>NC_000006.12:34908484-35211515 GCF_000001405.40 Homo sapiens | reverse complement strand
AGTAGAAGCAGGGCTTATATCACCAGGACACTGTGAATTGAGGTGCTGGTCCAATTCATATTGCCTTTTGCCCTGTCCTCTTCTGCAGGGACTCAGTTGGACAGTAACTCAGGAAGATGACAGGGAAGGAACAACAAGATGGCACTTGCAAGTGGTACTACAAAAGCAGCAGCAGCACGTGCCATATCATAACCAGCAGGGGCAAAATGTCCAGTGGGCTCTGGGCCTCCTACACGCACCTCTAAGGTTGCAGTTTGCTTTGGGGCTTCATTTTCCTTCAGGGATGCTTCTGACATTTGTTTCATTCTACTTGCTCCTGAAAATGTCTGAGGAGAAGACTGGCAGGGGTCAGGGATCCCCTAGCTGATAGATCTTGGTTCAGTCCTGTTTAGGGATCCTTCTGCCAGGGCCCACCAGGCTCAGGGGTTTCCCCTCCCCTGCAAAGTCTCCTTCCATGAGCGTTGCTTTTTCTTTCTGCTCCTCAGTTTCCCTATATATAAAATGAGTCCAATGACCCTACCTCGATGGGCAGTGCCATATAGTCTAATGGAGAGCACATACAAGCTGGAAGTAGATTGCCCTGAGATCATTGTTAGGCCCTACCATTTCCCAGCCATCTATTTTTCTTGGTGAGTTGTTTCACTTTTCTGAGCCTCAGCTTCCTCACCTGGAAAATAGATATGGTTATATGACCTCAAAAGTGTCCGTCCATCAGTGTCTGTGTGGGCTCTAAACAAACCTGCAATTCAAATCTCAGCTCTGGTGCTTTCTACCTCTGTGACTTCAGGGAAATTACTCAATCTCAGGGAGTTTCAGTTTTCTCATCTGACATAGGGGATAAAAACCTCGTAGGGTTATTGGTGTTAATTAAATGAGATAATATATAGAAAACACCTGGCACTGGCACATGTAGGCATTTAATAGGTAGAGGCTATTGTTGTTCTTTCCACTACTTCTCAGAAGAACAAAAGCCCAAGTGTTTGGGGCCAGCTGCAGTGGCTCACACCTGTAATCCAAGCACTTTGGGAGGCCAAGGTGGGCAGATCACTTGAGGTCAGGAGTTTGAGACCAGCCTGACCAACATGGTGAAACCCTGTCTCTACTAAAAATACAAAAATTAGCCAGGTGTGGTGGTGCACGCCTGTAATCCCACCCACTTGGGAGGCTGAGGCAGGAGAATCACTTGAACCTGGGAGTTGGAGGTTGCAGTGAGCCGAGATTGTGCCACTGCTCTGACCTGTGCGACAGAGCTCAAAAAAAAAATAAAAATAAAAAAGCCCAAGGGTTTGATAACAAAGGTATAGTAGTGGCTGGTGGGAAGAAGCAGCCTTGTCCCAGATTAGGCTTTGATGCCACTGGGTGTGAGCACAGCCAACTGGGCTAGATTCTCACCACCCCCAACAGGTTCCTGTCTGTCATACATACCTACTGAGAAGGTTCCAAAAATTCCATGCATTCCAGCACACTGCCCTTGTCATCAGCACTTATACATTATGCAGTTAGAAGAATATTCACTTGCCCACTAGGTAGCTCTGGAGTCTCTCCATCCCTACTGTCTTGCACCTCCTACTCTACCTTAAGAAGACATAGACACCCCGAGACACAAATTAGAGCTCATAGCTACCATTTACCAAGTGCTTTCTATGTTCCAGGCACTATACCAGGCACTCCATCACGAGCCTGTAAGGCAGGAATTGTTATCCCCATTTTATTGGTGGGAAAACTGAGGCTCAGGTAGATTAACTTACCCAGGATGACAGACTAAGAAAGAAGAAAGCCAGGACTTGGGGCCAGGCCTGACTCTGAAGCTTGTATACCTCCTCAGCTGTCTACACTGCCTCCTCTGAATTCACAGAGACTTGATACACTTTTGCCACTCACACCCTAATCAGAGGGAGGGGATCTTACTAGGCTGGTGGACAGGCTGACTCTGTCCTTGCTTTGCACTCCTTCAGGGTAGCTCAGGAGTCATTTTGCCATATAGGCAGAGGCTTGGAAGTAACCCTCTCTCAAAGTCTGTTTCCCAGCGCTGGGATTTTAGGAGTACCTTGTTCCCAGGCCCTTAGTGTTGGCTTTACAGAGAGGTCCACAGGCAGCCCTGCCAAGACATGGGGCAGAGGGAACCCAATCCAAGCTGCCCACACCTGTTCCAGCCTCTCCTCCAGACACTTAGGCCACCTCCAGTTTAGCTCCCTTGGCCCTTCACCCCAGTTTCCTCCCACCCCTCCTCTCTGCCCACATCCACTCCTGAGTTACCTTGCCACCTGCTTCCTCTCCACCTGTGCCCCAGCTGCTTTCACTAAGGAAACAAAAATCTCTACCCTGCCAACTGGCATCATCACCGATGTGTGGTTCCAGACCCCTGCACATCACAAGGCAAATCTCCAGCCACCCCAGGCCTGCACCCTGTCCACTTCCACACAGCTGCCCTCCCAAACTTGTTTCCCTTCTGCCAACCCCAGCCCCCATACTTCTCCAATCAGCATCCTCAATTCCTGTTTCTCCAAAAAGCCAGGAGCCATCTAACGTGAGCCTCCTATCGCCTGCTCCCTTCTCTCTCCACTGCTGGGAGAGGGGTCCATCCTTTTGGCCAAACCTAATACCATGTACATGTACCTGGATCTCATCCCCTCTTGCCACTTCAGGGAGCTGGCTCTGTCAGTTATCCCCTCTTTTGCCTGAATGTCTCACCTCAGCTCCCCCTGTAAACACAATAAGATCTGCAGCATCCTATAGTAGCAACAGGGAAGTAACCCAGACCCTGCTGCCTCTTGTCCTTCCAGGCTCCCAACTTCTCTGCCCTAGGTCTCCATGACACTGCTTCCCTTTCATCCCTGGCCCTAATGCATTCTGTCCCAGACTCCCTCTGCCACCCCTCCCCCAAAGTCTCCAGCGACTTCCACGTCTTCATATCCAGGGCTGTTTGCCGGTCCTTATCTAGCCTGACATCTCTGCCTCATCCAAAACCTCTGAACATTCTTCTTCCGCTTCTTGGAGCACTTTCTTCTCCTGCATCTCCTGCTGGCTGCTTTCTCTCTGCTGGCCTCTTACATGCTGGAGAGTTTGGGCTTCTAGCTTGGCTTTTTTCACTTCTCACTCTACATGACCTCCCTAGGGGACTCTCTGAGGGACAGCAAGGGTGAAGGAAAGAACATTGGCTTTGTGGTCAAATAGTCCCAAGTTTAAATCCCAGCCACGTCAATGGGTGAGCTTGGGCAAGTTTCTTCACCTCTTTGAGCTTTATCATCCTCATCTGGAAAATAGGGAGGATAAACTTCTGTTACTGATGTTTGGAGTGTTACTGATGATGACTTGTGTGGAAGGTCCCTCACGAAATAGGCGGACAGCACGTAGTGGGGCATTATGGCTCCAGGCACCACCAATATGCCAGTGACCACCAAATCTATATCCCTAACCCCACTTTTCTCCTAGCTCTAATTCCGCATATTCAATTTGCAGATCTATAGCTCTAGCTCCCTTCTCTGCTTCCTATCTAGTCCTATATTTCCACCTACTTATAGATACTTCCGATGATATTTTTCAAGACCTGAAGCTGAACCTACCCCCAGCTGAACTCATTCCTCACAACATCCTCCCCTGACCTGTCCTCTTCCCGTGATCTCCATCTTGAGGTTAATAGCTCAAAACCTACTCAGTGGCCCCATTTGGACTCCTCAGAGTCCTAAGGACAGTCCTCCTCCTGATCCCCCTTGCTGCTGCCACAGTTCAGGTACTTCTTGTGTCTCCTGTGGGCCACTGCCTGACAGAGCTAAGTTCTGGCTGCTTGGCACAGTGTACGTGGCCTTCTGTGCCAGTCCTGAGCCTTTATTTCCAATGACATTTCATGCTTGTCTTCTAACTTCACCATCACTACACCCTAGCTACACCATGCCTGGCACGCACCATGTTCTTGTCAGCTGGAGAACTACTGCCCTTTAAAATCTTGTAGTGGCTCATGCCTTTAATCCCAGTATTTTGGGAGGTTGAGGCAGGAGGATGACTTGAGGCCAGAAGTTCAAGACCAGCCCAGGCAACATAATGAAACCCTGTCTCTACAAAAAAATTCAAAAATTAGCTGAAGTGGTGATGTACACCTGTAGTCCTAGCTACTCAGAGGTTGAGGTAGGAGGACTGCTTGAGCCCAGGAGTTGGAGGTTCAGTGAGCTGTGATCTCACCACTGCACTCTAGCCTGGGCTACATAATGAGACCCTGTTAAAAACAAAAATAAAAAGATCCAGCTTCCATGGTACCTTGGCAGGGAAGTCTTTTTACTGCCCCAGCAGACTTGGAGCTCAGTGGTCCTTGAAACCTATCCCAGTGATGGCCCTGGCTATCGCTAATGGTCTGTTTACCTTCCACTAGTTCTGTCAAACCTTTGAGGGCAAGACCCATTTGGGTCACCTCTGTATCCCCAGCTCTAAGCATATGCCTGGAAGATAGTTGTGTTCAGTGAATATTTACTGAATAGCTGAAAGAATAAAGGAAGGGTGAGCTCACGCAAACCCCAGAGGAGAAGTGAAGCATTCCCTGACCTCGTCTCCCTGCCTCCCACCCGTCTGAGGATGCTTCAGGTTTCCTGGAGGACCTAGGGCAGCAGAGGGTGTTCAATGGAAGGGCAGTGTGGAAAACCCCACTGAGGAAAGACCATGTACACACAGGGGGCCTAGGAGAGGACTCCTGCTAGAGACTTTCAGGGTCTGGAAGACACAGATGCGTATCTGGAACCTTCCAAGCCAGAGCTCAGGATATCCCCAAAGGTCTGAAGAACTGGGTAATGGCAGCCTAGATAAAGCAGCCAGAGGTAGGAGACTGGTCAAGAAGCAGCCTGAGTGGTCAGAGGTCTGGGGCCAGAACAGATGAAAGGGGTCTATAGGCAGCTCTCATATGAACTCTGGGAGGCAAGTCCAGGAAGGAGAACCCTAGGTGAGGCCACTTGAAAGTCCCTGGGGGATTCTCTGCCACCTCATCAAAGATCTTTCTGACTGATGCTTAACATTCCATTATTGGAGAATCACTCCTTTGAGCTAAACCTTATGTTCTTTGGCCCTAAATACAAATATTCCTGTGAGAGAGGGTGACGGCCTTTGCCAGTTAAAACTTTAGTTATCAGTTGACACCCTAAAAAATGTGTTGTGAGTGTCAGAGGAGGGGGCTGTAGGAACACTCATAAGGAACTTCCTAATTTTGCTAAGAGGTGGCTTGCTTTCCCTCCCCCTACCCTATTCTTTATGGCTATCCTCTCCTAGATCTCCACTGGGTTCCCTCCTCAGAGGAAAAGATGGAGAGGTGGAGAAGGACCACTTCATCTACCAATACCACTCCTATGGATATCCTGGATTAAGGAAAGGATAGGTGGAAGTATTGGGGCAAAGTTCAATTTATCCATGAACCAACTTCAAGTAGACCATAAAGCAAATTGTTGTAAAACAAAGCTCAGTTGCCCAATAGCTTCTATTACATTTCCATAGAAGGGCTCCCATTGGGCTGAAAATCATTCTAGGAGAAGCTGAAAACCTGCAATAAGGAAGGATCGTCGGAATGTTTGCCAGCTATGTGCTTCTGCTGAGTGTTGATATCCTTACAGAATTTTGCCTCCCTTTTGCAGCAAGAGGCTCTCTTTTCGTCATGCCACGTCTCCACTTCTGAGCTGACTTGGCAAAGCTGAGGGACATCACAGTCAGGCTGACATTCCTTGGTGCCCTGCTCTGGTCCTGCAAAATCTAGTCTGTAGGAAGTTGCAGTATGTTGAAGAAGAACGGGCTTCCCTGGGCCCCTGACCCAGACTCAGTGATGTTCCACCTCTTGATCAGCTTAAGGGCTACTGAGGAGGGAGAGGAGCTCATTCTTTTTTTTTTTTTTTTGAGACGGAATTTCGCTCTTGTTGTCCAGGCTGGGGTGCAATGCTGCGATCTCAGCTCACCGCAACCTCTGCCTCCCAGGTTCAAGTGATTCTCCTGCCTCAGCCTCCCAAGTAGCTGGGATTACAGGCATGCGCCACCACACCCGGCTAATTTTGTATTTTTAGTAGAGACAGGGTTTCTCCATGTTGGTCAGGCTGGTCTTGAACTCCTGACCTCAAGTGATCCACCTGCCTCGGCCTCCCAAAGTGCTGGGATTACAGGTGTAAGCCACCGCACCCAGCCCGGAAGGAGCTCTTCTGTCTTTACCCTCTGTCCCCAGTCCCCGGTCCAATGCTGCTGGGATTGATTGAGAAATTTGGTGGCTTCTCTTTGGTAGATCCAAGCTGTAATGCCACCCTTTACCAGTAGGTGCCGCCATCTAACATACCATCCTTCAGCCCTTGGTGAAGTCCTGAAGCCAGACCTCTGGGAGTCTACTCAGGGAACCCACTGCCTCAAACAAATTTGCAAATAAAATTATTGTATTTGAAATAGGCCCACATTGGTGAAGTTAAGATGTGGAACTAATTGTATGTGTATTTCTATATAACCACAGACTCAATGTTTGATGTTTGACATTTATTGTGCACTTACTATGTACCAGGGACTTAAAGGATGTGGGGATTCAAAGATGACATGGTTTCTCCTTTTAAGTTTATGATTTGGCAAGAGAAATTCACATCTAAATAATTGGAATATAAGGCAGAATGTGGTAAATGTCCAAACATGGAGGTGCCAACATAAAATTCTAATGAGGGCATAAAGAGCACAGATTAATTCCAGCTGGAAGCAGGAGGACAACTCAGTGGAGGAGGAAAGGGTTTAAAGCTGACCTCAAAGAATATATAGAATTCTCATACATGGAGTTGGGTGAAGAGAGTGAGGGCTTTCCAGGTGGCAGGAACAACATGAGCAAAGACTTGGAGAGGAGAATGTCTTCAGGGAATTAATAATTGGTTCAATCAGAGACAAGTATTTCAGAGAGTGTGGAGGAAGATCTGAAAGGTGGGATGGGGCTAGACAATGAAGAGCCTGTTTCCATCAGATGCTAAGCGACTGACAGTGTTGCATAGGCTCCGGGAACCCGGCAACTTTACAGCAAAGTAGCAGCATGGCGGGCTCACTTCATGAATTAGCTTTATGTGTGCTCCAGGATTTCTTCAATGTGTTGATTTTTAGTGAATTTATTTCATCATGAATGCAGGAAGAGAACAGAAAGAAAAACGGGGAAAAGAGGACATAAAAAGAAGTGGGCTGGGCATGGTGGCTCACACCTGTAATCCCAGCACTCTGGGAGCCTGAGGCAGGCGGATGACGAGGTCAGGAGATCAAGACCATCCTGACTAACACAGTGAAACCCCATCTCTACTAAAAATACAAAAAATTAGCTGGGTGTGGTGGCGGATGCCTGGAGTCCCAGCTACTCGGGAGGCTGAGGCAGGAGAATGGTGTGAACCCCAGGAGGCGGAGCTTGCAGTGAGCCGAGATTTGGCCACTGTACTCCAGCCTGGGTGACAGAGCAAGACTCCGTTTCAAACAAACAAACAAACAAAAAAGAAGTGACAGGGAGGGAAATAATGGACAGAAGGAAAAGAGAGATGGAGAAGGAAGAGAGAGAAAGAGAAGGAGGCAGCCCTGGAGGAGACAAGGCAAACCCTGAACTGTTCAGGGGCCAAGCTTAAGGAGCTACTTGGGCTTTTCCAGGCAAACGACCTCTGGCTTCTTGCCCTGGCCAACCACAGAGGACAATGTGAGGCGAGTTTGTTTGGTGATGTGTTTTCTGCTGGCCCTGTTTGTTTGTTTTTCATTTTTCTGGTATTGGACAGATCTGGGGTGAAGGAAGAGGGAGACAGGGTTGTGGCTGGCATTGATAGTGGTCCTTGGGCTGGGCTCTGGGCTGCCCAGAGCCCCCCTTTAGTGGGGGCTTATGGGCATTGGAGCTGAACTTTTGATGTCCCTGGAAGGGGGCCTTTTTGTAGGTGCCCAGAGCCAGGTGGCCTTCCCAAGCCTGGAGATGGTTTGCCCTAAGCTCTTTGTCTCTGTCTTTCCCCACCCTGGCAAGAAAGAATTAGTCCTTGAGGCCTGGGCTCCTTGCCTGTGTAGCCAGGATGTCGTGCTGGGCTGGGGAGCCCATGGGGGTAGCAAGAGCAGCTGCTTCCAGATTGGTGCTGGGGAACGCAGGGGCAGTCCACGAGAGCCAGCCTTCTCCCCAGCCCCGATGATGAGTCTGGCTTTCTCTCCCGTCCCACAGCCCTTGGAAGCCAACCTAACAAGTTCTATTAAAGTTAATGAAACACAATGATTCCTCTGTTTGCTTGGTTACAACTCATTACGAGTTGCTCTTGCTTGCTCGGCTTTTGCAGAGGAGATTCATTTGAGTAGCCAGTGCTTGGCCTTTGTCCCCCTAATTTTTACTGGCCCATTAACAAGATCAGACACTTTGGCTGACCAGGAATATCTAGTACCCAAGTCCCAACAAAACCCATTGGGTGGAGTTTCAGATGACCTTTTGAGTCTAAATTAGCCTAAAAACATGCTGCCGCCCTTCCTCCCTCTGTTGCTTCCCTATATCCAAACTCAGTTTTATATGTAGGTACAATAGGAGTATGCAGAGATTTCAGAAGTTAGGAGATGCTTTTCCAGCCTCTTTAGAATGTATCTCAACCCACTGATTTAGAGAAGTTCCCTAGTAAGAGCTCCAGCTCGATTTAAGGGCTTTCCTCCCCCATTTAAATGGAAATAAACTGAACATTGTTAGTCACTTATACTTTGGTGTGAATTAGTTCATATTGTCACTTTAAGGGGATTTGGGAGTCTCCTAAATTGTATACAAACTTTTGTCCACATTATCCATTCTTCCAGAGAGAGGTTTTCTATAGCTTTCTTCAAAATTTCCATAACCGTCCCCCCACCCCCTACCCCAACACGTACACACACACACACACAAACTCTCTCTCTCTCAAAAGGTTAACAACCTCTGTGTTAGTAGAAGAGTGGGCCGTAACTGGGGCACAGAAGACAAACTCTCCTTCCTTCACCATCTGCTTGGCCAGTCCTGCCTCTAAGGAGGGACCTTCCCCTCCTCCTTGAGTTCCTTATCCACAGACCTCCCATTGTCACCACAGCTCAATCATGTGCTTCCCAAATCTTAAAACCAACCTCAAGTTGGTGGGGAGGAGTCAAAAGGAGAGCCCTTGAACTCTATGTTGATTTACATGCCGAGGCTGTAAATGATAGGTTTACATGCTGGTGTAAATACTCATAAACTCGCAGTAAGTGCAGGGCATCACATGCTTTCAGTGTCCAGATCCTCTGCAGCCCGTACAGGCCTGGCATTCTCAGGGTCAGGGAGGAGAGCGCCGAGTTGGCAGCAGCTAGCATGACAGGGGCTGACTATGACTATGGAGGAAAAGGGCGTGCTTGGAGTTGGTCTCTAAACCCTCATCCTCTCCCATACAGCAGGTGGCTTCTGCACAGTGATACCTTGGCATGACTCCCCCTGCTGCTCAGCCAGCCTGACTGTTCTTTTGGGTTAAAGCATTGTCTCCAGAAGGTCCCTGTTAAAATGCAAAGGGGCTTCTTGCAGGGTGACTTGGGCTGGTTGGCTGACTGGCTGTCACTCAACAGAAAACAGAGACCCCAGATCAGGGAGGTTAAGGTTTGGGAGAAAGGTTCAGGTGGGTCAATACTATAGCTATATGAAGTTGATTTAAATGGCTTTCCAGGTGTTCTCCCTAATTCCACTCTTGGGGGCTGAGAATCTATCCTTCATATGGCAGCCAGAGTCGTTTTAAAGCTGGGCCATACAACCTCAACGTGATTGACGTTTGTTGGGGGGCCATCCTATGCATTGTAGCACATTTAGCAGCATCCCTGGCCTCTACCCACTAGGTGCCAGCAGCAGCACTCCCTCCCCACGTTGCGACAGCCAAAAATGTCTACAGACATTGACACATGTCCCCTGGGGGAGGGGAGTGAAATCATACCCCCTATCTTCACTTCCCCCTGCCCCACTGAGAATCTCCATCATAAAGTGTAAGTCAGCCCATGTTACTCCCTGGTCAAAAATCCTACCATGTCTTCTCATTGTTCTGAGCATGAAATCCGCCGTTTGGCCCAGCCTTCAAGGCCTTGTGTAGTCCAGCCTTGCCTCCCTCTCCTGCCCCACCTTGTACCCCTCTGCTGTCATCTACCATCACCCTTTAGCCACATATAACCCTTTTTGACATACCTCGATAAACCAAGCTCTTTCTTGGACAGGGTGGAAGATGGAGAGATATGGGCAGATTTAGAGTAAGTTTCAGAGGCCCTAATTTCTTTGGATTTTACTGGGAGGCCTTTTCTTTTCGCTTTTTTGAGATGGAGTTTAACTCTTGTCGCCCAGGCTGGAGTACAATGGCGTGATCTCGGCTCACTGCAACCTCTGCCTCCTGGTTTCAAGCAATTCTCCTGATTCAGCCTCCTGAGTAGCTGGGATTACAAGCGCTTGCCACCATGCCCGGCTAATTTTTGTATTTTTTAGTAGAGACAGGGTTTCACCATGTTGGCCGGGCTGGTCTTGAACTCCTGATCTCAGGTAATCCACCCGCCTCAGCCTCCCAAAGTGCTGGGATTACAGGCATGAGCCACCGTGCCCGGCCTAGGGAGGTCTTTTCATATTAGCTTATGACAACTTGTAAATATTTAACTTACTGAATTATTTACTTTTGTTTTTCCCTTCTCCCCAACTAGAACGTAAGCTCCATCAGAGCAGGGACCATGTCTGGCTTGTTCACTATCGTGTCCTCATCATCTCCTGTACTGCCTGCCACATGGTAGGTCCTCGGTGATTACCTGTGGAATGAATGAATAAGGGTGGCAGGAGTTCAGAGAGGGAGAGGGACTCTTCTGGAAGGTTAAGGGAAGGTTTCCTGGGCATGCTGAGGCTTGAAGCTTGGGTAGGAGGTGGGGAGGGTAATCTGGGACAGAATTTAGGGGATGGCAGAAGCAGGGGCCTAAAGAATTTCACAGTGGCCAAAATGTGCTGCAATTAACCCAAGTGACATCCAGGCAGCAGGAACTTGTCATGGGGCAGAAGAACAAGTCTGATGTGAATATGATTCTCAGTCTGAGTGGATCCAAGGGGGTGAAGTAGTTGAGTCCCCTAAGTTGTTGAGGAAGTAGGGAGGGAAATCAGTTAGGCTAGAGCCTAGCAAAACCAGGGCCAAACCAGGGAGGGTTTGATTGCTGAGACTGGAGTATGGAATTGGCTGAGCCACTGAAAGGTGATGATTATTCCTCCCCTGGTATCTGATGTTGGTGATCTTGACTTCTCTGATCCCCTCGGATCCCCAGAACCAGCTCTGTGATCCTAAGTGAAGTCAAGGGACTGACCGGACACATGAACCTAGATCTCTGCAAAGAGCCCTGGGACCCAAATGGGAGAGGTCCAGGGCCTGGTTCCATCATCCCTCCCTCTCTTGATGTGTGGCCTTGCTCAAGGCGTTGGACTGCAGTGGACCTCCATGTCCTTCTTTTGGAAAACAGAGTTAACAATACCTGCCCCATTCAGAGGAGAAATGAGGTCATGTTTGTGCAGCACAGTGAGCTCACTGGAGACAATGAGTGTATTCTTCTTAACAGTAACAATAATAATCATTACTGAAAATCTAACCAGTAAATATATCTCCTCAAAGCTGGAGTTGGCCCCTCAGTAGGATAGCAATTAAAGTTTTTTTAAAAATCTCTAGATGGGGAAATTTTCTGGCTGCATTTTGATCTCTGGGGTTTGCAGAGTTGATATCATTGTGGGAGGGAGAGAGGCCTGCAGCAATCATTCATCTCAATTCCATTCAATTGTACTTTTTGTATCTCCCTTGTCCTTGAGTTCTATCCACTGGGCTTTGCAATTTCTCATCCTCTATTAGTCCTGAGGGAAAGAAGTCCCTAAATTCCGCATCTCCACACTCACCCGCTGTCCCATTCACTGACATAAACAGTGACCTGGCTACTGGAGATCCTGGGCATTCGAGCATTGGCCACAAACTATCCTGCAAAGAAAGTGGTCTGTCTTGGGTACATGATTCTCTTTCCTGCTCATCCCACTTAGTGGGCCAGTGATTCCCAAGCCGAGCTGTGCATTCAAAGCCCCCAGGAGTGGGTCCATGGATTATCAGGTGATTCTAATTTAGCCAGCCTAGCACCTGTCTGAATTTGAGAATTGCAAGGTTTTCAACCATTAGTTGTTAAATGTGTGTACAAGGAGCAGAGTGATGCTAATACAAAGGCATTGTTGCAGTTTGGGTCAAGCTGGCAAAAGACCGTCTCTCCTGCTACAATACACAAAATGACAGAAAAACTCTTGGAACAAATAAAATAGTAAATCCAATATCGTGTGATAAAACAGAGAACCATCAGCAGATCAGAAATGTTGGATCTGTGAGAGAGAAAGATAAATGGCATCAAAGCTATAAAGAGGCCGGGCGCGGTGGCTCACGCCTTTAATCCCAGCACTTTGGGAGGCCGAGGCAGGCAGATCACTTGAGGTCAGGAGTTCAAGACCAGCCTGGCCAACATGGCAAAACCTCGTCTCTACTAAAAATACAAAAAAAATTAGCCAGGTATGGTGGCGTGCGCCTATAATCCCAGCTACTCAGGAGGCTGAGGCAGGAGAATCGCTTGAATGCGGGTGGAGGTTGCAGTGAGCCAAGAACATGCCACTGCACTCCAGCCTGGGCGACAGAGCAAGATTCTGTCTCAGGAGAAAAAAAAAAAAAGCTATAAAGAAATAAAACTGAAGGAAACCACAGCTAAAACATGCAGGAGAAGACTGCTATGGAGAAAAGAGTGGTTTGGGGGACTCCAAGCCTGAGTCAACAGACTCAAAGAAACCAGAGGAGGTCCCAGGGATATTCCTGAACACCAGTGCTCAACAGCTAGCAGCAGTGGATTTGCCCCAAGGTGCTGGGCTAGAGAGGTAAGCAATACTCCAAGTAGCTACTGACACTCTGGGAGAGGAATAGGGAGCCCTCAGCCAGGAGAAAGACTGTCAGCAGGCCACTCACCTCTCTCCCACTCCCCGTAACAGAGACAGGCTACAGTGAACAGAAAGCTGGCAAATTAAGGATGAGCAGAACATCAATAATCACCAAAAATTTAATGAAAAATATAACCATGACAGGGAGTAGCCCCAAGCCAATATTATCCAATAGAACTTTCTGCAGTGATGGAAATGTTCTATATTTGAGCTGTCCAATATGTAGCCACATACCACATGTGGCTATTGAGCACTTGAAGTGTGGCATCCGCAACTGAAAAACTGAATTTTTAATTTAGTTTTAATTAAATTTAAGCAGCAAGGCTCTACTGTATTGGATAGCATAGCTCTAAACTTAACATATGGAAGAGTTAATGCCCAAAGTAACAGAGATAATAGAGCAAACAAAAACAGAAACCAGTTTGGTTGATGTATAATTGTTATCTTCAAGAGATGCAAAATAATATTAAATCCATTTAAAAGAATCAATCAGGAGTCTAAGAAATTTAAAAATTGATCATTGAAATTCAAAACTCAGTAGATGGTCTAGATAGGTTTAATGATCAGGAAGACTGTCCTGAGAAAGTCTCCTTAAGCACATTAAAAAAGATAAAAAGATGGAAAGTCTGAGAGAAAAAATTAAGAACCATCTGTGGGATAGGCATTACAGAAAGCTAGAGCTTCAGAGAATAGAAGAGGGAAAATAATTAAAGAACTAACAAAAGAAAATTTCCCAATTGCTGAAGAAAGAAGTTAATCATTAGCTTGACCTCTCCCAGGGAAAAAGACTCACACCTAGACATATTATAGTAAAACTTCATAACAACAAAAATAAAGAAAAAAAATCCTAGAAGCTTCTGGAGAGAAAAAAAGCAGGTCTTCAATAGAATAATATTAAATTGGCATCAGACTGGATGTTAAAAGACAATGAAATATTATCTTCAAGGCCCTGAAGGGAAATGAAGTATTCAAGTGGGAGGAAAAAATTAAGATTTTTTTTTTTGTTTTACAAGAAGAAAGTTTGCCACCCTCGTATTCCTTAAAGAATTTCCAGAGGAGGTGCTTCAATAGAAAAATAGTGAATTCAGGAAAGAGGAAGACGTGGGATGCCGAAACTGTGGTGAACAAAGAAACGAGTAAAACTTTTAGTGAAGTCTGAGTAATTATTGAGGCATAATGTAAACATTTTAAAAACAACAATTTGGAGCAATAATCTACCCAGATGATCTCAACTTGGGAGGTGGCAGGTGGGGGAGGAGAAGGAGGAAAGTTAAATAATGCTACGGGAGAAAAAGTTCCTGATCAGCTCTAGTCATTTATAGAAAACTAGAAGTTAAAGGATTCATCTGCCTCAGAGGGTATGGAAGAAAAAAAAAAAAGCAGGATTCAAATTTAAAGGTAATCAGCAGAAGATGGAGAATTGGAAAATCAACTTCCAGATCAATAGAGCAAGTTAAAAAGATGGGGAAGGGGGCAAAGATCAGTCTAACAAAAAGCAGGGAAAGAGAGGAAAAAAGATAAGAAGAAAACAAGGTGAAGAGGAAGCATAAAATAAAATGACAGGACAAGTCTAAAGATATCATTAATAATACATGAGAAAAGAGAAAATTCCCCATTAAAGGGCATCCTTCTATACATATGATTTTTACAGAGATGTACTGAAACTGACAAGATCATTTTGAATATGAACAGATGGGGGAAATATATCAAGCAAATAATAACAAAAAGAAAGGAAGTATATTAGTATCAGACAAAATGAAATCCAAAGACAAAAAGCATTAAAAGAAACAAAGAAAGGCTGGGCATGGTGGCTCAAGCCTGTAATCCCAGCACTTTGGGAGGCTGGGGTGGGTGGATCTCTTGAGGTCAGGAGTTCAAGACCAGCCTGGCCAACATGGTGAAACCCCATCTCTACTGAAAATACACGCCTGTAGTCCCAGCTACTTGGGAGGCTGAGGTGGAAGGATCGCTTGAGCTTGGGAAGCAGAGGTTGCAGTGAGCCGAGATTGCACCACTGCACTCCAGCCAAAAAAAGAAAAAAACAAACAAATAAAGAAGGAGATATATTGGTGAAAATTATAATCTTCCAAACACATACAATTTCCACGATTCTTTAGGCACCTAACAACCCAGCTTCAAAATATGTAAAGTAAACACTGATACAAACAAAGGAGAAATGAACAAATCTATGGCTATGGATGAAAGCTTTAATAGACCTGTCTCAGAAATCTGTGGATCAAGTGACAAAAGTCATAATGAAAATAATAGAGGATTTGAGTGACACAATTAATCAACTTTAATAAATGTTATATCCAACAAATTGAGAGACATTTTTTTCAAATACCTGTTTAGCATTCACAAAAAGAAATACTCAAAAAAATTATGAAAACGATATTACATCAGCCATTTTCTCTTTCTACAATACATAAGAAAATAGCCTCAGGCTGGGCGCGGTGGCTCACACCTGTAATCCCAGCACTTTGGGAGGCCGAGGCGGGCAGATCAAGAGGTCAGGAGATCGAGACCATCCTGGCTAACATAAGAAAATAGCCTCAGGCTGGGCGCGGTGGCTCACACCTGTAATCCCAGCACTTTGGGAGGCTGAGGCGGGCGGATCAAGAAGTCAGGAGATAGAGACCATTCTGGCTAACATGGTGAAACCCCATCTCTACTAAAAATACAAAAAAATTAGCCAGGAGTGGTGGCGGGTGTCTGTAGTCCCAGCTACTCGGGAGGCTGAGGCAGGAGAATGGCATGAACCTGGGAGGCAGAGCTTGCAGTGAGCCGAGATCACACCACTGCACTCCAGCCTGGGCGACAGAGCAGGACTCCGTAAAAAGAAAAGAAAATAGCCTCAAAATGCTGGGATGTGATGGCACTCCATATTTACCTGTAAATGTAAACTAATTTACAGGAAATTCCCTGGAACCCAAAGCCTGGCTTATCTCTGCTACAGCTCTGCTCTGGGGTGTACTTATGAGTTTAAGTTTCACAAATGAATGTCACCTTCATGGTATCCCAGTAGGGGGAACATTATCTCTGCTCCCAGTAGTACTCAGCTTGGTATTTAAAGCCCAGCCCCCACAATCTAACCCCAGTCTTTCCTTTTTCACCTCTCCTGTTTCTCCAAAATGCAAAATGCCATAAACTCTTGGTACACTCACCACCTCTTGGGTATTCCCAGGATATCTGGGAGCCCATACACTTGGTCCATGACACTCATCCTGTTGCTTAACTCATGCCCCGTTACTTAACTCTTCCATCTGTGCAAAGCTCTCCTTCTCAAACAGCAAACTGTGGATCAAGGGTCAAATCTGGCCTGACTCCTGTTTTAATAAATAAAGTTTTATTGGAACCCAGTCACGTCCATTCACTTACATAATGCTAATGGCTACTTTCCCCATAGTTGAGTAGTTACAAGAAGATGATATGTCCTGTAAAACCCCAAATATATACTATATATGCCCCTTTATAGAAAAACTGCTGTGTAGAGATACTTTCTTCTTCTTGTGGTCATCTTACCAAGCTGGGGCACAAGAAGAACCCTTATTGCTCACTACATGATGAATAAAAAATAACTGGTTAAAGGGCCAGGCGAGGTGGCTCACACTTGTAATCCTAGCACTTTGGGAGGCCGAGGTGGGTGGATCGCCGGAGCTCAGGAGTTGGAGACCAGCCTGGGCAACATACGGAAACCCCATCTCTACTAAAATACAAAATATTAGCTGGGTGTGGCGGTGTGTGCCTGTAGTCCCAGCTACTGGGGAGGCTGAGGCAGGACAATTGCTTGAACCCAGGAGGCAGAGGTTGCAGTGAGTCGAGATCATGCTACTGCACTCCAGCCTGGGCAACAGACCAAGACTCCGTCTCAAAAGAAAGAAACAAACAAACAAACAAAAACTGGTAAAGAATTACCTGTGCAGGAAATACCAAGGATGCTCTTTGTGCCTCAAGAACACTGTCATGGGGAAAGAGGAGGCAATGTGAGCAGATAGATATCACTTTGCCGAAGTGGCAGGAAAGCAGGCTTTGGAGCTGGCTGACTCAGGTTTGACTTCCAGTGTGGCCACTTTCGAGCTGTATGACTTTAGGCAGATTTTATGCCCTTTCTGAATTCTCTGTAAACTGTGAATGATAAAATCTACCTCTAGGATAGTTCAAGTCTCAAGCAAAATACGGAACAGAAAACACCTAAATCTAGAAGCCCTAATAAATGGTCATTCTTTTTCATTGTAGACACAGAGTCTGTTCCAGGATCGGTATCCAATTACTCCAGGCCAGTTTCAAAATGCCCTCATCCAACACCCACAAGCCATAACCTTTTTATCTGGGTGGCCCTCCCTGTAGAAGACCACCACTTCTCCACCCCTGTATTTCCATGGCTTCCCATGGCTTCCTTCCTTAGCCTTCCATGTTCCACACTAGTTCTTATCCAGCCCCAACCTCCCTGACTTCTCTATCCCCTCACCACAGCACTTAAACTCTTCCTTACTCTGTTTTTGTTTTTGTTTTACCTTGAGACAGAGTCTTGCTCTGTCACCCAGGGTGGAGTGTGATGGCATGATCTCGGCTCACTGCAACCTCCGCTTCCCTGCTTCAAGCAATTTTCCTGCCTCAGCCTCCTGAGTAACTGGAATTACAGGCACCTGCCACCATGTCCAGCTAATTTTTGTATTTTTAGTAGAGACGGGATTTCACCATGTTGGTCAGGCTAGTCTTGAACTTCTGACCTCATGATCTGCCTGCCCCGGCCTCCCAAAGTGCTGGGATTACAGGTGTGAGCCACAGCGCGCGGTTGACTCTGCTTTAAATATCATTATTGACTTCCTGGAATCATTCTGTGGGTGTTTCCTGTGAACCCAGATACCTGCCGACACCGATTTGTCCCCACCAGGGGTCTAGTGAGCACTTGAAGGCTGGTCACTTGATTTGACAACAGTGGGCAGGGGCAGGCACTAGACAGGCTCAGCCTTGCTCTGGGCTGAATGAGCACGCACCCACTGGGCACAGCATCCTCATTCCAAGCCACCCCAGACAGCTTTGCCTGCCTGGTGTCCCAGGGTTTGAAATTTCTGCCACCTACAGAGGGATTGCTTTGTGATTATTTTTATCCTCAAGATATTCCTTTGTTAAAATACAGGTAATTCCTAGAAGGAGGCCACCTGCTTCCAAGTTCTTATCTTGAGTCACAGCTTGTGGGATCTTAACCCTTCAATGGTCAGCTAATCCCTGGGTTGTTGCAGCCTCAAATGAGATCATATAGCTGAAAACGATTTCAACATTGTGAAGAGTAATATATAAGCAAAGGATTATTCTCAGTCAGTGTTGGAAGGTATTAGCAATTATCTCCCCACTTATTGAAAATGGCATTTGAAACAGGCCCCCAAAGAGTGAATCTCTAGTGATTGAATTCCAGACCACAAAGTAAGTCAAAGACATTTATGGTGCCAGGGGCAGGTACTTTTCCACTCAAAGCCTGCTGCCTAGGTGGCCACTGCCCGAATTCTAGGCCGGTTCTGACCACTGGAGTCTTGGAGCAAAGAAGGGGCTGTTCATGTGACTGAGCTGTTGAGTCCAGAGGCATAGAACAAGGAAGAGTCTTCGAAGCCTCTCATTTTACAGATGAGGAAATTGAGGCCCACAGAGAGAAAGTTGCTCACCCATCCAAAGTCAGGGAGCCTAAAGAGAAAATTATGCCTGGGCCAAAATAGCTGGGATGGGACTGGAGGCCAGGAGGAGGCCAAAGACAGGAGGGGACTGACCTCTCTTGGGGGCTGTCCCTATGCACACCCAGCACAGACGGAGGACTCCACTCAGCCTCTCATCCAGCCCTCCTCCCCCATTACCCTACCCCCACCTCCCAGTGCAACCAACCTCTCCTTGCCTGGGGCCACTCTGCCAAGAGGCCTCCCATCCAGGCCCGTGGCCCACAGAGAGAAAGTCCAAAACAATGCCTCTAAACTGAAAACATTTTTGTCTTTCTCCACAGAACAATGGCCATTAACAGGCATGGAACTGGAGCAGAAATGGAATGAACCCTAGGGGCCTGGGAGCCTGGAGGGGTGTAGGAGTGGGGAGGGGATTGGGGAGACAGGCGGCAGAGGAAAGCGCCTGCCCTCGCCTCCTCCCATCACCCCCTATACCCCTGTCCCTAATGAGGTGCTTCTGGCGGCACCTGACTTTTCCATTGCAAACACCACTTGACTCTCGGCCCTTCACACTCTCATGAGGTTCTAAGGGGCTGCACAGGCGCCGCCCACCCCAGCCATGCCCTGGGACTCACCACACACCAGGAAGGCCGGGAGCTGCAGCAAGGGGACAGCTTAAAACAGCCCCACCAACACCCCAAAGTGGGTCTCCCAGTTCCCCGAGAAGGCCTGGATGCCCTGCTGAAGGGTGAGCAGGGCCATGTGGGTGACTTGGAGGACCCAATTCCCCGGCCATGGGAACCCCCAGCCTGGGCTTTCTTTGGGGGTAGCTGAGACAACGAGCCCCCACCCAGAGCAGGAGATGACGCATTTTTTCTGTGGCCACAAGCCACTTTGACGGGTCCGCCCCACTGGGGAGCAACCGAAACCTCATCCCACCCAAAGCGGCCTTTGTCTGCACTACATATTTGTCTTATTTGGAAGATTTTTGTGGGTTTTCCTGTCTTTCTCCAGCGCTCACTGCCCTAAGGGGGACGAAGGCCATGGCGGAGCTGAGGGAAGGGGGTGAGAGGCATTCTTGGGGCGCTGTGCCTGGTGGTCTGCAGCACATTTGGGGGTGGGAGAGAAATCCACCCCACACACCCTCGGCGCCCCAGTGATGCCTTGGCCCCAGGCCACACTCTGGGCCTTGCCTGTCCTCTGTGGACTCGTGCCCCTCCTGGTCCTCCCAGAGCTGTTTCCTCTCCATCTTCTCTCAGCCTCCTCAGCTCACTCTCCAATACTTCTGTTTATTCCCTCATGTTCCATCCTTCCAGCCAGCTTGGCACCTCATCATTTCCTACCTCCCCCGTCATGGGACCCTCTGCTTTCTTTCTACCTGTCTGAATTCTGAAGACTCTCCCAGGGCTTGTTCCCCCATCTTGCCTCCTCCTGGGAGCCTCCCTGGACTACTGTAGCGCTTGGCAGGATCTCCTCCTTCTGAAATGTAAAAGTATGTGTTTTCTATCCTTTCTGTGATTCTAAACACACCCTGCCCCTATACCACCTGCCCAGCTAAATAGAGGCCAGAGGCCATGGCTTTTGTGCCTTGGCGTCCAAGCCCCATCCTGCCTTGTACAAAGCAATTGCTCAACTAATATTTGTTGGTTTGGGGCTTCTTAAGGGCTACCCATGAGATTACCAACAAATTAGAGAATTTCAGTGATGGAAGGGACCTAAGAGCTTGAATTCTTGCTAAGGGGTGTCTGGGTTCAGCTTACATACCTTTAATGACAGGGATCTTACCACTTCCTGGGGCAACCCATTCCCTTGCCTGTAACTCTGACCATAAGAAAGTTCTTCCCCACGTTGAGCTAAAACCTGCTGCCTTCTGGCTTTCCCCACCCTACTCCCAACTAGGTCACATCAAACTATTCCAGTCCTCTTTCCTCACGACCACCCTTCAGATATTTGAGGGCAGCAATCTCCTACCTCTGCAGTCTTTTCTTTTCCAGGGGGAAACACCTGTAGTCCTAACCTTCAGTGCCCCAATGCCCCTGATGACCATGGACTTTGGGTATTCCCCCCCACCCCTGTGCTGGGCCTCTCCCACATCCCTGCTGAACTCATTCTTCTCACAAAATCCCCCTTCTTTTGGGGTTAGGATGGATGTTACAAGCTTTCAAATGGGGCTTGCCTCCGTGTAGTGATTTGAGACATCCTAAAAGAAGGAAATCACTCTCTCACGGGGTTTTTTAAAAAATGAGGAGATGAGAGGAGTCCAGCAGCTGCCCTCTCCTCTCCTGAGGTAGCAGAATCCAATAACCAATTTTACCTGCACATGTCAGTGGAGGTAAAATTGCCACACACCTCAAAGGTTGTCTTGTGGGTCATTTATGTACATTTTAATATGGCTATTTCAGAGGGACTAGCAAATGTTTTAAACCAAAGGGGTGACTCATGGTGGCATTTCAGGCCAGTGAAATATTTTGGGAGAAGCAGGTCTTGTGGTGCCTGGCCTGCCTCTGCCTTGGCTCTCTCTGGGTGATGGAGAGCTTCCTGTCCCAAGTATATTGGCATTAGGACCAGGTACTTCCCAAGAGGCTGCCCCCTCCATACCCTGGCCCTCATAGCCTGTGCTAATTATTGAAACTTATGCTTTCCTGCATTGTAGAGTTGACTATCTTTCTTATGTATCTTTTTCTTATAGCAAATGAAGGACTCCTTGAAAGAAGTGGCAGGGATCTCAAAAATATTCTTATCAATGTTCTGTATCTTGATCATAGTGGTGTTTACACAAGGGTATGCATTTATGGAAACTCATCAAACTGGACACTTTAAGTCTGGGGTACCCAACCCCCAGACCAGTACCTGTCTGTGGTCTGTTAGGGACTGGGCTGTATAGCAGGAGGTGAGCAGCGGGCAGGTGAGCATTACCACCTGTGCTCGGCCTCCTATCAGATCAGTGGCAGCATTAGATTTTCACAGGCACTCAAACACTATTGTGAACCACGCATGCAAGGGATCCAGGTTGCATGCTCCTTGTGAGAATCTAATGCCTGATGATCTGAGGTGGAACAATTTCATCCTGAAACTACCCTCACCCTATTCCTGGTCCATGGAAAAATTCTCTTCCACAAAACTGGTCCCTGGTGCCAAAAAGGTCGGGGACTGCTGCTTTAAGTGGTTGCATTTTATTGTATGTGAATTATAACTTGATTAAGGTGGTTTTTAAAAAATGTTTTCATATCCCTTAGAGAGTCTGGAGTCACATCCTGCTGATACCTGGGTTCAATGTGCATTTCTGGATTGATTTCCTTAGTTAAGCTATACCCAGAGCTATAGCCAAGAGCCATTTTAGCTTTTATTCTCAACTCCTGATCTGACAGGAGGCAGAGCACAGGTGGTAATGCTCACCTGCCCGCTGCTCACCTCCTGCTGTGCAGCCCAGTCCCTAACAGACCACAGACAGGTACTAGTCTAGGGGTTGGGTACCCCAGACTTAAAGTGTCCAGTTTGATGAGTTTCCATAAATGCATACCCTTGTGTAAACACCACTATGATCAAGATACAGAACATTGATAAGAATATTTTTGAGATCCCTGCCACTTCTTTCAAGGAGTCCTTCATTTGCTATAAGAAAAAGATATATAAGAAAGATAATCAACTCTACAATGCAGGAAAGCATAAGTTTCAATAATTAGCACACTGCTGACTTGACGTGGCTCCTCAAACAACCAGACAGAAATAGAGCTCTCCATTCACTGACCTTGCCTCTGACCCGATCCTCCTACCTGGTGGCTCAGGCCCAAATCCCAGGAGACACACTTGATTCCTCACCCTGCCTGTCTTGCAGGATTGCTTTAATATGATTATTGGCACCACTAATACTGCTGTGATTACAGTTCCCTCATACACCTGCCCCCAGCCTAGTCTTGCCAACTGCTTACCTAGAGAATTGAAGGCTTCTTGTTGGCCTTCTGAATGCAGGGGCACTACCACCCAAGGGTGATTCACCAGACCGTGGCTGTTGCCTTGAGCCTTCCAGCCACCCTGTTCCAGAAGCCTGAGGGGCCACCAGCTTTGAGCCAAGGTTCTAGCCATCCTGTCTGAGCTTGGCTGAAGGTGTTTGGGCCCTCAGATCCTAGGCCCTTCTGCCCAAGCACCTGGCTTTTGTCTTGTCATGAGTTTATGAGCATGTCCTTTAAAAAGAAGACAGTGGGCTGGGCGCAGTGGCTCATGCCTGTAATCCCAGCACTTTGGGAGGCCGAGGCGGGCGGATCACAAGGTCAGGAGATCGAGACCATCCTGGCTAACATGGTGAAACCCTGTCTCTACTAAAAATACAAAAAAAAAATTAGCCAGGCATGGTGGTGGGCGCCTGTAGTCCCAGCTACTTGGGAGGCTGAGGCAGGAGAATGGCGTGAACCTGGGAGGCAGAGCTTGCAGTGAGCCAAGATCATGCCACTGCACTCCAGCCTGGGCAACAGAGCAAGACTCCATCTCCAAAAAAAAGAAAAAAAAAGAAGACAGTGGTTTCCTGTGGGTAAGAGAATGAGGTGATTTCTCACCAGACTGCAAGCTCACTGAGGGCAGAGACTGAGTTCTATCCCCCTTCATTACCCTCAGCTTCTAGTTGTGTGCTTGGTACGTAGATGGTGTTTGATAAACATATATGAACTGACTTAATGAGTTCAATTTAGGCCAGGCACAGTGGCTCACGCCAGTAATCCTAGCACTTTGGGAGGCTGAGGTGGGAGGATCGCTTGAGACCAGGAGTTCAAGATCAGTCTGGGCAACATGATGAAACCCTGTTTCTACAAAAAATACAAAAAAAACTAGCAGAGCCTGGTAGTGCACATCTGTAGTCCTAGTTACTTGGGAGGTTGAGGTGGGAGGATCACTTGAGCCTGGGGGCAGATGTTGTAGTGAGCTGTGATTGCACCACTGCACTCCAGTCTGGGTGACAGAGTGAGACCCCGTATCAAAAGGAAAAAAGAGTTCAACTTTATTAAAACCTTCGGGGAATGTCCCACTCATCAAACATAACCAAGTGATGGTGAGGATGTGGAATGACTTGGTAAAACCATTTTAGAGAGCTATTTGGCAATATGTCATCAATAGGAAGATGCCCTCCTAAGTCTTTACTCTGAAGAAGCTCTGTTTTGTAGGTGCATAAGAATGTTCATGGCAGTGCTGTATGTAATCATGAAAAGCTGGAAGCAGCTGACATGGAGACTGGACATTACGGTAGTCACACAAGGGACTGTATACAGCACAGAACCAATCACAGCTTCACTCATCAATGTGGGTGGCTCTCAGAAACACACAGTAGATCAGAAAAGAAAGTTGCAGATGAATATATACAGTATGATACCACTTATATGGTCTTTAAATACATGCAAGACACTATTACATATCGTAAATATGGAGAAATAGATAGTAA
The DNA here is from genome assembly GCF_000001405.40 of Homo sapiens. Taxonomy (NCBI): domain Eukaryota; kingdom Metazoa; phylum Chordata; class Mammalia; order Primates; family Hominidae; genus Homo; species Homo sapiens. The sequence continues at coordinate 35,187,526 of NC_000006.12, read as the reverse complement.
AACAGAGAAACACAGGGAATGGCAAATATCACATTCAGGAGAATGGTCACCTCTGTGGGGAGAGCAGAGAGATGGGATTGCATCAGGTACACAGAGGGCTTCCCTGGTATTGGCAAAGTGTTATTTCCTAGGTTGGTAGGTACACGGTGTCTGTGATATAATTCTTTATTCTGCGGTCATCATTACTGTTGTCCACCAAGCATTTCTGGGTCCTTCCCCTTCCAAGCGCCTGGTAGGATAGTAATTTCAGGTTTTCTGTGGTTGGGAGAGGCCCTGTGACTAGTTCTGGTCAATGATTTGTGAGCTAGAGCATTAACTGCCTTTTTGAGACCCTCTAGATTCCTTTCTTTTTTTTTTTTGAGACAGGGTCTTACCCTGTCACCAGACTGGAGTGCAGTGGCACAATTACAGCTCACTGCAGCCTCCAAGTCCTGGGCTCAAGTGATCCTCTTGCCTCAGCCTCCTGAGTAGCCGAGACTACAGGTGCACACCACCACACCCGGCTAATTAAAAAAAATTTTTTTAGAGACAGGGTCCTGCTATGTTGCCTAAGCTGGTCTTGAACTTGGCCTCAAGTGATCCTCCTGCCTTGGCTTCCCAAAGTGCTGGGATTACAGGCATGAGCCACTGTGCCCGGCATCTCTTTTGCTTCTGACAGTGCTTCAGATGGTGGCTGTTCCACCAGCCTGGGTCCCTAAGTGATTTCAATGGTCAGAGTCCCCTGCTCATCCACAAAGGGCATGTAGCAGAAGTGAGAAGCAGTAAGTAGCAGAAGCAGAAGTGTGTGTTAAGCCACTGAGATATTGGGGTTTTTACTGCAGCATAATCTAGACTATTCTGATACATACCTTTTAGTGTGTCTAGAATAATTAAATTAAAAAATTAAATGAGGAAAATATCCATAGCTTTCACGCAAGTTCTAAGATAAGACAAGAGAAGGGGGCTTAAGAGAGTAGAAGGCTGCATTTCCATTGCTGTTTCCTAAAGACAAAAAAAAAGACATTTCCTAGCTCCCTTTTACCCCTTGGGTGGCAGCAGCAATGAGTTCAGGAAGACTTTGGGCTGGGGTGTCCCTGGTATTTCATTACACCTCTCTTGGAAACTCATTTAGCACCACTGTGCTTTCTCCTCAGCTTCAGGAAAAAAGCCCAGCAATCCCCAGGCATTAGACACCTGCAGGGCAAAACTTGGTTTGGCACATTGTTTGGGCTTCTAAGTCCCCCACCTCCCCAAAACTGCAGCAACATCAGCCAGAACAGATATGTAAGATCAGAGCAGACAGGATGTGAGGGAGTTCTTGCCTTAGGTGCCTGGCAAGAATGTGAACCTCAGCTCCTGGGAGCATGGGGCTGGATGGCTCTGTCACACAGTCTACAGCCCACTGACACTTCAAATGCCAGCTTCCTGCCTTCTTGCCTCCGGAGGAAGCATTCCTGGATTACCTTGCCTGGAAGGGAGGGGAGGAGGAGCTGCAGGTAATACCTGGATTTCTATGGTGCTTTTCTTCCTAAAGGTTCAAAAGACATCCCTTCTCTGATCTCCTGTGGCCTTCCCCAGAAATAGGGCAAGGAGAGGAAGACTCTCATTTCCCAGTCCAGGTAAAGAAATGAGGGTCCAGAGAGGTTAAGCAAATGGCCTGAGGTCATATAGCAGGACAAGAGTATGATTCTGGTGGGCAAGGGTCTATGTCTCCACACCCCATCTCTCCCCATCCACTACCCCAGACCTACCCTGCTGGCCAGGCTGGCTGGCCCCTGTATGTGGGCAGCAACCTTAGTACTCTCAGTAGCCTTTGCAGAGGGGTGAGCTGGGCCTTGAGTGTCCACTCAGCTTGTCCTGGGCCTGAGCAGAGAAGAGGAAGAGGAGGAACTGGGAGAGGCTAAGGTCAGCCCCCCCCACCCCCCCACAATCTCCCAACAGAGCAGTGATGACAGGTTGGCCTTGAGCCCCGTGGTCCCGCCACTGGGAGGTCAGGCCAGGAGGCTGCCAGAACACCGGGGCTGAAGAGGCTCCAGATAATGCAACTGGGGCAGGCTCTGTGGGTGGAAATGACATTTCTTGACTTTAAATAGCTCCATCTCCAGAGCCCCGGAGCCTCGGCAGGGCTATTAATTCCTGGACTCCCAGGGCTGCCTAGCCCTGTCATTCTGTTTGCACAAGTTGTGTAAGATCTCAGGCATTTTTCCTGCCACCCGTCTCCCCCACCTCCCTTCAGGTTTCCTGTGCGATTTCAACAAGGGGTTAGTTTATTTCCAGTTTCAGGCCTGGGATTCGAACTGACCACATACATATTTTGTCCTTCTTACAAGTGACACGGCTCAAGTCAACAGCAAACTCTTAAGGGTTTTCTTTGTAACCTGGTGTCTCTGTAATGAAAGGTAATGTGTATGTGAATGGACGGCAAAAAGAGAGGCCATCTCTATGCATGCATGTGTGTGTGTGTATCAAGTTAATTAATCAATTGATTAATCAAACCCCCAGATTATTTTTGAGTGCTTACTATGTGTCAGGCACTGGGCTAGCGCTGGGTACAAAGGGTAAACAAGAGTCCTAACTGATTAAAAAAAAAGAAAACTGTTACCACCCCCAGGGAAGGCCCCTGGTGGTGTCTCCTGGCCCAGCTGGGCATCCCTGACAATAGTTCCCAACATCTCTGCATCGTGCCCACACTTGCCAAGCCCCCGGTTATGTGCCATGCTGAGAATGATGCAGAGAAAAAGACAGGTAGGTGCAGGAGGTTCTAAATGCAGAAAATCAACAGGTCGTGGTGGCTGACTGGCTGGAGAAATAAGAATCAACGATTAGTCAATGACAAGTCCAGGGTGTTCAGCCTGAGGACACTTAGACTGTTGGACCTTTGAGGGCAGACATGGCAGCTCCTACATATGGGGAAAGCACCTGGTGGGTTCAGCATTCCCTGGTCTTCCCTGTGTCCAGGCTGGGCATTTCAAGGACAGCCTCAGGGAAGACACATTTTTAATCATTTTGACTGGTGTGTGTGTGTGTGTGTGTGTGTGTGTGTGTGTGTGTGTCTGTCTGTCTGTCTGTCTGCTATTGACATCTAGTGGGTGGAGAATAGGGGTACCACGAAACATCCTCTGAAGCACAGGACAGCCCCACCCACAACAAAAAATTATCCAGCCCAAAATATGAGTAGTGCCAAAGTTGTGAAGCCTGAGTTTCTGTGAATCTGATCACTAGGTCCACAGGAAACTTAAATCATCCCAGTTTCACCCAGACCCATGCAATGTGGACTGACATTCAAGCTAACCCTAGGCCTCCAAAAGGCCTGTTTAACCACCGAGGAAAGCCTAAACCATGCATATCATACCTGACTTCATTTATTGGCTATCTGTGATGTCTCAGGTTATTTACATAAATTACTGCTAAGCTCTTCCACAACTGTAAAGAGACAGGTGGCGCAATCATCATTATCTCTATTTCACAGATGAGCAAACTGAGGCTCAGAGAGATTAGATAACTTATCCAATAGCACACAACTTGTAAGTAACCCCAAAGCCCACTCTATTCTCTATACTATTACTATACATATATCTGCTTATAGTCTCATCTTTTGAAAGCTCATAATTGGGTGTAACAGATGAGGGAACTCTCTATTATCTAGACCTTTCCATAAACTCCAAGCACCTCCTTCCCCAGCCATTCTGGGTGAGTGGGAATCTCTATGCTTAAAGCATGTAAAGATGTACCAAGGGGATGTGGTTCCTGGAAAAGCAAAGCCCATGGCCAGCAAGGAGATGAAAATTTGCTCAAGTTTATTAAGGGGTCAGGGAAGTACAAATTAAAGTAACAATCAGATACTTCAGGGTGGTTTCAGAGGACTAAGAAATCACCAAGGGCTGTGCCACCTATTTGCCGCTGGGGTGTGGGGGAAAAGCACCCTCATTCATTGTTGGCCGGGACATGGACATTAAGTGTTAGACCTTCTGCAAAAGCAATCTGAAATATTTTCTAAAATTAAATCCAGGGACAATTCAGCCTAGCAATCCAACTTCTGGGCACACAAAGATATGTGACAAGGGCTTTTATCACACTGTTGCTCACAGTAGCAAAAAACTGGAAACACAGTGGATGCCTGTCAGAAGGGGATAGTTGAATAAATTATCCACACCATGGGGGTGAGGAGAGAGGATCTGCTGTAAAGGGGCAGAAGAACTGTTTAGGGTGAGAGAACTGTTGATTAAGTACAATTACCCAAATTCATCCAACTATAAACTTAAAGTGGGTGAATTGTATGTAAATAATTTTTAAAGAAAAGACTGCTATGCAACCAAACCAGTTCCTATGAGGTATTAATGGACAAGAAAAGATACAGAAAAATATCACTCAAGATCCCATTTATATACCTTTGTGTGTATGTAAATGTATAGAGAGATGCTTGCATATGTTTATATGAACATGGAGAAAAATATAGAAGGGTTCATTCTAGGGTCTTAGTATGGGTTACCTGGAGATGGAGGGCAAGAAAAGTCAAGAAAAAAGGAAAGGAAACGAAAAGAGAACAGACTTTAAAAATATGTGTGATATGGTCAAGAGATCGAGACCATCCTGGCCAACATGGTGAAACTCCGTCTCTACTAAAACTACAAAAATTAGCTGGGCGTGGTGGCGTGCGCCTGTAGTCCCAGCTACTTGGGAGGCTGAGGCAGGAGAATTGCTGGAACCCGGGAGGCGGAGGTTGCAGTGAGCCGAGATACGCCACTGCACTCCAGCCTGGCGACAGAGCGAGACTCCGTCTCAAAAAAAAAAAAAAAAAAAAAAAAAAAAAAATATATATATATATATATATATATATATATATATATGAATTATATATATGTATATATGATATGGAATGTATGTATTTATGCAACTTCTAAAAGTGTGTTGGACCCGAGCTGGGGAGGAGGTGCGGGCCCCCGGGGTCCCCTGGGGTCCGCGGGCCGGAGACTCGCGCTCCGGGCGGTGAGTCACAGACAGGCCCGGCTTGGCCGGCGCCTGCGGGCGCTTTGCAGCTGCACCTCGTCGGGGGCGCGGAATCCCTCACCTCGAGGAAAGCAGACGCCCGCCGCCCGGGAGACAGACCGCGCGGGGGTTTTCCAGCGGGGGCGGAGGCCCCTGAAAGGCGCATTGTCAGCCTGGGGAGGCGACGCGGCGCGAGGACAGCGGGACAGCGAGGCTGGGGGTGGGGTTGGGGACCCCAGCTGGGCGCCCGGTGGCTGCGTCGCAGATCCCTCGCCCGCCACGTGGGCCCTGATTCTCCTGATGCTGGGTGGGAGGCCCACAAAGCTCCTACTCCGCGCAGAGGCGACTACCGCCTGCACGGGGTCCGGAGCTCAGTGTCCAGAGTGCCCCAGGATTTGTGCACAGTTTTGCCTCACGTTAGAGCCCGAGAACAGCTCCAGCAGGTCCTGGAATTTGTCCGTGTTTGTGGCTCCCTCCTTGGGGCCCAGCAAGGAGCCTGGCACGTTGCCAGCGCTCAAGAAACATTTGCATGGTGAATCACAAGGGCCTTCGGCAGAAGTTGCCAGGGAACATCATGCTGAACTCTGGGCTCCACAGCCACACCCTCCCTCGAGAACCCTGTGCAGCCTTCCTGTACTGTTAGAACCCCACTTGCTTGATGGGCTTGATCATTAGGCTTCCATAGCTGTGTCCAGCCTCCTCAGCCCGACAGGGAGGCCCTGAGGGCAGGGACTGTATCACACATGTGACCACTTCCCAGAGCAAAACTGCAGGCGACCCCGCACACAGTAGGTGTCTTTCAGCAAAACATTGTGACAGGGAAGAGAAAGAGGATGCTTTGGGTCCAGTGGTTCTCTCTGTGTCCCTGAGTAAAAATCCAATTAGGTCTCAGAAATTCTGTTTTTTTGTTTTGTTTTGTTTTTTTGTACCAAAAGAGAAACTAAGAAATGTAACCTGAGCTCTGGGCCACTCAGGAGGCTGGTGGCAGGAGGGCAGGAGTATGGCATAACTTTGTAGCTTAAAAAAAACAACAACCAAATTAGAGCACTAGTTTAAGGGCTGAGTCAAGAGGGCCAAGACGTGTCTCTTGTTCCCTAGTCCTGGGCTGTTTGCCAGGAGAGAGGAAAATGCTTCCAGAAAGTCCAAGTCCAGGTTTAGTGGCTCCAAGGGAAAGATTTTTCTACATGGAACTAAAGCAAGAACTAGGTCGTAAACCAAAATCTTCTAACTTCCTCCATGACCAGGGTTGCAAGAGAGAAACGGGAGTAATGGAAAGAATAAGGGACTTGAGGTCAAAAGGTCTTGATTTGAGCCATGGCCTCAGCCTCTTAGATCAGCCCCATGTCTCTAGGAAAGTTCCTTGGCTTCTCTGAGCCTCCGTTTCCTCATCTGTAGCGTGGGGATAATAATGCCACTTCATTCACATGACATTTTACTAGTGGATGGGTGAGTACCTATCTCAGCTCATGACACACAGCAAGTCCTCAGTAGAAGTCTGTGGGTCAAACAGATAAGCATACAACAGTGCTTACTGCAGCATTATTCACAACAGCCAAAAGGTAGACACAACCCAAATGTTCATCAGCAGATGAATGGATACATAAAATGTGGTACATCCATACAAGGGAATGTTTTTCAGCCATAAAAAGGCATCAAGTTCTGATCCATGCTAACACACAGATGAACCTTCAAAACATTATGCTAAGTGAAAGAAGACACAAAAGTGTATATATGGTATGATTCCACTTATATAAAATATCTAGAATAGGCAAATTCATAGAGATAGAAAGTAGATTAGAGGTTACCAAGAAATGGGGAATCATTACTTAATGGATATAGAGTTTCTGTTTGGGATGATGAAAGAGTTTTGGAAACAGATTATGGTGATGGCTGCACACACTGTGAATGTAATTATGCCACCGAATTGTATACTTTAAAGATGGTTAAAATGGCGGAATATATATTATACATATTTCGCCACAATAAAACACTTTTCAAGGAAGACTATGGAATCTGATTGTGAAAAGAAAGTTCTGCTTTTGGCAGCACTTTTGTGGTAGCTCCCAAATGGAAATAGCCCAGATGTCCATCTATAGCAGAATGGATGAAGTGTCTTCTGGAATGTTATCCGGTTGTGAGAATACATGACAACCATACACAACAAGCTGAGTGAATCTTATGGACATAATGTTGAGTGAAAGAAGCCAGACACAAAAGGCATCCTGTATGCTTCCATTTATACAAAGTTCCAAAACAGACAAAACTAATCTATGGTGCTAGAGGTCAGGACAGGGTTACCCTTGGGGAATAATTATTGGAAAGGGGCACTAAGGGGCTTCTGGGGTTGGCAACGTTCTGCTTCCTGATTTAGATGCTGTGACCTGGGTGTGTGCACTTTGGGGAAATTCTCCAGCTGTTTTACACTAATGTGTGTTCTTTTCTGTACATGTTTACTTCCAGAAAACATTTTTTTTAAGTTCTGGTTTGAGTCTTGAGTGAAGGGAATGGCAAACTAGAAAGTAAAGCTACAGAACCCTGATTTATACACACTTAACCTGTGCCAAGCCAAAGGGACTGTGAAACAAGACTTATTCTCTACACTGCTTGTAATTCATACTCCCCCCTCCCCAGGCCTCTCCATGAGCTGTAACCAATTAGTTTTTGGACTCCAAACAGCAGACTTTCTACAGCTCACACTGGGGGGCATAGGGGAAATGGGGTACACTGGCATCAAGAGAGGCTCTGATCCCAAGCTCACAGCCTCTGGAACAGAAACCCACCATCACCCTGGGCTTGCAGACAGGGAGTAGGCATTCAGCATACTTGTTGGTGGATTGTGTCATAACAGCTCTTCAAGTGCACCCCTGGGCTCTCACTGATCTCTCTCACTACCTTCATTCAGAAACAGGCTGTTTGCAGCCCCTTGGGGGTGCTGCTGTCAAGGACTTAGGGCCTAGAGGCCTAGAGGAGAAGTTGCCCCTTCCCCTGACCTCAGGAGTCTGCCTCCCAGACACCCTCCTGGATGCTGTGGAGAAAGCCAGTCTGAAACATTGACTTGGCCTGGGCTGACCCAAGGTGAGGCCTGACACCAACAACCCCGTGGTTGGGGTCGGGGGCAGGGGATAATTTTTATTTTTGCTTGGTGGCAAACTGCTAAATAATAGATCTGGCTGGGGTTTCGGTTTCTCCCCCACTGGCTTGACCAGCTTGTTTTCTGATTGACTCAATCAGCAGGTTATTTTGGCCCTGTGGGGACCCAGGCCTTGGTTTCTGCTCCTGGAGCCTTTCCCCTCTCCCCAGGGTGTTTAGGCTTCCCCCACAGTGTTGGGTTTGTTTGCCTGCCTGTCTGGGGCCCTGAGGACTGAAGCAGGCAGCACGGGCCTTTGCCAGACTGTAGGTGTTTACATGATGTGGGTGTGTGGCGCTGGGGGAACAGACCCCTGTTGCAGAGGTGTTCCTCATGCATAGCTAAAGCAGCAGCATCTCCTTCCTTCTTTTATGTGTCCCAGGAAATGCCATCCTTCTTCCTCCTCCAGGCTCCTCTGCCTTTCTCCCTGGAGAGCACAGCCAGCTACTCTTACTATTCATGACAGCAGTAGCAAAAACAGTAATTCCTTACATGGGAAAAGTGCTTAATGGTTTAGGAAGCCCTTCCACAGCATCGTTTCATTTGACTCTCCCACGGCACTCTGTTTGAGGCTGAGGCTCAGTGAGGTTCTGAGACCCACTCAAAGTCATGGACTCATCATCAAGCTTAGAGCATGTCCTTTGATTTCTGGTCCCATCTTCTCTCTTCTGACCCAAGATGCCTCTTGCTTTTGGAGACCAGGGCAGAAGGTACTAGTTGCCACTCCAAATCCACTTCTTCCTTAGCAACAGAACCTCAACTGTATTCAAGGCAGCATTGTGCCCAGGCAAAAGGAAAATTCCCAGACTTACTTGCAGTCAGTAATATGTAAGCAGAGACCTCAGGAAAACTTCTTAAAGGGGTAGAAAGGATGGACCCTTTTAACCTTTCCTCATTGCCTAGAATTCAGATGTAAGAGCTAGAGCACAGCAACTGTCTTGGACAATGCAGTGACTTTGAGGTTAAAAGCCACTAGGATGGTACAGCAGAAATATAGATGGGGCAGAGTCTCAGATGACCAGAAAGTCACCATATCTGTCCAGATTCCCTACTCTCAGACTTCTTTTACATGACAGAAGAGTAAACTTCTATCTAGTTTAAGCCACTGCAATGTGATTGTTCTGTCGTTTGCAGCCCAGTTTAATTTCTCCAGATGCAGGGACCTTGTTTCTGGTGACACACAGTCTCCTGTTCCCCTTCTACTCACCTGCATGGAATGCAAAGGGCCCTCTCCTCATAGTTCTCAGCTCTCATAGTTTCTATCTGCTGGACTCAGGTCATAAGGGCTATCCCAGGAGGGTACCTTCCTGGGTCCTTTAAACCTGCTGAGAGTTCTGGAAAATGAGAATTGACATAGGGCACACTTTCTTCTGTGAGTTTCTATAGCCAAGCAAAACTAACAGGGGAAAACAAGAGAATTCGCAGCACTTAGCCGTTTGCACAGATTGGATTCTTCTGAGAGCCAGTTTACAAACCCACACTTCCAATCCCCCTGTCACTCCCCCAGCATTCCAGAGATTGAGACAGAGTTCATCACTTTGGGCCCATTCATCAGCCCCCTATACCCCAGAGCACAGCAGAAAATGGTAGAGTTCAAATTTTTGTGATCCCTATCACATGAATCCATCCCGGTAAAAAAATCTGGCCATACATCCCTAATAGATGCACATTTATAGACTCCTTCCTGTTAGTCAGTCCGGATGCATGAAACTGCAAATAACTGAAAGCCCAGGCAGTAATTGTTAGATCTCTGAGGACCTTTACTGGGACCTTAAAAGAGATCAAGGAGAAGATGGTCTGAGGTCATTTCATCAGATCAAGGATATCATTAAGGACTGGGCTCTCTCTCCAGCTTTCCGAAGTTCCTCCATCCTTAGTGTGTTGACTTTTGTTCTTAAGTCTGTCCCTTCAAAATCACACGTTAATATTGCATCTGCCTTTTCAGCAGGAAAATGGGGGTGGCAGCAGTGCCAGCCGTTCATGCTCTGACACTTGTCCCCTTCCTAGGAAGCAAAATGTCTGTCCTATGATGAATGTGCCCTGATGTCTCATTGGCTATATTGGTCACATGGCTTCACTGGCCACAAAGGATTCTGGGTAAGTATTAGGCAACAAGGGAAGTGGGGCTGGGGTGGGCTGTTGTGTGGCTACCCTGTAGAGTCTGCATACACATGAACTAGTGGGCTAATGTTTTGGGTACATTATAAGATCTACATAAAAAATAGGGATTTAGTCAGGCAGGATGGCACACACTTGAAATCCCAGCAACTCGGGAAGCTGAGGCAGGAGGATTGCTTGAACCCAGGAGTTCAAGGCTACAGTGAGCTATGATTGCACCTGTGAATAGCTACTATACTCCAGCCTGGGCAATATAGTGAGACCCTATCTCTAAAAAATGAAATAAAAATCTTTTCAAAATATTGGGATTTAAAAAGGATAAATAAAAAATAGACATTCTAATGTTACTTCCCACTCAGCTCCTGGGGCACAGGCACCCACTCTGGAAACCACTGGTACAGCATAAACAGTACAACCTCTGCACAGAAGGACCTAGTATAAACCTTGTCCTGTTATTTACTAGCTGTAGCGCTGGTCAAACTCCTTAATCTTGTTAAGCCTCATTTTTCTCATCTGCACAATGGGAATAGGAATAGAACCTACCTGACTGGTTTTCATAAATTTCCTAGCATGGCACTCAGCCTTGTAAGAAACAATAAATATTAGGTAATATGTCTCCTTTCAATAACAGCTTTCCATTTATGGGGCAAGAGATGGTGTGGGAAAGAGATAAAGTATTGAAAGCAATGGTAATCCCTCAAAGAACATTTTAATAATGCCCATCATTTAAGTAACCAGGTGTTTTTCATTTATATAGCAACAGAAGCCACATCCTGAGGATTCCTGTCAGGGTACAGCATGGGACCAGGAGTCTTGCCAATACTTCCCCAGCTCTGCCACTACGAGGTGTGAGCCCCAGATCCTGTTACTCCCCTCTCTGGGGCCCAGTTTCCTGAGCTAGAACACAGGAGCTCCTAAGCCTGTCTCCCCTCCTTCGGTTCAGGGCATCCCATTGTCAGCCCCTACCTATGCAACATCTGCTCTCTCCCCACTCCCATGCCATTCCACCCCCTAGACTTGATTTCTGAGGTCCTGCCCCTTGTGGCTGGCTTTCCCTTTCTCTAACCTGTTCACCTATCATTCTTCCTCCAGTAGTTTGGCCCTTTTGAAAGTGCTCTCTATCCTGGTATCCTGTGAGATTCCATGATCTCTCTAGGGAGGAAGAAGCATAAAGTTCTGGTCTCTGCTACAGATCGGCCAGATTTTAGATTTTTTCCCTAAACCCATTCAGATCACTTTCAGTGTGCCAGGCCTTGTCCAAAGGGCTTTACATTTTAACTCACGTAACACCAGGAAGTAGATACTGCTATTGTTATCATCATCATCATCATCATCATCATCATCATCCCCATATTTAAAAGGAGAAGAATGGGGCACAGAGAGGTTAAGTAATTTGCCCTAGGTCACACAGCTGGTAAGGGGCAGAGATGCATGTTTTTCCAGGCGGTCTGGCTTTACAATCCATGCTCTTTTTTTTTTTTTTTTTTTTTTGAGATGGAGTCTCGCTCTGTCGCCCAGGCTGGAGTGCAGTGGTGTGATCTTGGCTCACTACAACCTCCGCCTCCCGGGTTCAAGCAGTTCTCTACCTCAGCCTCCCGAGTAGCTGGGATTACAGGCACACGCCATCACGCCTGGCTAATTTTTGTATTTTTGGTAGAGATGGGGTTTCACTATGCTGGCCAGGCTGGTCTTGAACTCCTGACGTCGTGATCTACCCGCCTTGGCCTCCCAAAGTACTGGGATTACAAGCATGAGCCACTGTGCCCGGCCTCTATAGCCTGCACAAAATAATAACAGTTTCTCAGTTGTGAGAAAGGACAAAGTTAGGAAATTGGTTATTATTTTGCTATATAAATTGGGCAAGTTATTTAACCTTGTCATAGCTGTAAATGCTGAACCATTTAAGAGTATGTGGCAGACATCATGACATTTCACTCTAAATATTTCTGTGTATATCTACCAAGAACAGAGACACTGCCCTATATGACCTGAGCACTATCATCGCTGATACACTGATACACAGTGTATCATCTAATACACTGTTTATTTTCAAATGTCTCTGTCTCGAATCTCACTCTGTTGCCCAGGCTGGAGTGTACTGGCATGATCTCAGCTCACTGCAACCTCCACTTCCTGGGTTCAAGAGATTCTCCTGCCTCAGCCTCCCAGATAGCTGGGACTACAGGCGCGCACTACCATGCCTGGCTACTTTTTTGGTATTTTTAGTAGAAACAGGGCTTCACCATGTTGGCCAGGCTGGTCTCAAACACCTGACTTCAAGTGATCCATCTGCCTCGACCTCCCAAAGTGCTGGGATTACAGGCATGAGCCACTGTGCCCAGCCTCAATAATGTTCTTTATAGCTTTTTTTTTTCTTTTTCAGTATAGAGTCCAATTAAGGACTACACATTGCATTTAGTTGTAATGTCTTTAAAACTTTTAAAAATTCAGATATAATTCACATTCCATAAAATTCCTTCCTCTAAAGTGTATAATTCAGTGGTTTTTAAAAAATATATTCCCAAAGTTGTGCAACTATCACCACTAAATAATTTCAGAAAGTTTTTATGCTCAAAAGAAACCGCATGCCCATTATCAGTCACTTTCCATTCCCATTTAAGCCCATAGCAACCACTTATCTACTTCTTTGTTTCTATGGATTTGTATATTCTGAACATTTCATATAAATGGAATCATACAATATGTGGCCTTTAGCGACTTGCTTTTTCACGTAGCATAATGTTTTCGAGGTTCATTCATGTTGTAACATGAATCAGAACTTTATTCTTTTTTGTGGCTGAATAATATTACATTCTATGCATATCCATACAGTGGAATATTATTTTATGTTTATCCATACATCTGTTGATGGACCTTTGGGTTGTTTCTACTTTTTGGCTACTGTGAATAATGCTGCTATGACACTGACTTTTTGAGTCCAGGCTGTTAGTTGAGAATGTCCCTCTGTTCAGATTGTCTGATTGTTTTTCTTGTGATTAGTTTCAGGTTCATGGTACCATTTTTCGTAGCCTAACAAATGACTTTCTCTTTCAGCTGAGCCCAGCTATGGGCAAGCATCTCTGCTCAGCTATGTCTCTGGCAGGTGCCACAGTCTGGTGGAGGCAGAGCTTCTCATCTCCCCAACAAAGTGGCACTGTGCTCTTTCCCACTGCCCACAGTCCCTGCCCCTGCCTTCCTTGCCTCGTGGGCATAGAACCTCAGAGCTATTTCAGGCCCCTTCGTGGTAGACCTGGCCTGGGAAAATCTGAGGTCTGGCTGTTGGACACAACTGCCCTCCTCAGAGGCATGAAGGTCATTGCTGGCTTGGCTCCTTCAGTCTGGTGGCTTAGCCCCTTGTTTCTGGTTCCCACTGGCCCCCAGCAATCACCCCTGGCGGAGAGCAGGAGGGAGAGAAGATGCATCACAGGGATGGGCTTCCTGTTGACAAATGCCGTCTTGTGGCACTGGGTGTGGTTATGGCTCAAAAGAGCATCTATCTAAAAATGGGCCCTGGCTGCTCAAAGGATTCAGAGCACGTGTGTCTTTGAGTCACTGCTATTTACTTCCCGCTGACAAAAACAACCTTTCTTCCTGGCTGGTTTCCTCTGTGTAGCCCCTAGGAGTCCCACTGCTGTGAACATCTAGAGTCTCTTCCCTCATGGACCTCTTCCCCAGATGAATAGCTCAGCTTTCCTGGCAAGACCTGCAGGGTGGTGGGGACTGTGGCACCATAGCTGTTTGTTTATTCGTTAGAGCTGAGGGACAGGGCTTTTGAGTTACTTTCTCACTTGCTGTGTGGCTTTGAACAAGCCACTTGACCACTCTGTGCTCCGGTTTCCCAGCTGGCAATTAGAGGATGGGTGACTCCATTCTCTGCAGCATTTATCCACCGACTGAGGTTTGTTTACGGGTGAGACAGTGGAGCAAGTAACCGAGATGGGGTGAACCTCCTTCCCAGGTCGGGTAGACATTTAACAATAGGTTAGATCCCCTGTGGCCATCCTGGCAGATAAAGAGGTGGTTGTGGGAAGAAAATGAGCTTTAGGGCTAGACATTCCTGAGGCAAAAACTTGTCTCACTGCATCTTACTAGCTGTGTGGCCTCGGGCAAATTGCTTCATCTCTCTGATTCTTTGTATAAGGGGAATAACAGTTACAGCTTTTTTGTGGGGTTGATAGAGAGGTTAAAGGAGGTAACATCTATAAAGTGCTAAGGACAGTTTCTGGAATGTTATAGATGCCCAATAACCACAGATATTGAGAAAGCCAAGCTGAATAGGGATCGTTTTACAAAATATGTTAAAATCCTCACTCCTCTGTGTTGGCGTTTCTCATGCAGAGATTTAACACAAGTAATTTACTGTTGCCAAATGAATACCCCCAAAATTTTACTGTTGTATTTTTCCTGAAAATTAAGGCCCCCTTATCTCTCACCCTCCTTTGTGGCCAGCCCAGATTTCACCTCCTTGGAAAACAGAACCAATCAGAAATGTGTTTCAAAAAGTCCCAAGTTATTGCAAGGAGAACATTTTGGAAGGTGAACTGCTGCAGGGCCAGGCTTTGAACCCTGCCTGTGGAGCACTGTCTCCCTGGGAGGCTTTGTGGGTTCTGGCCTCCCTGGTGGCTCTGGTGGGCCACCCACGGGGTGGGATTTCAGGACTGGCCAACCACAGTCCTCGCTGTCTTGCAGGCTAATTCTTGATAGTCCGTGAAGCTCCATTGACTTAAAGTTTTGATCCCTGCTGGAGAGAGATACCCCTGGGAAAATATATCATTTTAATCCTCTTCAATCATGTAACCATTAGTGTATGTAACTATGGCAGAAACTGCTGGTTATCCCCTGTACCATTTCTCTCCTTCATTTTGTAATAGAAGTCCTGGCTACCCAGCTACAGTAGGGTTCCTCAGCCTCGGCACTCTTCACATCTTGGGCTGGATGACTCTTTGTTGCCGGGGGCTGTCCTGCGCATGGCAGAAGGCTTAGCAGCATCCCTGCGCTCTACCTAGCACCAGCCACTCTCCCAGCTGTGACCAAGAAATGCCTCAGGCCGGGCGCTTGGCTCACTCCTGTAATCCCAGCATTTTGAGAGGCCAAGGCGGGTGGTTCACTTGAGCTCAGGAGTTTGAGACCAGCCTGGCCAACATGGTGAAACCCCATCTCTACTAAAAATACAAAAATTAGCTGGACGTGGTGGCGCATGCCTGTAGTCCCAGCTACTCAGGGGGCTGAGGCAGGAGAATCGCTTGGAACTGGGAGGCAGAGGTTGCAGTGAGTGGAGATCACGCCACTGCACTCTAGCCTGGGCAACAGAGTGAGACTGTGTCTCAAAAAAAAAAAAAAAAAAAAAAGGTCTCCTCAGTTGAGTGTCCCTGAGTTAGAGATACATTTCCCAACCTCCCTTGCAGCCAGATATAGTCATGTCACCAAGTTCTGGCCAATGGCATGTGACCTGGAACACTCAGGTGGATGTGTACAAATGCCAGGTCAGGCCTTTAATGGGAAGATTAAGCCCTCTACTTCCTGTCTCTTCTTCCCACTGGCTACAATGTGAAGGCAGTGGCAGGAGCTGGGGCAGCCATCTTAGGCCCTGAGATAGAAGCTGGGTGTTAAGGTGGCAGAGCAGCTACAGAGAAGGAGCGGTGGTGCCCAACTATGTGGAGCTACCATATCCAGCCTGTTGCTCATGCTCAAGCTGCTGTGTGAGAGAGTAATGACCTGCTGTCTCGTTGGAGCCAATGCTACTTTGGCCTTTGTCACAGCAGCCAAACCTATGTCCTAATTAACATAATGAGTTTTTCGCTTCCTTACCTGACTGTAGAGTTGACACAAGCAGCAGGGAGAACCAGAATGAATAAAGGAAGGAATGACTAACTAGCTTCTATGGAGCCCCTCTTAAGTTTTAGACACTCTGCTGGGGGCTTTCGTGAATTCTCCAAGTAACTCTCCAAGGGAGGGACCATTATCCCCGTGTTTCCAGAAGAGGAGGCCAACGCTCACAGAGGTTAAGTGCCTTGTCCACATCATACAGCCCCCAAGGGACAGAGCCAGGATTCAGCCCTAGGCTTGAAAGACCACCACCCTCCACCCGCCCCTACCATGTTGCTGCTTTGATTGAGAGACTGAACAAACATGAGCCTCCACTAAGGATGCTGCTGCCATCAGGATGAGCTGTCACATGAAGCCTTGCTCCCATCTCCACCCACCACTGTCTCTCCCCTCTCACACCCCATGTTCCGCTTGCTCATCTCCTAGGGGCCCCGGCTTGTCTGTTCTTTGGTGCCTCTGCATCTTGGCTTAGGTGACCCTGTGGCCTGGGATGCCTTGAACATCCTTCCAAATCCCTACCCCCTATGCCTGCTGGCTCAGAGCCCTGCAGCAGGATTCTGCTCAGACATCCCCTGCTCCAGGAAGCCTTCCCTGACTATAACCTTCTCAGTCAGACCAGGTCCCTCTCCTCTTGCTTCCTCCACACACCTGTACCATCCTCTGGTGGCACCCACCACGTGGTCTGAGGTGTGATGTTTACTGCGAGAGAGTTCCTTGAGGGAGGGATTCTGTCTTCTCTGTACCTTTGCTGATCAGCATGAGGTCTGAAACGTGTTGCTCACTCAAGGATGGAGGGGTGGAGGGAGAGATGCTAGGATACAGCAAAGCGAGGGACCAGCTCAGAACTGATCCATCCATTTATGCATACATAATGAAAAGTCAGCTGACCATTGCCGTGAAGAGTTTTGCAGAGAGAAAATGTCCTTGAATTTTGTCCTCAAAAAGCTAAGATACTAGAATGAGGCTAAGAAGAATTCAAATACAGAACACACAAAAAGATGAACTGTGAAGGTTCTGTTTCTGTCTATGGAAAGGGTCCCCTGGGGCCCCCAGCAGGCCCTGGCTCTCTTCACCCCGTCAATTCCTAGGAAGGCCAACTCATTCTAACATCAGCCTGAGTCAGACATAGTTAGGAAGAACCATCTGCTGCCAGAGAGCAGCACACAGAGATTCCCAGGCTGAAGAGAAAGATCAGGTCCCCCCTGCCTTCCTGCCCCCACTCACTCCCCAAGTGGTGAGGGATTGGCTGCATGTCTTGTTCTGGGGGACCTGCTGGCATTCAGGAGTAGGGAAAGCCCTTCTGCAGCCCTCTACTCTTGAGAAGCCTCCCTGGAGAACAAGGATGGGGGAACATGTAAGACAGGATGGCTTCCCTTTCTCAGGGGCTCTGGAAGCTCAGAGGGGTATCTAGAGAGCCAGAACACAGTCTGGGCACCTCAGAATGTCAGCCTCACCTCCCCTACTATGGGGGCCACCATGGATCCAGAGTTTCCATAGGGTACTCTTAAGGTCCTCTGATCAGTGGATTAGAAGTCTGGGCAAGAAGTTCAGCAATGAGGCCACCTTTAGCTAGAGCAGCTTTCCTTTCTCCCAGGGGAAGGGAGGGAGGGTAGGCCTTGCTGGCTGGATCAGTCCTGAGGGTGGGTAAGAACAACAGCTGTCCTGGTGATGGTGATGGTAATGGTGGTGATAGTGGTGGTGGTTGTGATGTGTTGGTGATGGTGGTGGTGGTGATGGTGATGGTAATGGTGGTGGTAGTGGTGATGGTTGTGATGGTGGTGATGGTGGCTGTGATGGTGGTGGTGGTGGTCGTGATGGTGGTGGTGGTGGTCGTGATGTGTTGATGATGGTGGTGGTGGTGATGATGGTGGTGGTGGTGATGGTGATGATGCTGGTAATGATAGTGGTAGTAGTGATGGTGGTTGTGATGGTGATGGTGGTGGTGGTGGTGATGATGGGGTGGTTGTGGTGGTGGTGTTGGTAATGATAGTGGTGATAGTGATGGTGGTGATGATGGTGATGACAGAAGCCAGCCCTACTGAGCCACAATTCTAAGCACTTATTTAATCCTCACAACAACCTTACAAAGTTGATTCTGTTACTTCCCATATATTACCCAAGTGATTTTAAAGCCATTTTCCAGGGCAAAACACTCCCATGGAAGCATCCCACCTGCTCTTTGGGACCTTGAGCAGGTCAATTCACCTTTCTGGTAGACTCCCCATCAGCAAGACACCAGCCCGGCTTGTTGAGTTCCTCCTGGTGTTATGGGACTCAATTGAGACCAACAATGCAAATGTGCTTTGAAAAAGTTGTGAGGACTCATCAGACTTATGCTCTTATCCTCCCCTCCTCAGCCAGTCTGGCCTGTGTGTGGACACCAAGGCCCACCAGGCATCCTCCAGGGAGGGAACCTGACCCTTCCATGTTTGCATTGTCCTTTCTATCTTTTTCCTCCCTGCCCATCTGCCATTCTGTATAGCACAGGGAGGGTCTAGCCAGTGTGGACAAGTGTCCCAACACTGGTTCTGCACCTCACCAGCTATGTGACCTCAGGAAAGTTACTTCCCCTCCCTGGGCCTCAGTTTCCTCATCTGTGTATAAGGGGGTTATACTGAGCTATCCCTCCGAGCACCAAAATCCTAATGTCCTGTGATCAAAAGCCAGTGGAAGGCCTGGGGAATCCAGACTGGAAAGCTCAGCTGAGCCCGGCTCCGCTTCCCATGTTAATGGCTTTGCCTAAAGGAGGCCCTGGCCATGCAAGCTGTTTTATCGAAATGTGTTCCAGCTCACTTAGATTACACTTCACTCCACTGAACTTCAAAAGGAGCACAAGAGCTCCTCTGCAGACAATTGCTTGTGGAACGTCAACACAGCCAGGCAGGCTCTAAGGGGTCACCTCATTGGGCAGCTGGGCAGGCTTTTAAGGACCCACAAGGGGGGAAAGCAGAAAGATGCAGGCAAGAGCCTCACACGGCTGAGCCTTCGTGGTTTTCACATGGTTATCGTCTTCCCCTGGTCTCCAGATCTCCGATCCAGAAGAGAGTCTTGATGGGCCAGAAAGATAGGCAGCCTCTAAAAGGATGAAAAGAGTCCAAGGACTGCAAGCTCGAGGGAGAGAATGAAGCAAAACAAAACTGTGAGAGGACATGTTAGGGGTGAAATGTGTTAGCACTTGTGTGTATGAAAAAGGGACACAAGTTTTAGTTCATGATAAAAGTTGGTCATGTGATATGGCTTCCAGAGAAACAAAAACTTTGGTGCTGCATTTAGAGAAATACAGTATGAAGTTGAGGAAAAGTGAGAATATTGGCCTGGCGTGATGGCTCACACCTGTAATCCCAGCACTTTAGAGGCCAAGAAGGGAGGATCACTTGAGCCCAGGAGTTTGAGATCAGCCTGGGCAATACAGGGAGACCCATCTCTACAAAAAATAAACAATATTAGCCAGGCATGGTGGCATATGCCTGTGGTCCCAGCTACTCAGGAAGCTGAGGTGGGAGCCTCTGCTTTGTTGAACCTGGGAAGGCGAGGCTGCAGTGAGCCATGATCGCACCACTGCACTCCAGCCTGGGTGACAGAGGCTGTCTATATAAAAAAAAAAGTAAGAATATTAATTGTTCCCCTTTATAAGAGCTTACTGTGCCAGATCCTGGAGCTAGCCAGTAATGTAGATAATCTCAGCATTTTGTGATCCTCACAAAACCCAATGAAGTAAACACTAAGCATGATCTCCTCATATTTCTGATGAGTAAACTGAAGTTCAGAGAGGTTAAGCCACTGCCTAAAGCCACACAGCAGATAAAAGGCAGAGGTAGGCTTCAATCTCAGGTCTGACCACCTAGTCTGCACTCCAAATGCATATTCCAAAACAACATCACATGAGGAACAATCAAAAGAGTGGTAGTTATGAATCTTCAACTTTAAGGGTGTGAAGAAGGGGCCCCAAACTTGCCCTGGATTGGGTGAAAGGAAAGCATCTCCCACTCAATGATCAGAAGGGATCTCTAGCAGCCAGTTGTCTGAAGACAGAGGGCCACCTCAGGAGTAGTGATTTCTTTTGCTTGGAGGTGTTTGTGCATAACCACCTGGCACAAAGGCAGGTACATGGATTCAGTGGGTGGTTGAATGAAGGCCCTGCTGCTGATCCTGAGATATTAGCAATTGGGCTGAGGGACGTTTCATGCAGACAAATCTTGGCCTCTGGCATCCAAGCATCATCACGTAAAGGCCTTCTCCACGTGTATACTGGAGGTCTCCCCCTACCAAGCGGTCTCAGGCCAAAGTGAGAACTAACACAGCTTGAAACTAGCCTCAGAGTCAGGAGACCTGGTTTTTTGCCTTCAACTTTCAGATGTGTGCTCTTGGGCAAGTCATTTGATGTCTCTGGACCTGAGTTTCTTCGCCAGAAAAATGAGCTTGGATTGGACCAGTTCTGTGGTCCTAAAACATAGATAGTTGCAGAGGAACTTGGGACAACAGACAAATCCTCACTGTGTCTCAAGGCAAGTGTTGGAGAAACAGAGGCCATGGAAGTCCGGACAGCTCAGGACCGGCCCCAGGGCAGTCTTCCAAGGAAAGGGGTCTACTCAGTCGGTTGAAGTGGTGCTGGCCGAGGCTAGGGCTCGGGAGCTGGGCTGGTGGACCAAATGGGGAAGCCCCATCTTGCATTTTTATTGTAGAGGAGCTGGTAGAAACGTGCTCAGCAGACAAAACAAACATAGCAAGGTGGGGTGCTGGTGAACATGTTTGGTTTGTCTGCTGAGCACTGACGCCACCCATCAGGCTCCTTCCTGCACAGAGAGACAATCAGACAGGCTTGGAGAGGCCCTCAGTGAAAGAGAGGAGAGCAGGCACTCAGCTCCCAAAGGGCTGCTGAGACTTTGGAAATCATGCCCCTGAACCACCTTTGTTATTGTGAATGAGGAGAAATTGCCCTGGGGTCTGCTTTCTGAGCAGAGGAAAACCAGGATTTGAATCCCAATTCTGCCATTCACTAGTGGGGTGAATTTGGGCAAGTCACTTAACCTAGAATGTCCAAATGGGGCCCTTATGAGAATGAAGGGAAAGGCTATTACCAGTTATGCTGAAACAACAGCGTAAATCAAAACTCTCTGGGGCAAACTGGGACATAGGTCACACTGCTTAAAACTCCCTAAGCCTATTTCTACATCAGGAAAATGGACATTGTGATAGTAATATGCACATGCTTCATGGGGCTGTGCTAAAGATTCAGTGAATGACACACATTTACGCTCAGTAAGAGAGGGCTCCATGTGGCCCTCCCTCTTCCCCCATTCTCTGTGTTTCTGAGAGGGGGTCTGAAATAGGGGCTCACTGGGGTCCCAGAGATGTGTGCTAGGGCCTCCTTCCAATCTGTGTGTTCTTTCCTGGAGGGCCAGTGCCCAAAGCCAGCTAGGGCTTGGGCCTCCTTTTGGGATCTGTTTGCCTTTTCATAAACACAGACCCAGGATTTTTCTTGGCTAGGCACATCTGCTCACAGCTCACAGATTGTACCTTGAAGCATTTGCTCCCAGGTGATTTGCATCAGGATCTACCAGGAAGTTTGTTTTTCAAGGCCTTAGTCAACATGTGGGTGTGGAAACACCAACCAATTTCAATGTAGAGTCAACTCCTTTTTAAATAGGGACTTTCACATTAGTCAGACTTTTCAAAACAACATAATATTTAAACAAAATTCCATTTCCCCTTCTATCACCAGCAGCAGTTACTGAAGATATTTCTGTTCTGACCAGAGGCTTCCCCCAACCCACGTTTCAGCTGGTTCCCTTCCTATGCCAGAGCCTGGGTTGTGATGTCACAGCGCTGGAGTATGAAATCATTCTTCTGTGGGTCTCAGTCTCCCTTCTGGCTCTTCAGGTGGATGCAGAGGACTGCTTGGGCCAGAGTCTTAATGTATGTTGATTCATTCTGATCCTTGGTTTGTTAATTACCTGGAATAGCAACACTGCATACAGCACGATCCTCCACCATAAGCCATGGCACAATCCCAGGAGTTCCCATAGGTCAGCATTCAAAACTCATAGCTCAGATTGTCTTTGAGGTACCATGATTTGGTAGGAAAATTTTTTGACGAAGTATCATGGGTCCCAAATGTGGTCACCCTGAGCAGGCCCAGACTTACACCTTTTAAAACCTGCACATTGGCTTGTTGCACACAGACCTGGTGACTTCCCCCAGCTTGGGGCCCCTGTCTCTGTCTACTCTGGTCCCTTCTCTCCTAGCTCCTGTATTCCTGGCTGGGCAAATCAGGCAGTCTGAGAACCCCTCAAGCAACTTGTTTGTTGTGCACTTATGATGTGTCCAGCACTCTGTTAAGCATAACAGGCAGTATTCCACTTCGTGAGCAGTGGTCTAGCTAACACTGAAGAACTCAGGCCTTGGGTAAGCTACCAAGTAATCTCTCTCTGCCTCAGTTTTGCCATTTGTAGAATGGGGATAACAGTCCCTCCCTGGTGGGATTGCTGCATGAGCGTTTATTGAGTTCATGAGCGTAAAATGCTTAGAACCTGTGTTTGATGTAAAGCAAGTGCTCAATTGCTGTTAGCCTGTTTATGACAAATCCTCACCACAGACCTTCGAGATGGGGACTCTGACTATCCCCACTGGCAAATGAGGTACTGAGATTTAGAGGTTAAGTAACTTGCAACCAAGCCATGTGCTAGAATGAGAGGCAATAAGCATAATTTAGGAAGTCTGAAGCCCTGCTCTCTGCGACATGAGAGGCTAGGTTAAATTCTAACTCACTACCTTCTGCATATATTTCTAGAGAACCAATGTGCCAGGCTCTGTGCCAGGAGTCAGGGGAAACAGTGATGGGATCAAACGCAGGGGACTAGCGGGGAGCTCCACCCCGTTTTCAGTCCAGCCCATGCAGGCAGGCTCTGGACTAGGCACAGTTAATCTCCAGCCATCCCCACTGGCTTCACCTGGCTCATTAAAATCAGACACGTTATGAGTTTACTTAGCATCTGCAGAGAGCGTCTTTCATCTTCAAAGGCTTCCCGAAGCACCAACCAATTAATCCTTACAACACCTTCATCTCATAGACAAATATTTATCCTCATTTCATACCCAGGAATACTAAGGTGCAGAGAGAGAACAGACTGGGCAGGAGGAGGAAGAGTGAGTGGCAGAGCTAAGCAGAGAATTCCAGAGCCCCAGACCCCTCTGGCTGCCCAGTCCATCTGGAGGCTTTGGGGAAATTCTTCCCGTAATACCTTTTTTTTTTTTTTTTTTTTTTAATGGCAGCAGAACCTTTTGCAAGTTCAGAAGAATTAGATTTCTTTAATGGTAACCTGCAGGAAATACATTAAAAACACATTCTATCAGTTACAAATCTTAATGTCACCAGCCAAGGATGAGGGAATTAATGCCGGGCCCAAAAATACATATAGTCAGCAACTCCGGGGCAAGGGCAGAGACAATTTATAGAGTGCGAGGTCTGGACGTCTGGAGCAGGCAGGCTGAGCTCAGCGGTGAAATGGAAACAGGGCTGTTTTCAGATGGAGCAGAGCAGGGGGAAGCTGCTCAGGGTGGCTTTGATTCAATCATTGTTTCCCATTTCTTAATGTAAATTACTTTTTTTAATGCTATGAAAGCCAGGTTCCGGTCTGTCACGAGAAGACTGTTTTCATTAAGATAAGCGCCTATCAAGGGCATTTTTAAAAGAATCAATCCCCAAAAAGAAAGCCACCTCCATCAAAACAATCCCAACCCTGATTATCTCCTCTGTCTACATGGATCAAACAAAGGGTATATCCAAGCAATGGGCTGGCTGGAGAATCTGGACAATGAAGACAAAACATATGTATAATTTATAGAATTTTACTTCCTTTACAGCAGGTATTTTTCTTTATATTGTAAAATAAAACACAGGAGTAGGAAACCATACTAAAAATATGTAGCCTAAATTATGATACGGGAAATAGTGGGTCTTTTAAATTGCTTTAATTTTTGGACTCAGCGCTCATTTTGCCAAACTTGAACACAGTCTTGGAAAAGTAAAGTTTCAGATCTCAGGAATATAATGTGCTCATTTTAGGAAGGAAAGTTATCTAAAGAGATATGCACAACACTCAACTGGTTAGTTGAGGGCTAACACGTTCCCAGCCATGTTCTTCCTTCTCACAAAGAAAGGGCATTAAAGGAGTCAGTGGGCACCAAGGAGCTGAATCCCACAAGCAGGGGTGGACTTTGGTCCCCAGTGTGTCCCCACACTGTGTGTTTTGCCACTCATTGCAAAGCACACAGCATCCCCCCTGGAGCTGGGCAAGTTGATGGGCATGTCTTTGCAGCCATGTCTCCTGGAGGAAAGGTGAAAAGGCATCATGTCACACCACCTCCCTTTGCAGGTGAGGAAACTGAGGCCACGGGTCTGATCTGAAGTCAGTAGAGAGAGGCAGAGCCAGAAATGACAGTCTGGATCATAGGACTCCCTCACCTCTGCCACACCACAGTGCCCCTTTTCCTAAGATATGCCCATGGTAGGTCAATAGCTGCTTGACAGGAACTGTACCCAGCACTTTCCAACCAGCCCAAGGACATGTTAGGGTGACCAACCATCCCTGTTTGCCTGAGATTAGGAGGGGCTCCTGAAACATGAGATTTTCAGAGCTAAAACGAGGATAGTCTAGGCAAATCAGGACAAGTTGATCACCCTCCTGGGCTGTGTTCATGTAGCTGATGCTGAATGACTGTGGTTGTGTGGTGGGCACCCAACAAAAGTTAGAAAGGAGGAAGAGGAGCATGGAGTCTCTTATGCTGAATGAGTTGGCTTGGAGTAAAATTATTCAAATAATTGATTTTTTTAACTTACTGAAGGGCGAGTATGGGTTTGTTCCTCATCATTTTAGTGCATTTCACATTCCAAATCTTAATTATTTGGGCCTTAACAGCAATCAATTTTATGGAGTGGGAAACTGAAGCACAGAGCTGGCCAAGCAGTCTAGGTTGGTCTGCCTAGCTGTGAATGGTGGAGCTTGGAAAATGCCCCAGTTTTCTGACCTTTGGTTGGTGCCGTCCTTCCAATTCTTCTCTGGTCAGCAACCCTGGCTAGAGGCCAGTTCTCTATTTAATTGTTGGGAAACGGGAGGCCAGAGGCTAGGGGTTTCTAAATTCAATTACAAGGACCTTGGATTAATAGCAAAATAATTCTCTTACTGGAGAAGGTTCTTAACAAAGAACCTCAGTGGGTCCAGAGAATGATCCTGGCTTGATCAAGCAAGACTACTTGCTTACCTTCACCCTTCACAATCTGAAAGCCAAGCTCCCTCTGAGATGACCCTGAAGCTTTCCCTCCCCAGATGCTATTCGGACAGTCCCCAGCCCCGGCCACTGCTTTCCACTCACAGTGGAGCAGCTGGACTCTGCACTTCTGAAATTGGAGCTGGAGGTGAAACGCTTAGCTGAGCTTTGCTTTCATTTCAGTGCCTTTCTTCTCTCTCTTGGGTTTAACTGCTTTTTCTGGCCTCAGGGAATCCCTTGTAAGTTAATAAAACTTACTACATCAAAGGGCTCCACAGCCATTACCCAATTAAAACCTCACAGCACTCCTGCAGCAGGTAAGCATTATTAACCCCATTTTACAGATGGGGAAACTGAGGTTAAGTGGTTTGCCCCCAGCCACTGAGGAAATGAGTGTCTCAGCTGGCATTAGAACTTGGTAGCTTGTTTAGATCACCCAGGGGTGGTTGTTCCTGCCTAAATCTGTTTTTCAAAGCACTTTGATTCTTAAGGATTCCTTTTTCCTTCTGGAAAACAACTCCTTACCAGCTGCACCAAGGATGAGGAATTTCTCCAAAGATGGTTTGTCAGAAAGCAGTAGCTCCTGCCTTCAACCAGAGAGGTGCCATAAAAATAGATGAAAGGTAAGAGTTCAGTGTAGTAATTTAGGAAACAATTTGGGCCTTTCAGAAATTAATGTTATTTAAAGATGCAGATTCATCCATCCCAGCAGCCTCCTGGGAGTGCTTCCTGAACCATCTGGTTCAATCAGCTCATTTTCTTTCCTCTAATCCTCCTGGCTCTTGTGTGTGTATGTACAGCAAAGGCTCCTGGGGAACTCACAGCATGAATAAAAAGCAAAGATCTTTCTCTTGTGCCAGCCACCTCTCCTCTTTTCCAAACAGCATAAAATTCCTAATCCTGTTTCTTCTTAGAGGGGGTATAAAAATTCATGTTCCAACAGACAATGAGGAGCTCCATGGAGGCTCCCTCCCAGGGCACCTGTCCTCTTAGTCCAGCCCAGATGACGGGGCATCTTCAGCCCATCATCTGAGAGGACCTAGAAAGCCTGGTGGTGTTTGGGAACAAATTTGCCCAGGCCTGCAGGAGGAGGAGGAAAAAAGTTTTTTTGGTCTGGTTAAAGCCATCCATGAGCCACAGGGAAGATTTCAAAGGCTCAGGTGAGTGTTTTCAAAAGAAGAGTTTCAGTGCAGCCTCAACCATGTAAGTCCCTGCTTCTTGCTGTTCAAGTCCAATTATAATCCACAAAGGCAGGATCCTGTGTTTACATAACTAATTACCAGATTTTGGATAGCCAGACGTGTTGTAGCACACAGGAGGCAAGCCCATAAATTACATTTAAGGAATTAAGGGTCAGATTGATCTTATCTCTGTAAATCCGGCCAAATTCCGGCAAGCTAAAGGACCATCCGGTTGACTGAGCCTCGGGAGGCAAGGGCCCCAGGAACCAGTGATCCTGAGGCTGTTGCTGCCCCCCATGCCTTCCTTTCCACCTCTCCCTGCTTCAGGTTGCTGGCTAGCTCTGAGAGCAAGGGGTGGCAGGAAGAAGAACTGCCCCAACTTGCTCTCTGCCCAACCTGCAAGGGAGGAAGGCAGGAGAGGGGTGTGGGCATCTCACTTCCTAACCTCTTTTCCCTCCTGGACCACACAGGATCTTGCTCCTGAAACAACAGCAATAATGTGCAAGTAGCGATGGCAAACAGCAAAGCTGTAAGAGTAACAGAACAGGGCCTCCTCTGGAGGTTTCTCTCCTGCACAGGCCAAGCCTCCACGTTTTCATTCATTCAGCAAAGCTGTACTGAGCAACTACTGCACCCCCAGTGCCACGGCAGAGTGTAGGGGTTGAGGGTGGCTCAGGCTCTGGTCTCAGAGTGCTTGAGTTTAAATCCTGGCTCTGCTAGGTACCCTGGGCAAGTGACCCAGCTCCCTTGGTCTTCTGCTCCCTTATCTGGAAAGTGGGATTGTAACAGCACTAACCCCTTTGAATGGGGTGAAGGTTAACTGAAGTCATCCATAGCAAGCTCTTAGAATAGGGCCTGGCACATGGTAAATACTCAATAAATGCTAGTTATTACTATTATTATTATTATTTCTGTTTTAGGCACTGTGGGCCTCCTGTCTGAAGGTGGTTGCAAGCTGGTTGAAACAGATGCTCTGACTAAACACAAAGGGTAGGACAAGGCAGGACGGTCAATTAGGCACCAAGTGAGTGGAAAAGACAATGAAGTTCCAAGGAGCAGGTAGAAGGACAAGATCACTGTGGCCGTAGGCCTCACAGAGGAAGGAAGGCTTGCGCTGGGCTGGAAGGATGCACAAGATTTGGCTGGGCCACAGAAAGAACTTGAGGAGAAGGGCCTGAACCCCAAGATTCCACAAGAATTAAGCTAGAAGTCAAAGTGTTATGCAAGCCAGAAGTTTCCAAGAGTATAAGCCAAATTTCTTCAATGAAGATTTCCAAATCAGAATGTCAGCCTCTCTTGTAGAAGAAGAAATATTGATTTGTGTTAACTTCATCTGACAAAAAATGTTACAAAGTGAGGGCCAGCAGTGCACACTGTAAAGAAACCAGAAGGGACATGAATCTATTAGAACTAGAGCTTCAATTTATAAAATGGAAAGAGGAACATCAGATAGAGATGTTATTAAAATAAAATTACATTGTTTGGTGAAACAAAAAGTATTCTAGGCCGGGGTGGTGGCTTACGCCTATAATCCCAGCACTTTGGGAGGCTGAGGTGGGCAGATCTCTTGAGGTCAGGAGTTCGAGACCAGCCTGGCCAACATAGTGAAACCTTGTCTCTATTAAAAATTAGCCAAGCATGGAGGCAGGCACCTGTAGTCCCAGCTACTCTGGAGGCTGAGGCAGAACTGCTTGAACCCAGGAGGCGGAGGTTGCAGTGAGCCAAGATCACATCATTGCATTCTAGCCTGGGTAACAGAGGGAGACTCCATCTTAAAAAAAAAAAAAAAGTATCCTACCCACTCAATCATTCTTTGTGTGTGTGTGTGTGTGTGTGTGTGTGTGTGTGTGTGTGTGTGTTTGTTTTTTGAGATGGAGTCTCGCTCTGTCACCCAGGCTAGAATACAGTGGCATGATCTCGGTTCACTGCAACCTCCGCCTTCCGCATTCAAGCAATTCTCCTCCCAAGTAGCTAGGACTACAGGCATCCACCACCATGCCTGGCTAGTTTTTGTATTTTTAATAGAGATAGGGTTTCACCATGTTGGCCAGGCTGGTCTCGAACTCCTGACCTCAAATGATCCACCCACCTCAGCCGCCCAAAGTGCTGGGATTACAGGCGTGAGCCACAGGACCTGGCCCTACAATTGAATTGCTAAACAAATTTTTACTTGGATATTATTACTTAAAAGATGAATGCACTCAAGCAGCATTCAATCAATGAACCAACCATGTGCCCAGCACTATTACAGTTGTAACAAAGGATAAGAAAGAATTTGAACAGAAAGGAATTTTGCTCCCAGCCAAGATGGAGCAACAGTGACTGGATTTCCTCTCCTTCCTGAAATGAAACAAAGAAGGATGGAAGAAAGGAGGAAGTGAGGGAGGGAGATAAGGAAAGAATGAGAGAGATAAGAGAGGGAGGGAATGGGAAGAAAGGGGGAAGGAAGGAAAGAAGGTAAGTTGGTTTTCAAGACTGTTTCAGGCAAGAAAGGACATTTACTGAGAGATGGAAAAACAAGGTAAGCCCCACAACTGCCCTACAGCTTACTGCTTTATGAAGGCTTCCAGGCTGTGGTAGAGGGAGAGAAAACCAGGCACGTCTCAGCCAATTCTGAGTTGAAGAGACAGAGCTAAAAGGATACCAAGGTAGCTAGAGTTTTCAGGACAGAATACCAGACAGGAGAGAGCTACACAGAGGCCTGGAGATGTGTAGAGGGTCTCCCACAAGTATCTGGCATTATTGACCCATAGGGTGAGAAAACTACCCAAGGCTAGGGAGAGAACCTTCTAAGAGGACGAGAGAGCAATGTTATGTGTTCACACAGAGGTGGGAAGAGTGTTTCCACCAGCCAGACTGGAAAACTTCATAATTCATGAGGCATGGGTAAATTACTCAAAAGGGTACTGCCTTGGTATTGAGGAATAATTACCCCAACACAAAACACTGCTTTGGTCCCACCTAATAACGCTTTTTAATTTTTTTGTAAACAGGGTCTCACTCTGTCACCCAGGCTGGGGTGTAGTGGCACAAGCTTGGCTCACTGCAGCCTCAACCTCCTGTGCTCAAGCAATCATCCCACCTCAGGCTCCTGAGTAGCTAAGACTATAGGCCCACACCACCTTGCCTGGCTGATTTTTATATTTTTAAATAGAGATGGAGTCTCACTATGTTACCCAGGCTAGTCTTGAAATCCTGGGCTCCAGTGATCCTCCCGCCTCATCCTCCCAAAATGTTCAAAGTGATGGGATTATAGGCATGATCCAACTCGCCTGGCTCCCACCTAATAACTATTTTTTTTTTTTTGAGATGGAGTGCAATGGCACGATCTCGGCTCACTGCAACCTCCACCTCCCGGGTTCATGCCATTCTCCTGCCTCAGCCTCCCGAGTAGCTGGGACTACAGGCGCCCACCACCATGCCCAGCTAATTTTTTTGTATTTTTAGTAGAGATGGGGTTTCACTGTGTTAGACAGGATGGTCTCAATCTCCTGACCTTGTGATCCACCCTCCTTGGCCTCCCAAAGTGCTGAGATTACAGGTGTGAGCCACCGCACCCAGCTCCCACCTAGTAACTCTTAAAAGAAAGACCAAAAGAATCAAACTGTTGCCAAGTAACCTAATCGAATCCTATAACAATCCTATAACAAAGCTCAAGAATATTATAGAAATACCAAAATATCCTGTACTTAACGGGTAAAATTCACATTAGGCATCTAATGAAAGAATACCAGGCATGCAAAATATAACCTATAATGAGAAGAAAGATCAATCAATTAAAATTGACCCAGAACTGGCTGGGCACGGTGGCTCACGCCTCTAATCCCAGCAGTTTGGGAGGCCGAAGTGGGCAGATCACGAGGTCAGGAGATCGAGACCATCCTGGCTAACATGGTAAAACCCTGTCTCTACTAAAATTACGAAAAATTAGCCGGGCGTGGTGGCACATGCCTGTAGTCCCAGCTACTAGGGAGGCTGAAGCAAGAGAATTGCTTGAACTCAGGAGGTGGAGGTTGCAGTGAGCCGACATCGCGCCACTGTACCCCAGCCTGGGGGACAGAGTGAGACTCTGTCTCAAAAAATAATAATAAATAAAAATAAAATAAAAAATAAAATTGACCCAAAACTGACAAAGATGTTAGAATTAACAGACGAGTATGTTAAAACAGTTATTATGGCTATATTCCATATGTTCAAAAACATGCATAATATTTAAACGATGCAAAATGAACTTTTGAGATGAAAACTACAATTAGTAACATGAAAACTACAATGAGTAAGACGAAAATTACATTGGCTAAGGTTGATAGCAGACTAGATGTAGCAGAGGAAAATTTTAGTTATTAGAAAGACATAACAATAGAAGCTATTCCAAATTAAACATACAGAGAAAAAAGATGCTTAAAAAATAAAAAGAGCATCAGTGAGCTACAGGACAACTTCAAGCAGCCTCATATACATGTAATTGGAGTCCCTGAAAAACAGGGAGTACAGAAAAAATATTTGAAGAAGTAACGCTCAAAAATTTTCTACATTTTATGAAAACTATAAACCCACAAATCCAAGAAGCTCAATGAGCCCCAGCAAAAGAAATCTGAAGAAAATTACACCAATGCACATATAATCAAATCGCTCAATATATATAATAAAGAGAAAATCTTAGAAGCAGCCAGAGAAAAAAAGACATATTACATATAAAGGCACAAATATAAGGATAGCAGCAGATTTCCCACTGGAAACAGGGCAAGTGAGAAAACAGTTCAGCAAGATATTTTAAATGCTGAAAGAAAAAAAAAATCTGTCAATCTGAATCCTATATCAGCAGAAGTATCTTCAAAAATGAAGCTATAATAGAGACCTTTTTAGATGTGCAAAAGTTGAAAAAAATCATCAATGGCAAAACTGTACTATAAAAAATGTTAGGCTGGACGCGGTAGCTCACACCTGCAATCCCAACACCTTGGAAGGCTGAGATGGAAGGATCTTTTGAGCCCAGGAGTTCAACACCAGACTGGGCCACAAGATTAGACCCTGTCACTACAAAAAATTTAAAAATTAGCTGGGTGTGGTGGCACATACCTGTAGTCCCAGCTACTCAGGAGGCTGAGGCAGGAAGATTGCCTGAGCCCAAGAGGTGAAGGCTGCAGTTAGCCGTGATCACATCACTGCACTCCAGCCTGGGTGACAGAGCAAGCCCCTGTCTCAAACAAACAGACAAGAAATGTTAAAGAAAATCCTTAAAGCGGAAGGAAAATGATACCAGATTGAAATATGGATCTACCCAAAGGAATAAAGGTAAATACATGGCAAATATGTAAGATTTATAAAAAACTATATCTCTTTCAATGATAATTGACTGCTTAAATAAAAAAAGATGTATGGTTTATAACATATGAATAAGTAAAAAGTATGATAATGAAAGCAGAAAAGTCAGGAGAGGAGAAATGGAAGTATATTAAAATTCTTATATGTAAAATGGTGAAGGCAGACTGTGATAAGATATACAAGCCATAAACCCTGAAGCAACCACTAAAATAACAAAACAAAGAATTATAGCTATTAACCCAACAAAGAAAATAAAGTGAAATTATAAAAAAAAATCAATCCAAAAGAAGGGAGAAAAAGAGAAAAGAAAGAAACAAAAAAGAAATGGAACAAATATAGAACAAAAAGAAGCTGATAGGCTTAAACTTAACCTGTCAATAATCACATTATAAGTAAATGGTCTATACTGTAGGATTCCACTTATACAAGGTATCTAGAGCAGCCAAACTCATAGAAACAGAAAGTAGAATGGTGGTTGCCAGGAGTTGGAGAGGAGGGAAATGGGGAGTTGTTATTTAATGGGCAAAGAGTCTCAATTTTGCAAGATGAAAAAGTTCTAGAGATTGGTTGCACAACAATGTGAATATACTTAACATTACTGTACTGAATACTTAAAATGGTTAAGATGATAAATTTCATGTTATATATATTTTACCACAATTAAAACAAAACAACCCGCATATTTCTTTGAGGTGAGAAACAAAAGTAAGTGGTCTAAATGTTCTAATTAATAGGCAGAGATTGTCAGATTGGATTAAAAAGCAAGACATTATATAATGCTTATAAGAAACAAAATATAGAGACACAATATGTTAAAATGTAAAAGGAGGATGGAAAAAGATATGCCAAGCTAACGTTAATCAAAAGATAGGATGGCTATATGAGTATCAGATGAAGATTTTAGATCAAAGAATATTATCAAGTATAAATATCATTTCATAATTATAAGTCAATACATCAAAATTCTAAAAGTTTATGCGCCTAATAACAGAGCTTCAAAATACATGAAGCAAAAATGGATAGAGCTGCAAAGACAAATAGAAAAATCATAATTATAATCAGAGATTTCACTACTCCCTCTTAATAACTGATAGATAATTAGGTAGAAAATAAGCAAGTGTATAGAGGATTTGAATAACCCCATCAATCGACTTGACCTAGTTGACACTTATAGAACACTCCATCCAACAACAGCAGAATGCACATTCTTTTCACATGCGCAAGGAACATTTAACAAAATAGGCCATATTCTGGGCCATAAAACAAGTCTCAAACATTTGAAATGATTCAAGTCATAATAAAAAAGTTATCTTACCACAATGGAATTAAGTTATAAATAGTGAGTAATAGAAAGAGTCTTAGAAAAATCTCCAAATATTTGGAAACTAGATAAGGCACTTCTTAATAACCTATCAGTCAAAAAGGCAGGAGGGATCAGAATGTATTTTGAATGGAATGAAAATGGAAACCCAACATATCCAAATTTGTGGGTGCCACTAAATCAGCACTTGAAAGGTTTCAAGTCAATAACTTCAGCCTCTACCTTAAGAAATGAGAAAAAGAAGAGAAAATGAAACCCAAGTAAGCAGAGGAAAGGAAATAATGAAGATCAAAACAGAAATTAATGAAATAGAATACTGAAAAACAATGGAGAAACTCAATGACACCAGAAGCTAGTTCTTTGAAAAGATCATATTGATCAACCTCTAGGCATGGATCAGGAAAAAAGAGAAAAAACACAAATTAAGAATATCAGAAATAAGAGAAGTGACTTAATGACAGATTTTACAAGTAATAGGAGGATATTGTAAGAGATTATTATAAACAACTTTGCCTGGCCGGATGTGATGGCTCATGCCTGTAATCTCAGCACTTTGAGAGGCCGAGGTGGGTGGATGATTTGAAGTCAGGAGTTCGAGACCAGCCTGGCCAACATGGTGAGACCCCCCCGTCTTTACTAAAAATATAAAAATTAGCCAGGCATAGTGGTGGGCGCCTGTAATCCCAGCTACTCGGGAGGCTGAGGCAGGAGAATCACTTGAACCTGGGAGACAGGGGCTGCAGTGAGCCGAGATTGCACCATTGCACTCCAGCCTGGGTGACACAGCAAGACTCCATCTCAAAAAAATATATAGAAAATTAAAAAAATTTTTTTTAAAAACTTTGCCAATGCCAATTTAAAGATGGAGTGGGGAAGGGTGATGAATAGGCAGAGCACAGAGGATTTTTAGGGCAGTGAAAACTCTGTAGGACACTATAATGATGGATACACATCATTATACATTTGTCCAAACTCACAGAATGTACAACACCAAGAGAGAACCCTCATGTAAATGATGTACTTTGGGTGATTGTGATGTGTCATTGTTGGTTCATCAATGGCAACAACTGCACCACACTCGTAGGGGATATTGATAATGGGGGAGGTCTACACATGTTGGGGCAGGGAGTAGATGAGAAATCTGTATCTTCCTTTCCGTTTTGCTGTAAACCTAAAACTGCTCTTAAAAAATAAAGTCCTTTTAAAAAATATATTTTTTTCATAGAGATGAGGTCTTGCAATGTTGCCCAGGCTGGTCTCAAACTACTGGGCTCAAGTGGTCCTCCTGTCTGAGCCTCCCAAAGTGCTGGGATTACAGGCATGAGCCACCACACCTGGCCTAAAGTCCTTTTAAAAAAAAAAAAAAAGCGCAAAAGGCTTGCACAGACACCACCAAATGAGACATCTGGATGATAAATAAGTACATGAAGAAATGCTCAACAATTGGTCATCAGGGAAATGCAAGTTAAAACCACAACAAGGAACCATCACACACTCACTAGAATGACTTTTTTTTTTAATTGACAGTTCCAAGTGTTGGTAAAGATGTAGAACAACTGAAACTTTCATACACTGCTGGTGGAAATATAAAATGGTACACCCACTTTGGAGAAATGTTTGACAGTTTCTTACAAAATTAAACACCATATCATCCAGTAATCCTACTCCTGGATATTTACCCAAGATAAACTAAGATATATGTCCACAAAAAGATATACTAGGATGTTTACAGGAGTTTTATTCATAATAGTAAAAAACTAGAAATAGCCCAAAGTCCATCAACAGATAAAAGGATAAACGGTGATATATTCATACAATAGACTTCTACTCAGCAATTAAAAGGAACAAGCTACTGATAGATGCCATGGCATGGATAAATCACATAGACATGCTGAGTCATAGAAGTCAGACACAAAAGACTACTGTTATGAACTGATTGTGTCCCTCGCAAAATTCGTAAGTTGAAATCCTTTCCTACAATGTGACTGTATTTGGAGATGGGGCCTTTAAAGAGGTAATTAAAGTTAAATGAAGTCAAAGGGCCAATAAGTCAAATCCAATAGGAACCTATTGAATTGGGGCTCTAACCCAATAGGACTAGTGTCCTTATAAAAAGAGGAAGAGACACCAAAGATGTGTGTGTCCTGAGAAAAGGCCATGTGAGGACACAGCCAGAAGACAGCCATCTGCAAGCCAAAGAGAGAGGCCTCAGAAGAAACCAAACCTGCCGACATCTTCATCTTGGACTTCCAGTCTTTAAAACTGTAAAAAATAAATTTCCATTGCTTAAGCCACCCAGTCTGTGGTATTTTTTGGCAGCTCTACCTGCCAAATACAACTACATATTGTACAATTCTATTTATATGAAGTTTTAGAACAGGTAAGGCAGATCAGTGGTTGCCTGGGCCCTGGGATAAGGAGACAGATACTGACTGCAAACGGGGACAAGGAAACCTTTGGGGATGATGGAAATATTCTGTTTTACTGTGGTGGTGGCTGCATGGATATATGTATTTGTAAAACTCATCAAAATGTACACTTAAAATTGGCACATTTATGAAAATTATACCTCAATAAAGTTGATTTTAAAAGAAAATATTTCTCTGTGGAATGTGGATGTCTGAAATTCAGAAAAGGAAACAAAATATTTGGTAAAAAGCATAGACAAACTATGGAATGGAATGTAAGGGAGTTGTGAAGTCTGCCAGTGCTTCATAACTTTCATTCTGCAATTTTGAATGTTTAGAGAGGTGCATTCCCAGCAAACAAGGCTTTGCATAGTCTCGCCCCTAAGTCCAAAGTGGGATGCAGATGGAGCTCTATATGCTAAAGGCCCCTGGAATCATAACCGTGTGTTTCCTAAAGTTTATTCATCAAAACAGCCAACATTAAACATTAATCAACTAGTACAAAAATTGTATGTTCTTAAAAAAAAAAAAAAAAAAGCCGGGCTCGGTGGCTCATGCCTGTAATCCCAGCACTTTGGGAGGCAGAGGCGGGCGGATCACGAGGTCAGGAGATCGAGACCACTCTGGCTAACACGGTGAAATCCTGTCTCTACTAAAAATACAAAATTAGCCGGGCATGGTGGCGGGTGCCTGTAGTCCCAGCTACTCGGGAGGCTGAAGCAGGAGAATGGCGTGAACCCGGGAGGCGGAGCTTGTAGTGAGCGGAGATTGCGCCACTGCACTCCAGCCTGGGCGACAGAGCAAGACTCCGTCTCAAAAATAAAAATAAAAAATAAAAAATAAATGCTGAATACAAAATCTTGTATCTTTCTTACCAACTCTCCATTTCTATCATCAACTGACGCTGAAGTTTTATTTAGCTGGATCCTTCTGGGTGTCCTGTTCTCCGACTTGAACCGGGCGTGGCATCAGAGCCCCTCTGGGATGCTTGACTTACAGTAACCAAAGATCCTCATTATGGCACTAGAGAGTGTTTGCCCTAGTTAGAATAACTACTTTCTAACACGCAGCTCCTGTTTCTTTTCTTACTATACACTAGAAAAGAGAGATGTGGATTAGATTATTTTAAGGTGTTTTCCAGCTATCCCCACCGCCCCGCCCCGCCACGCTCTGAGCTTATATTAGGTTCATTCATGACTTCACTCGTTCATCATTCAGCTACATGATAAGGTATCTCTCCGTGCCCAGCTATGTATAAGGGCTAGGGGTGCAGCAGTGGAGACGGACAGGGTGCGTGCCCTCATGGTGCCCACATTTCAGCGCGGGTGGGGAGCGGCAAGCATCCCAAAACAAACCAGCTTCAACAAGAATGTACTGGTTGGATGCTGGGGAATCTCGGGCAGGAGGGTGGGCTTCAGGGGCTCCCTGCCTCTCCACGCTTAGTGAAGCTGGTAGTCAGGCGGCCTCCCACTCCAGCAGGACAAAGTCTGGAGCAGGAAGGACCCTCACTTTCCAAAAAACTCCTGATGAAGTACAAAGAGGAGGGACTTTGCCGGAAGCCGCTACAGCTGACCTCTCCTTGTGCCTCGTTGGCCTGACTTGGTCACGTGCTTTTATTTGAACCAATCACTGTAAGGGAGACAGAACCTGTGGACCAATCAAGCTTCTCCATGGAACTGGGTGTGGTGGGAATCAGCTGGGCGTGCCTCGGGGGGACCAAAAATTAGTTACTGCTTATTCTAGTTGTCTTAAATTAACTCGAAGGTGCACGTAATAAACTTAAACAGTAGTTCAAGACAGCTGATAACGCTTTAACAGCTTCCAGACGTACTGACTTCAAATATTGGCGTTAACTGCAAACCAGGGAGTATCTTAACACGAAACAAATCAGGAATGTCAAGAGGTTTCACTCCATGTCTGTTATGAGAGGCGGTCAGGAAAGGCTGCTTTCGGGAGGCAAATCTTGAGCTGTCTCTGGAAGCACACAGCTTGGCTTTGAGTTCCCAGCCCTGAGATTTCCCAGCTGGTTAAGTCCCTTAAGTTCTGGAAGCTTCAGTTTCCTCTCCTGTTAAATGGGCACTATAGTAGCTTTTATGTAGGATTTGTAAGATAACTAAATGAGATACTATACGTGAAGTCCTTTTAGTACAGTGCCTAGCATATAATGAGTGCTCAATATATTTTGGGTATCATTATTATTTAACTTGTGCAGAGTCATCCCAACTGCCAACATCACTAGATAGAAGTGGATAGTTCTCTGTTTCTGACCCACCCCTTCATCTTCTCAGAATCTGATTTTAGGTCGCAGTTGATCAAGTATAGGAGTACTTTGTTACAGGTATTTGTCAAGATTCTGTTCACTAGTATTTCTTTTCTCCCATGCTTCTCCAGCACTGTAGCTTCAGAAGGTGATAGAAAAGTCAGGTTAAGGGTTCTGAAGTCAGACTCCCTGGGTTCAAGACCCTGGCTTACCACTTACTCACTCTATGGCCTTGGGGGGATATTTAAGTTTTCCTCATCTGTAAAGTGGCGTAAAAACAACATATTTGTCATAGGGTTGTTGTGTGTATGGTAGGAACATGTCTACGTGAAGGGCTCCCCAAGGTCCTAGCATTATGGTAAGCACTTGATAGATGTCTCTTGTATTATTACCATTTCATTTATCAACCATGACTCCTGACTCTATTCCTGTTGTCAGTCCCAATCCCTCTTCTTAACTCCAGGTGCTTATTTCCAGATGCCTGCTGAACAATTCCTCATAAAGATCCAGCCAAAACTTAATTCTCAATCTATCCTAAAATACACCTTAAAAACACCCATCCACTCTCCTCATTCCCCAAATCTCCTCCTCCTCCTTACAACCATTCTTTCCATTAAGGTCAGCACCTATGGGAAACAAAAGGTTTTGTTCCCTGTTTTAAGAGTTCCAGACATTAGAAAGCCTTGCTCCCCCACCCCCTCACTCCCAAATTCTCAGAGTTTCAGGGCACTTCCACTCAACATAAGGGAAATGAGGCCAGAGCTGTGACGTGACTTGCCCAGGGTCACTAGCAAGTGGGAAGCAGAAGAAATCCATGCCTCCTGCCTTCAAGGTGACTATCCTTCCACCATCCCATGGTTTGCAGTTTCTCTGAGCCATTGAATCACCCTGCCATGGTTGTCCTAAGGGCCCCCTCAGCAGGCTCACAGTCCTGGAAGTTGGGGAGGGGCGACTGGGGGTGCCCAAGTAGTTCTTGAAACAACCAAAAATCAGATTTTTCATAAGCTGAATCTCTTGTTTATCCTGAGTTGTGTGAGGGTGGGGGAGACGGGGGAGGTTAGCTCCTTTGAGAGTTTCCAAGCATTATGAGCAAAGTCAAACCCAAACTGAAGGATATGAGTCATTCTGAGTGTGCCTCTGTTGGCCACAAATGGGTACAAGAGATGTAAATTCTGCAGAGGTTGTGAGTGGCTTAGCCAGTGTTTTTCAATGAGAAATTCCACAGCATGGAATTTGAGGGTGCCCAAGGGAGCTCTCTATGCCTCTTACTGCAATCCCATCTCTGTTAGCCCTGACAGATCTCAGGTGAGTAACTCTGCAACTGATTGGTGCTACACAGGGGGCCACATAGGCTTCAGACACCAAAACAGCCATCTAGCTCGTCGCGTTCCACTTCCTCAGACTATTGAAGTCACAAAATTCCTGCCATTCCTGAGCTTGTAACAGAGACTCAGACCCAGTGACCTCCTTTTGTTCCCGCTGGGGACTGTAGCCCCTCTGCAAGTTTAAACCGTTCAAATGAGCTCTGGCTTCATCTTAGAGACGCTGTCGGTGAAGGAAAGGGGAGTGGAGAGGCGGCACTGGGAAGGACTTACAAGGTGAAAAAGGATGGCCACGACTTTCCCCATTCCCCCGCCACACCGCTGTGGAAAGAAAAAAAGTCCCAGAGAAAAACTGGAGTATAAAACTGTTCTCTCTTTATGGAGACAGAAAATAAAATAGAGGTTACCAGGGTCTGGAGGGAGCAAGGGACAGGGAATTATTGTTTAATGATTACAGAGTTTTTGTTGGGGGTGATGAAAAAATTTTGGGTATAGATAGTGGTGATGATTACATACCATTGTGAATTTATTTTATTTAATGCCACTGAATTGTACACACTTACAAATGGTTAAAATGATAAATATTATGCCATGTACTTGGCCACACACACAAAAAAACTACAATAATGTCCTAAACACCCTCCCCCCACGTTTCTTTTGAGATGGACTTCAAATAGGCTGGCCCTCGAATCTGTGCGGCTGGGTTCTTTGTCAGGAGATCATTATGCTTTGCTTTAAGCTGGTGGTTCTAAAGAATTATGGATGACACAAATGACTGAAACTGATTTATTTCTCAAGTGTTTGAGGTTCCTTCATCCCTACCCAATAATGTCTAGTCAGGAAAAGCTTGTCTTAACCAAAGTCAGAAAAATAAAAGAAAATGCACAAGCCATCATCTAAAGTAGACCCTGGTTTAAGAAAATCTCAGATTTGGAAAACAAATTGGAGACTGATGATTTGCCTTATGAAAGATCGCTTCCCTTAACAAAAGAGTTTACTCAAAAGTTCTTTAAGAAGAGAGCCCCCGGTGCATTTAATGATGTTATTGGATTAAAAAAATCATCTGGACCATTGAAGGGCACTGCACTGTAAATATATGAATACATTGTATTGTGTTGTTAAGAGTGGGAATAAAAGAGTCAGGATTCTTTGACAAATGGAGCATTTTGGCCTGAAGTAACACAAAGAGAGAGCAAGATGAGTTTTCTTGGCCTAAAATCCTGGCGGCTTTCTGGAAAGGCTTTGGGAGTTTATGTGATTTATTTAAGACCATCTAAGCCCAAGGCCTGTGATACATCCATTTTGAGAAAAGGCCTGTGCCAAATTTAGGGTCAAAGTTCTAACGCTGCTCATGCTAACCCCCATCACCTGCCCATTTAATCATAAAGGTTCTCAGACGTGAGCTCAACTCTGTCCTGCAATGGCAGAAAAATATATCTGTTGCCAGAAAGTGGATTCTCCAGTGATGAAGAATGATCCTTATTTATGTCTGCATAGGTACATTCTGGGGCCCATAAAGGTTTAATTGTCCCTCTAACTAGTTTTTTAAAAAACCCACAAAGAGGCTGCCAGCTTTCCCCAGAGTTTAAAACCAACTGAATGCGGTTCTGTGGAAACTGCTTTAAGTGTGCAACTCGCGCCGTGTCCTGGGGCACAAGGCGTGATTGTTTTGGGGACTCAAAAGATGCAGCTCTTAGGAGGACTTTTAAAGTCAGTTTTTGTGGCTTTCGGCTGCTGCTGACCCTGGGTTGCTCTGCAGAGAGAGAGAGAGAAACTCCTTCATCTAGGAGCCAGGTTCTAAGTTACTCCCATGGTGCCACTGCCCCCTGCTGCCACCTTCTGATTGGGGGTGGGAGGCACTCCAGTGTCACAGGGCCTCAAAAGTCCTTTTCTCTCAGACATTGTCTTTGCTGGTTTAAAAGGCTCTCTCAGGAAGCTAAGGACAGAGGAGACACAGAAAGAGAAAAAACATGGCTATATGCTTATGAGACAAAAAGAGAAAGACAGACCCTGGTAACCGAGACTGGATCCAGAGAGAGATACTTTGCTTGACATCTTGGGTGTGTGAGGGGAGCAGTGGCCCATTCTCTGTCACTCCCCTTACAATGCAGTCTCCCCTGTTCATTCATTCCATAATTATTGATTGGACACCTATTATGTCCCAGGCACAACAGTGAATAAAATGCACACAGTCCCTGCTCCCAGAAAGCTTAGTCTCATGGGAGAGTCACATTTCAATAAAGGTTAAGTATGCCAACAAACATATGATTACAAAATGTGATGAGTGCTATGGAGAAAACATGCAGGGTGTTGAGAGAAGCTAATGGAGGGCCATGGAAGGTCCTCTGAGGAAGTTAGGCCTTGTAAGCTAGTTCTGAAGGATGAGAGTCAGGGAGGCGAAAGGGGCTTTTAGAGCAGGGAGAAACATGCTAGGTGGAAGGAACAGCATATGCAAAGACCCTGAGGTCGGAAGAGCAGAGCCTGTGAGGTGTTGCTAATGGAGTGAGATGTGGCTAGAAAAGGAGGCAGTAAACATTGCTCCCAGAATCTTCTTTGTCTTCCGCTTTGAGCCTCCTCCCTTAGAGATTTGTAATGGTTTTCCCATCCATCACACTTCACATTCAGCTTCAAAGGACCACCTCCAGACTGCCCCCAGATTCCCTCAACCCTTCTCCTACTCTTGGGTTCTGTGGAGAAAACACATTTGTCAAAAGACTAAAGCAAATAGTTTTGACGTGCGGTTCTGTATCATAAGGGAGGCTATAATGAAGTCAGTCCGAGTTTACATGACTCCAAATGGTTCCATTTAAATGTCCCACCCTGTATTTATGTGTCCCTACCACTTTAGTTGACTGTTTATCTTCCAGTATACTCGACTGTACTTGCATCTTGGCCTTTATTTAACTTCATCCCTTACTTTCTCCATTCCATGCCCTATCATTTACATTTTTCTTTAGGAAATGTAAATGTTTATTTACAGTATTAGCTTTTACTCTTGCATACCTCTATACATTACAGAGTAAACAGACGGTGATATGGGTTCTAGTCCTGAATTTTCCATAAACTGGTGGTGACCTTAGCCAAGTCATTTAACCTCACTGAGCCTAAAATGTTTCTTTGTAAAGTGAGGGGTTTTTCATTTTTGTTTTGTTTTAGTTAGCAGATTTGTATCCAGGATTCCTCTTAAATTCTGTGATTCTCTACCTCTTACAGCCACCTCCAAGTATGTCGCTTGTATCTTTGTCTTTATACACCCCTCTTTCAGAATGTCTTTGTGGATAGGACTGACTTTCTACATAATGTGCTTTTGTGGGGTAGTGTACACAGAATAGTAT
Source organism: Homo sapiens (assembly GCF_000001405.40). Lineage (NCBI taxonomy): Eukaryota > Metazoa > Chordata > Mammalia > Primates > Hominidae > Homo > Homo sapiens. The sequence goes on along the minus strand of NC_000006.12, from coordinate 35,145,071 downwards.
TTAATAATGAGAATAGACCACACTACTGGGCTTGAGTTAAAGCTCTCATATGTGAGAACATGGTTGAAGAATAGGAAAATTCTAGTTGCAGGCCTGAAATTACCATGAACTGCTTCTCAAACTGGGTTGTAGGCACCCATGGGGATATACAGAGGTGTACCAACAAGTACAGGAAGCCCTTCCTCCTGGAACAAGAATTCTATTCAAAGATTTGAGGGAGGGGCCAGGCGCAGTGGCTCACGCCTGTAATTCCAGCACTTTGGGAAGCCAAGGTGGGCAGACTGCTTGAGCTCAGGAGTTTGAGACCAGCCTAGGCAACATGATGAAACCCCGTCTCAACAAAAAATACAAAAATTAACAGGGTGTGGTGGCACACACTTGTAGTCCCAGCTACTTGGAGGAATGAGGCAGGAGGATTGCTTGAACCCAGGAGGTCGAGGCTGCAGTGAGCCAATATTGTACCACTGCACTCCAGCCTGGGGGACAAAGTGAGTCTCTATCTCAAAAAAAAAAAAAAATTGAGGAAGGGAAATAGACTTTAGTATTAAAACAAATGGATGTATTATGAATAGAAAAGTCATACAACATCTTGGTAGAAAAAGGGAACCCTGGGCTGGACAACTTTGGTCATATTTCAGTGTAAGAGGAAACAGGGCTTCTCTTCTGTTCTTGGGTTGCTTGGAAATACTTGCATTATGGGTCATTTGAGGTATGTGCACTTTAATAGGGCAAAGGTGTGAAGTTATCCAGGAGGGGCATTCCTGCTAAATAATGGGCATACGTAGAAACTTCAGTTTTACCCATTAGAAGAGTTTAAAGAGGGTCCTGAGGTTGAGGGAGAGCCAGGCCTAACATAAACCAAAGACCAAATGAGTTAGAGAATTTTTTTTCTTTCTTTTTTTTTTTTTTTTACAGGGTCTTGCTGTGTTGCCGAGGCTGGTCTCAAACTCCTGGCCTCAAACTCTTGGCGTCAAGTGATCCCCACCCGCCTTCGCTTCCAAGAGTGTTTTGTTTTTTTAGACAGAGTCTCGCTCAGCTGCCCAGGCTGGAGTGCAGTGGCACGATCTCAGCTCACTGAAACCTCTGCCTCCTGGGTTTAAGCGATTCTTCTGCCTCAGCCTCCTGAGTAGCTTGGATTACAGGTGCCCACCACCATGCCCAGCTAATTCTTGTATTTTAATAGAGACGGGGTTTCACCATGCTGGCCAGGCTGGTCTTGAACTCCTGACCTCAGGTGATCTGCCTGCCTCGGCCTCCCAAAGTGCTAGGATTACAGGCGTGAGCCACCGAGCCCAGCCGAGTTAGAGAATCTTACTGAGGACCCTGGCTAAAGGCTGGGCTTGAACTGACCCAAACACTAGCAAGATCTTTCACCCTTTCTCAGTCCTCAGGTAGCACTTCTTGTTCATAGCCCCGGCCCCAGTACTTACCATGCCATTATATGTTATATTTTATTGTGTACATAATAGATACCAGAGTCAAGGAGGTCATGTGAATTAAGAAAAAGTATCTGATCAAGAGTCAAGATCTTGCTTACTGTGTGACTTTTGGTTACTCTCTGAAACCTCTTTGATCCCCAGCTTGTTCACCTTTCAGACAGTCCAGTATAACACCTGCCTTGCCTACTGAATGAGATTGTGTGCAGAGCATATAGATCTGCGATGTAAAAGCATTCTGTAAATCATTACAGAGAAATCAGTTATTAACTAAGACCCCAAAGGGAAGAAGTGCATATCTCTTACTTGATCTTTCTACTCCCCTCAACCTCTAACTTTTGCTTGGTTGGTTCTGATGACTATTAATGATAAAGATCATGAAATGCTGTACCTGGGCTGACCCTGGGAAAACTAATTTTGTCTTTCTCTGCTACCTCCTTTTCCTCCTGTTCTGGCTTCGGTCCCCTCCCCACTCTCCACCCTCCCCCACCCCCCTCTCACACTACCATGTGCTCCTGGACTGCTATTTCTTCCCACTGACCCTCCCAGACAATTCGAATATTAAGAGAATATTTAAACAGACAATTTAACATATATGAAAGAATTGTTAGAGGAATTTCAGACATCAGTAGGGAGTTTTACAGCAATGCAATTTTTGTGGGGGAAACGAACTGGTGTTATTCTGGAAACTTTCCCAGAAGTAAAAATGCCAAATGGAATTCCTGATTTGCATTTTTAAAGAGAAATCAATAACCCAGCCTAAATATCTCCCTATGTAATAAGGAAGCATCATATTTCATTGAACTCTTTGCTGAAGTCATCATGCAACTTCCTCCCACTTCTGGTGGTTTTAGGGTGAAGGCTGGCCTGCTTCACAGTTGGCATCCCTGAGGGAAATAGCAGGAGAGGGCGAGGAGGAGGAAGGGGTAGGTTTGGTATGGATGAGTCTGAGATGCTCTGGATAAACAGTAACTTGGCTAGGCCACTCCCCTGGTATATGCCTGGGCCTCAAGGTGGAATGGACTTTTTTTAAGCACAAATGCTTTTGGGTGTCTTTATAATTTCCCCCTCCAAACCCAAGAGTTGTGCAAGAAACATCCACACTCCACACTAACAAGGCAAAGGTTGTTTTTGTTTTTTTTTTTTTGAGACGGAGTTTTGCTCTTGTTGCCCAGTCCGGAGTGCAATGGCGTGATCTCGGCTCACCGCAACCTCTGCCTCCCAGGTTTAAGCGGTTCTCCTGCTGCAGCCTCCTGAGTAGCTGGGATTACAGGCATGAGCCACCACGCCCAGCTAATTTTGTATTTTTAGTAGAGACGGGGTTTCTCCATGTTGGTCAGGCTGGTCTCAAACTCCTGACCTCAGGTGATCCACCCGCCTCGGCTTCCCAAAGCCCTGGGATGACAGGCTCGAGCCACCGCGCCTGGCCTTGTTTTGTTTTTTTGAGACAGAGTCTCGCTCTGTTGCCCAGGCTGGAGTGCAGTGGCGCAATCTCAGCTCACTGCAACCACGGCCTCCCGGATTCAAGCAATTCTCTGCCTCAGCCTCCCGAATAGCTGGGAATGCAGGCGCCCGCCACCACGCCCGGCTAATTTTTGTATTTTTAGTAGAGTCGGGGTTTCACCATGTTGGCCAGGCTGGACTCGAACTCCTGACAGGAGATCTGCTGGACTCAGGTGTCAGCCACCGCGCCCGGATTCTTACCATAATACTTTCATCTTTTGTTTTGTTTTGTTACTGTACACTTTTATGGTAAGAAGTCATGACACAGTAATAAAGAGAGACGGGAGCAGGTGAAGAGGAAACGCTTCCTTTCTATTTTCTCAGGCAGGGGCACTCCAGGTCTTCACATCACTGCAAGGGCGACAGAGTAGACTTAGAGTCAAGAAAGGCAAGGGCTAGAGCCCAGGAGGCGGAGGGCGACAACGGGCGGAACCCCAGTGGGCAGAGCCTGGCCCCAGCCCTGGCGGCTCCTCCGCTTCTCCCACATGTGAGGAAAGAGCGCGGCCCCTGCGCCCCTGCGGCACACGCTGTGAAACAACCCTCCTGGGTGTGGCTCGGCTTCTCGGCTGTCCAAACAGCCTGAAGAAAAGCCCCATGCATGCTCTGGCCTCGTCTCAGCAGTTCCAGGCCATCCTTCTCGAGGGGCGGGAGCTGACCGGCATGAACCGGCCGCAGCGAGCCGCTCGAGGCCTGGTTGGCTTCGAGCTCAGGAGGGACGCACGAGCCTGCCGCTTCCGGCTCTGGCGGGGGGGGCACGTGCCCCGTCCCGTTGCCCCGGCGACCGCGGCGGTTTGTTCTCAGGCCCCGGCCTTTCTCACCGTGCGACGCCCCAACCCGCCGCTCCGCCGCGGTGGTACGCTCCAGGCCGCCAGGCCGCGAGGCCCACCGAGCGGACGCCAGTGGATGACCCGCGGCGGGGGAGGAGGAGGTGACGGCCTGGGAGCCGGAGGCGGGCCTGGGCCGGCGTTTCGGGCGAGGGGGGCACCTCGCCGCGAAGGAAGGGGCCTTCCCACGCTTCCCGCCCTGCGCCGGGCTTCTGTGGCTTTAGTTTCCTCGTTGCCGCCCAGCGCTCCACTTCTGTCCCACTCTCGACTTCCGCTCCTCCACGCTCCTTTGCCCCTTTCTGCCCCTCAGCACCCCCAAGACCCTGAGGCCGCTACCCCCCTTCCCGCCGCCCCCAGGGACCCCCTTGGCAATTGGGGAGGCCCCTTCCCCGACGCCAACAACACGCCTTTCTCCCTCACCCAGATACCATCAGCAAAATGCCAGACGTCAAGGAGAGTGTGCCCCCGAAATATCCTGGCGACTCAGAGGGCAGGTCCTGTAAGCCCGAAACCTCAGGACCCCCCCAGGAAGACAAGAGCGGCTCCGAGGACCCCCCTCCCTGTAGGTCCAGCTCGGCAGTCCCTGTGGCCCCCTAGGGGGTGCTTAGTGTGGGGGGTCCGCAGGCCCCCCCATCCCCCAAGTTTTCTCTCTTCACTATCCCTCTCTCGTTTGTCTTTCTCCGTTTCTCCCCCACCCGCCTTTACTTACAGGCCCGAGGGCAGAGGTCTTCAAAGAGTTTTTGGTTCTAGAGAAAGAAGTGACCCAAGCGTGATTACTTGAATCTGACAAGATTTGAGACTGAGTCGGTTCAAAGCCCTCCTTTGTATTGTATTTTGAATATGTAGGGGGGATTGGCAGATAGATCTGGGATTGATTTTAAAGAACCCAAATGATCCCAGACGGGAATTGGGTTTTCTCAGCGCTTTGCTAACTCAAGAAATAGTAGTGTCCTGGGCCCAGTCTCTAGCTCGGTTCTGTAGTGGGTGTTCTTTTGTGTTCTTGTTGGGGCACAAGGTCTTCTCCGCGCTTCGTGGTAGGTCCAGTCTCACTGGGACTCATGCTGTATTTCTCTTAATCTCCAGAGAACGTAACTAGTCATCAAACTGAGGAGCTGTCCGTGTGCAACAACTCAAGATAAAATTCTTGACTATTGAAATGCGAAAAATTAGATTGAGGCTTTGCGGCTGAATTAGATTGGTTTTTCTTGTGGCCACATGAGGTCGCTGCTGGTTAACTGAATGGCACCAAAAGGCATATTGGGGTCATTTCCAACAGCTATGAACCTGAGGTAGGATGAAAAATCCGTTTTTTTGTACACACAATTTAAGTTTTTGAGGTGTCTATTTAAATGAGTCCATATATAAAACAACTCTCAGTAAAATGAATAATCAAATTCCTTTTTAAAAAAATTTGAAATTTTGTGTATTAGGTTGACTTGGTTGTTATATTACTTGAAAATGTCTTTGTCCTTGGGATCTGGATTTTTAAAATCTATTTCGGTTAAATTTTATCTCTAATTTCTCTTTGAGCTCTCCTCATTCCTGAATTTTAGAGCTGTTTTGGAATTGCTTAGTGCTGTGTAACTTTTGAGCAACAGAAGTCTTATCAAGGCAGGCTATGAACTTTGATTTGTTGTAGTTGGAAAGTGTTTCTGTGTATATTTCCCTCCGTCCCTCAATAAGCTGCTGTAGTTCAATCCCCTTCTGAAGATTTTCTCTTAGCTCTCATTTAGCATTAGTGAATTAGCAGTGAGTCTGTTTACATATTTGATTGTGTTTTGCCATTTTGGCTGAAACTAAAGACTTCAGAGAGGCTGCAGAAATAAAGGGAACCTCAAGCGTCCACTTAAGGTCCAGTTCACCTTCATGTTTACCTAAGCAGAGACTCAGTGGATTTTTGGTAAAGGTCTACAATCTCCTTAACTTTTTATTTTTAAATATCGTAAGTCTGCTGGAAAGTAAAAAATAATACAGTGAATGCCCACAGTGTTAATATTCTGCCGTATTGCTTTTTCTCTCTCCCTGTATTTCCCCCTCCTGCCTTTTAAAATTGCAACGTCTTGACTTCTTTTAATTTTTGTTGTTGTTGATGGGTTTTTTTTTTTTTATAAACTAGCTGTTTTTTGAGACGGAGTCTCTGTCACCCAGGCTAGAGTGCAATGGTGCGATCTCGGCTCACTGCAACCTCCACCTCCTGGGTTCAAGCGATTCTCCTGCCTTAGCCTCCTGAGTAGCTGGGATTATAAGCATGTGCCACCATGCCCAGCTAATTTTTGTATTTTTAGGAGAGACGGGGTTTCACCATGTCGGCCAGGCTGGTCTCGAACTCCTGACCTCAGGTGATCTGCCTGCCTTAGCCTCCCAAAGTGCTGGGATTATAGGCAAGAGCCACAGCACCTGGCCTTGACTTCTTTTAATTTTTAAATTTTTGTGGGTACATAGTAGGTGTGTATATTTATCAGGTATATGGGATATTTTGATACAGGCATACAATGTGTAATAATCACATCAGGGTAAATGCGGTACACATCATCTCAAGGATTTATCCTTTGTGTTACAAACAATCCAATTATACTCTTTTAGTTATTTTAAAATGTGCAACTAAATTATTGTTGACTACAGTCATTCTGTTCTCTCAAATACTAGATCTTATTCATTCTATTTTTTGTACCCATTAACCATCTGTGCTTCCCTGCAACCCCCCAACCCCCCACCCAACTACCCTTCCCAGCCTCTGGTTATCTGTCATTCTATTCTCTATCTACATGAGTTCAATTGTTTTAATTTTTAGCTCCCACAAATAAGTGAGAACATGTGAAGTTTTTCTTTCTGTGCCTGGCTTAATTCACTTAACATAATGACCTCCTGTTCCATCTGCGTTGTTGCGGATAACAAGATCTTGTGTTGTTTTTTTGTTTTTGGCTGAATAGCACTCCATTGTGTATATCTACCATTTGTCTGTTGATGGACACAGGTTGCTTCCAAATCTTGGCTATCATAAATAGTGCTGAAATAAACATGGGAGTGCAGATATCTCTTCGATAGATTGATTTCCTTTCTTTTGGGTATATACCCAGCAGTGGGATTGCTGGATCATGTGGTAGCTCTATTTTTAGGTTTTTGAGGAACCTCCAAACTATTCTCCATAGTGGCTGTACTAATTTACATTCCCACCAACAGTGTATGAGGGTTCCCTTTCCTCCACATCCTCACCAGCGTTTGTTATTGCCTGAGTTTTGGATAAAAGCCATTTTAACTGGGGTGAGATACAAAGTCATGACTTTACCTCTAAATATTTCATCATGTATCTAAGAACAGGGGCATTCTCCTGTGTAACTTTTCTACAGTAACCTTATTTTTCCTTTTTACATTTTCAAATCTTTTTACTATAGAAAAATTATACATTTATGAAATAGAATGACTAATACAATGAGCCCCCATTTATCCATCATCCAGCTTCAACAATGATCAACTCGTGGCCAATCTTTGTTCATCTACATCTCCTCCACATCTTGGAGCCAAATAATTTTCTGTGAAAAATCATGATGCTGCATCAAAAGAGAGTGATAAAATATGATTTATTGTATACGGCTGCATTTTATACACCACGTAATCATTGTAACTACCATATATACCTATTATGTGTGAATGCTATCAGCTGTACTATAGGTCTGCACTAAAAACTTAGAACAGTGGTTGCCAAATACCCATGCTGGTCTGTGACAAAATTCTTAGCACTATTTAGTGAAATGAAATCATAAAGATATTGTAATGAGTTTTCCTAAAGTTAATTCCATTTAAGGGACTGCTGTTTATTTTGACAATATTTCCTTTCTGGTTTTTTTCAGAGGTTAAGCTATCTTTTCTTTGATGAAATGATGATTTTGGTGGTGGTAGATGATTTTTATTTGCTTGTTTCACTGTCCATACTAGGCAAAACAAAAAGTTGGCAAGTTGTTTTCAGTTGCTTAAAATATTTTCAGAAATTTTATTAGTCTGTGAATTCCTAAAATCTGAGAACTACCGCTTTAGAAGACCAAATGACTTTGGCACTATTCAGTAACATCTGAGTATTATCTGTAGGGAGAGTTTAGCTTTCATCATGTATAGCATCAGAGACAGGAAAAGGAACGTGGAACCTTAATACTTAGATAAATGTTTATTTTTGCAAATTTCAAATTATTGTTTCTTTGCTGCTATAAATACGATTTTACTTTTTAAGAGAAAAGTTTTTCATCTGTTTCACTTCCTGCTTTTTTTTATAAACTAGCTATTTGTTAAAAACTTAGAACAGTGGTTGCCAAATACCCATGCTGGTCTGTGACAAAATTCTTAGCACTATTTAGTGAAATGAAATCATAAAGATATTGTAATGAGTTTTCCTAAAGTTAATTCCATTTAAGGGACTGCTGTTTATTTTGACAATATTTCCTTTCTGGTTTTTTTCAGAGGTTAAGCTATCTTTTCTTTGATGAAATGATGATTTTGGTGGTGGTAGATGATTTTTATTTGCTTGTTTCACTGTCCATACTAGGCAAAACAAAAAGTTGGCAAGTTGTTTTCAGTTGCTTAAAATATTTTCAGAAATTTTATTAGTCTGTGAATTCCTAAAATCTGAGAACTACCGCTTTAGAAGACCAAATGACTTTGGCACTATTCAGTAACATCTGAGTATTATCTGTAGGGAGAGTTTAGCTTTCATCATGTATAGCATCAGAGACAGGAAAAGGAACGTGGAACCTTAATACTTAGATGAATGTTTATTTTTGCAAATTTCAAATTATTGTTTCTTTGCTGCTATAAATACGATTTTACTTTTTAAGAGAAAAGTTTTTCATCTGTTTCACTTCCTGCTTTTTTTTATAAACTAGCTATTTGTCCTGCCTTCCCCCAGTGTTAGACTACTATTCTGAAAGTTTCTAGCACTGTCGTGGGGCATAGAGTGCAGAAAACATAAATCACTAGAATAGTTGGGTGAGTCTGTGTAAGACCAGTTTGATTAATCTAAATTTGGGGCCTACTAGATTGAGTGAATCTCTGAATAAAATAGAAATTCAGACTTGCATGGGCTCATTGTTGTCCACCATCAGTTCTTTCTGTCACAGGTCTGACAGAAACCGTTAATGAAGTTTCCAAGCTGAGCAACAAGATTGGGATGAATTGTGATTACTACATGGAAGAGAAGGTTTTACCTCCAAGCAGGTATAGACTCTTCTTCTTTCTTCATGTTGCTCATCCTGGCTTAGGTACTTAGCACTGATGGCTTCAGATCAGACTTGAAGCATTTTTATTTAATGATACAATGAGTATTTAAACTTGAGAGGTCTCAACAACTTAAACAGAAGAGTACTAAGTTGTAATTATTAGTACCAAAGAAGGCCAAGAAGCAAATGTTACTTAGTCAACAAATAAACCAAAGCAACACTTGTTGGAATAAATATGGTGGATTTCAGATCTCTGACAAACTTGGAGGAAGCAGCCTGTAGTACTATCTGCTGCTGCATAACAAATTACCCCAAAATTTAGCAGCTTAAAATAACATTTCATTTTTCCGTTTTGGTTGTTTTTATTTTTTTGGAGGCAGGGTCTCACTCTGTTACCTAGGCAGGTATGCAGTAGTATGGTCATGGCCTCCTGGGCTCAAGTGATCCTCCTACCTCATTTTTCGATTTTTTTTTTTTTTTTTTTAGAGATGGGGTCTCACTGTGTTGCCCAGGGTTGTCTTGAACTCCTAGGCTCAAGCAGTCCTCCCACCTCAGCTTCCCAAAGTGCTGGGATTACAGGCATGAGCCACTGTGCCCAGCAAAATAATATTCATTATGTCACAGTTTCTGTGGATGAGAGATATGGGCATGGTTTAACTGTATACCTCGGGCTTATAGTCTTTCATGAGTTGTAGTCAGTCTGCTGACTCTTGGCCAGAGGCTCCCTCAATTTGCCACATGGAATTTACTATAGGGCAGCTATATATAATGTACTATATATTATATACTAAACATGGTGTATATATGTATACTAAACATGGCAGCTGGCTTTCCTCCAAGGGAGAGAACAAGAGTGTGTGTGAGAGATGGTGCCCATGACAGAAGCCAGTCTTTTTGTTACCTGATCTCAGAAGTGACATCCCATTGTTTCTGCTACATTCTTTTTTTTTTTTTTTTGAGATGGAGTTTTGCTCTTGTTGCCCAGGCTGGAGTGCAATGGCGCGATCTCGGCTCACTGCAACCTCTGCCTCCCAGGTTCAAGCAATTATCCTGCCTCAGCCTCCCAAGTAGCTGGGATTACAGGCATGCACCACCACGCCTAGCTAATTTTGTATTTTTAGTGGAGATGGGGTTTCTCCATGTTGGTCAGTCTGGTCTCGAACACCCAACCTCAGGTGATCCGCCTTGTCCTCCCAAAGTGCTGGCATTACAGGCGTGAGCCACCGTACCCGGCCCGCTTCTGCTACATTCTGTTTGCTATAAATGAGTCATTACATCCTGCCCACCCTCAAGGGAAGAGGTTTCCACAAAGATGTGAATACAGTTGGCCCTTATATCTGTGGGCTCTGCATCCCGTGAATTCAACCAAGTGCATATAGAAAATATTAGAAAAATAAAAAATAACACAATAATAAAAAATACAAAATAATACAAAATTAAAAACCAATATGGTATAACAACTACTTACATAGCGTTTACATTGAATTAGATATTTAAGTAATCTAGGGATGATTTAAAGTTTATGGGGCCAGGCGCAGTGGCTCACGCCTGTAATCCTAGCACTTTGGGAGGCAAAGGCGGGTGGATCACGAGGTCAAGAGATCAAGACCATCCTGGCCAACATGGTGAAACCCTGTCTCTACTGAGAATACAAAAATTAGCCAGGCATGGTGGTGCGAGCCTGTAGTCTCAGCTACTCAGGAGGCTGAGGCAGGAGAATTGCTTGAACCCAGGAGGCAGAGGTTGCAGTGAGCCAAGATCACGCCACTGCACTCCAGCCTGTTTTGAGACTCCATCTCAAAACAAAACCAAAAAAAAAAAAAAAAAAAAAGCTTATGGGTGGATGTGCATAGGTTATATGCGATACTATGCCATTTTGTATCAGGGACTTGAGCATCCATGAATTTCCGAGGGGGATCCTGGAACCAATCCCTCTTGGATACCAAGGGATGACTGTATCAGGAAGCAGAGATCTTTGGGGTTATCTTGTCAGCTGCCTACCATATAGCTCCTATCAGCTACCCTTTTAAGTGGCTTCATACTAAACAGGCACAGATAAAGATTTTCTGTTAGTGGTGTTTTGACTCTTGGGATTTTTTTTCCCCCAGCTTCATAACTCAGCTTATTTATCAAAATCTGAACACTGTTGATAAAGAATGCTTCCATACCCACACCAGGCTTTATTTGTATTATTCTTAGTTATATTGACATTGTGGTAAAGAAGAACCATTCAGTAAGTATGAATTGAATTGGCTCTGCTGGTTTATTGACAATTAAGTGGGTAAATTTCAGTGTCAGATTTTTTTTTTTTTCTGAGATGAAATCTCGCTTTGTCGCCAAGCTGGGGTGTGCAGTGGCGCGATCTCAGCTTGCTGCAACCTCAGCCTCCCGGGTTCAAGCGATTCTCTTGCCTCAGCCTCCTGAGTAGCTGGGACTACAGGTGTGCGCCACCATGCCCAGTTAATTTTTGTATTTTTAGCAGAGGTGGGGTTTCACCATGTTGGCCAGGGTGGTCTCGATCTCTTGACCTCGTGATCCACCCGCCTTGGCCTCCCAAAGTGCCAGGATTACAGGCGTGAGCCACCACACCTGGCCCAGATTTTATATTTTAAAACAGTTCTTGGTCAGGCACAGTGGCTCATGCCTGTAATCCCGGCACTTTGGGAGGCTGAGGTGGGAGGATCGCTTGAGGTCAAGAGTTCAAGACTAACCTGGGCAACATAGTGAGACCTCGTCTCTACAAAAAAAAATTTTTTTTTAATTAGCAAAATGTGGTGGTGCACGCCTGTAGTCCTAGCTATGCAGGAGACTGGGGTGGAAGGATTACTTGAGCCTGGGAGGTCAAGGCTGCAGTAAGCTGTGATAGTGCTACTGCACTCCAGCCCAGGCAACAGAGCAAGACTCTGTCTCTAAAAAAAAAGATTGTAAATATTGTATCACAGATGAGGCTGAGAAAAGAAAAAACAATTGAAAAATAAAATTGTTCTAATTTTCCACCAAAAGACAAATAATAACAACTCGTGATTCATTTGCGTCCTTAAATGCTTTTGTCAGAGGGCCATTGTGGGGTATCTGTTACTAAAGGGCCTTTCTCCATCACATGTTGCTCCTCTGGTCTTCATGCTTCTTTGATTTGTTCTTGACTGATGTTAGCAAGTTTCCATGCTGGGAACAGGTTTTCACCAAACTCAGGTCTCTCAGCTTCTCTCTCACTGTTTAGAGATGTTTGTTGCTCACAGGGGAGGAGAGAAAACTGAAACTGGGAGAATGAGGTCTGTGATAGGGTGGTGGTGAGGGAGTTGCAGGCGTATGGAGGGATAGAGGGGTATGGCAGGTAGAAGAAACGAGAGAGGGAGAAATGAAGCCGGAGAAATAGTAGTATTCAGAACTGGGTTTCCAGGTATGGTGATATAAAAAATTATGTCGGGAAAAAGGCTGAAATTGTTTGAGGTTACTCATTATTGGCAGTTGGCTTTACCTTAGGTTCATAGGATGATGTTAATTACAGTTGTAGGCTCCTAAGGGAAATTTCATTCTCAGATATTCATTTACCAGGCATTTATTGAGTCCTTATTATGTCACAGGCAAAATGCTGGGTGCTAAGGATAGAGATATAGATAAGGCAGTTTTTGCTGTCAAGAAACTTTTGTAGGGGAGACAGTTGAATAATAGAAAATGACTGATTAGACTGATAAGTTCACTTGTAGCTATGCATATATAGAGTTTAATGAGAGTGTTCAGCTACCTGTGGAAGATCAGGGAAGATTTGCCTACAGAGGAAGGTTAGGCCTATGAAGACTTGAGTCTTGGATGTTGAATAAGTGCTTTCCAGGTGGTCTTGGTGTGAAAGGTTGCACCAGGTAGTGGTGACAACATGTCAGAGGCAGAGAATGGTGGTAGAACATGGTATGTTCTTTACAAGCGACTTGCAATGGCTGAGCCCAAGGTGTTACAAGGTAGAAGAAAATACATTGGAAAGAGAGGCCAGAGCAGTATGATATAAGGTAACATAAGCCATTTATCTTGCTGGTGATGGGGGAGCCCCCGAAGGACTTTAAATAAGCATTACATCATGTTGAATATGGCATCTGAGAAACAGCATTGTTTTTAGAGTGAATTGGTGGCAGTGTGGAAAACAGATTATAAAGGAACAAGACTAGAGGCAGGGAGACTAGTTAATTGTAAGAGATGATGGTAGGAGGGGGCCAGGCACGGTGGTTCATCCCTGTAATCCCAGCATTTTGGGAGGCCGAGGCGAGTGGATCACTTGCAACTAGGAGTTGGAGACCAGCCTGGCCAACATGGCAAAACTCTGTCTGTACTAAACATTTTTTAAAAATGAGGCAGCTGTAAACCCCGCTGCTCAGGAGGACTTTTCCAGGAAGTCATATTGTTGGAATCATACAGTATGGACCCTGTTCCGATTAGTTGTTTCACTTAGTAATTTCATTTAAGTTTCCTTTATGTTTTTTTGTGGCTTGATGGCTTATTTTTCTTTTCTTTTTCATTGTGTTTTTTTGTTTGTTTGTTTGTTTTTGAGATGGAGTTTTGCTGTGTCACCCAGGCTGGAGTGCGGTGGCACAATCTCGGCTCACTGCAACCTCCGCCTCTCAGTTTCAAGTGATTCTCCTGCCTCAGCCTCCCAAGTAGCTGGGATTATAGGTGTGTGCCACCACACCCTGCTAATATTTGTATTTTTAGCAGAGACAGGGTTTTGCCATATTGGCCAGGCCGGTCTCGAACTCCTGGCCTCAGGTGATCCGCCCGCCTCGGCCCCCCAAAGTGCTGGGATTATAGGCATGAGCCACCGCGCCCGGCCTTCTTTTTGTTTTGAGATGGAGTCTCGCTCTGTTGCCCAGGCTGGAGTGTAGTGGCACAATCTTGGCTCACTGCAACCTCTGCCTCCTGGGTTCAAGCGATTCTCCTGCCTCAGCCTCCTGTGTAGCTGGGATTACAGACGTACACCACTACACCCAGCTAATTTTTGTATTTTTAGTAGAGATAGGTTTTCACCATGTTGGTCAGGCTGGTCTTGAACCCCTGACCTCAAGTAATCCACCTGCCTCAGCCTCCCAAATCATTTTTTTATCATTGAATAATATTCCATTTTATGGGCAGTTTATTTATCAGTTGAAGGACATTTTTGTTGCTTCTAAGTTTTGGCACTTATGAATAAAGCTGCTATAAACATTTGTGTGCAGGTTTTCGTGTGAACATAAGCTTTCAACTCATTTTGGTATATACCCAGGAGCGTGATAGCCAGATCATATGTAAGAGTATATTTACTTTTGTAAGAAACTGCCCAGCTGCCTTCCAAACTGGTTGTACCATTTACATCTGACCAGCAGTGAATGTGAGTTCCTATTTCTCTATATCCTGGTCAGCCATTAGTGTTGTCAGTTTTCTGATTTTGGCCATTCTAATAGGTGTCATATAGCGGTGTCTTTTTTTTTTCTTTTTGTTGTTTTAATTTGCAACTCCCAAATGACAAATGATGTTGAGCGTCTTCTCATATACTTATTTGCCATCTGAACATCCTCTTTGGTGAGATGTCTGTTAAGGTCTTTGGCCTATTTTTTAATGGTTGTTCATTTTCCTATTGTTGCGTTTTAAGAGTTCTTTGTATGTTTTGGATATATATCCTTATCAGATATATATTTTTCAAAGATTGTTTCCTAGTGTGTGTCTTGTTTTTTTGTTCTCTTAACAGTGTCTTTCACAGAGCAGAAGTTTTTAATTTTAATGAAGTCCAACTTAGCAATTTTTTCTTTTGTGGATTATGTTTTTGGCATTGTATCTAAAAGGTCATCACCAAACTCAAGGTTACCTATATTTCCTCCTATGTTATCTTCTACAAGTTTTACAGTTTTGTATTTTACAAGTAGGTCTGTGATCCATTTTGAGTTAACTTTTGTGAAGAGTTTAAGGCTTGTGTTTAGATTCTTTATTTTTTTGTATTTAGATATCTAGTTGTTCCAACATTATTTGTTGAAAGACCCTCATTTCTAAATTGAATTGCCTTGGCTGGGTGCAGTGGCTCACGTCTGTAATCTCAGCACTTTGGAAGGCAGAGGCAAGTGGATTTCTTGAGCCCTGGAGTTCAAGACCAGCCCGAGCAACATAGCGGGACCCCCATCTCTACTAAAAATAAAAAAATAAAAAAATTAGCTGGCACGGTGGCTCATGCCTGTGGTCCCAGCTACTCAGGAGGCAGGGGCAAGAGATTTGCTTGCGCGTGGGAGGTTGAGGCTTCAGTGAGCCTTGATTGTGCCATCGCATTCCAACCTGAGCAACAGAGTGAGACCCTGTCTCAAAAAATAAAATAAAACAAATTTCCTTTGCTCCTTGTATTTTTTTCAAGGTGAAAAAAAAGACTTCTTTCTGGCTTCCATTACTATATAGATGGTAGTGCCACTGAAATTGGGAATACAAGAGGAGCAGGTTTGGAGGAGGAAGATAATGAATTTAGTTTTAGATACGCTGATTTGGAAATATCTGTGGACCTTTGGTATTTTCAAAGAAGCAATATCCTTTCCTAGATTTCAGGAGTATAAGAAAATGAAAGATCATTTAGCTCAATGCTATGTGTATACACAAATGGAAATCAAGTTATCTAGGCTAGATGCACAGTCAGTGCTAAAAGTCAGCCTGACTTCTCTCCATTCAGGGTTCTTTCTACTGCAGAGAGAGGGCTGCTCTGGAACCACAAGGAGCCCTTCTGAGAGGTTTTGCCATTGCCCTTGAAATACAAATCTAACCCTAGCTTGTTCAACTCTGCTGCAGTTCCAACATAGTTCCTGGCCTTTCCCTGTTATTATAATGGCCTTTTACCATATCAAATTCAGTTTGGGGTTTAGGAGGTTATGACACTGTAACTGTTTTTGGGTTGAGAGAGTAATCTGCTCATTTAACCCTCTTATAGTCTGGAAGGCAAGGTCAAGGAGACAGTGCACAATGCCTTTTGGGACCATCTTAAAGAGCAACTATCAGCAACTCCCCCTGACTTCAGCTGTGCTCTTGAACTTCTGAAAGAAATTAAAGAGGTGAGTGACCTTCCATTTGTAAATGTAAAGTTTCTAGACATCTCCAGCTCATTGGAGTGTCAGTGGCTAGCAAATCTTAACTGAACATGGTCCATGAATCAGTCAGAGACTAAGCAATAGACAGAAATCATACAGTAATTTTAGCAGGGAGGGTTTAATATAAAAATTATTATAACAGAGAGTAGGAGAAATGAGGGCTTGGCTAGTAAGAGTAAGGAAAACTAAAGAATCCTTGAATATCAGATAAAAGGGCATCTATCATACCCTTAGGGCTGAGAGAGGCCAACCAAGGACCTCATTTGAGAGGGCATAGCTATGCCATGAGACGTTACTGGCCTGTGTATGCTGCTGACCACAGTGCACTGCAGGAACCAAGCACTGGAGAAGCTATTCATGCTGCAGGAGCCAAGTACTGCAGGAGCCTGCTGAGTGAACATACCAGAACCGGGAATAAAAGCTCTTGCCTTTGCAATGTCTTTCTAGTATGTGGCAGACATACCGTAAGGTGACCCACAATGTTCTGCACCCTTGTATAATCTTCTCCCCTTGAGTGGATGAGATTTGCAACTTCTAAGCAGTACGGCAAAAGTGATGGGATATAACTCCCATGATTACATTTCATCATGTAATACTCTGTCTTAGGAGACTGGAGGGAGAGATTCTCCTGCTGGCCCTGAAGAAGCAAACAGCTGTGTTGTGAACTGCCTATCGAGAGGGCCACATAGCAAGGAGCTGCAGGTGGCTTCTAGGACCCGGGGTTAGCATCCAGACAATAGCCAGTAAGAAGCTGGGGCCCTCAAGTATACAGTTGTGAGGAAATGAATTCTGCCAACAATCTGAATGAGCTTGGAAACGGAATCTTTCCCAGTCATGTTTCCAAATGAGAATGCAGCCCAGCTAACACTTTGCTTGCAGACTTGTGAGACCCTGAACAGAGGACCCAGCTAAACTGCGTCTGTACTTCTGACCCACAGTAACTGAGATCATAAATGTGTGTTCTTATAAGCTGCTAGGATTATGGCAGTATGTTACACAGCACAGAAAACTAAATAACACTTTCTGCCGGTGAAGCTTAAAATGTGCTATCTGGCAAAGGAAAGATATGGAAAGGACTTAGTTCCATTTTCACAGAGCAAAGAACAATGGATTTGGATCTGTGAGGCAATATATTGATAAATGGCACAGTCCACCCCTTCGGCTACTCAGTTTCCACATGCGCTCTTCTATACACATTTGAATTCCTGAAAAGAACTCTTACAAGACAGATAGCTATTTATTATTTATCCTCCCCCAAAATGAGGAGACATGGCCCAAATAGTTATTGTATCCATCACTGGCCGCTCCTCAAATTCAGCCAGTTTCACTGACTATTGTGTTACCTAAAGGCTAAATCATAAAATTTAACTTCTAACAACTTGTATATAAAATAACAATGGAAAGAAAGAGGAAGAACAAAATGTTGGCATATATAAATAAACATACATATAATAAGCAAAGATAAAATTTATAGTCCTTGTTTCCATAACTGGTCACAAGGCTATAGTTGTTATCTATGGCTTCCTTCTTCCACGATTCATTCATTCCATATTTCCCTTGTCCTTGGCCAGAACTTCAGCTAGTTGGGGTTCTTTATCTGGTGCAGTGACCCAAACCTTCATTGCCAAAGAGTCTGAGACATTTTGCTTTGTTTGTTGTGGTTTTCCATTAACCTTTAATATTGAGCTTGGAAGTACTAAGAGGCAACTCAGAGAATCTCCTGAGTTTCAGGCATGGTCTTTCTTACCCCCATTGTGTGGCCACAATCCAATTTCTCATTGGTACTCAGGAGCAAGTACGGCATCCAGTACAGTAACTCCTTTTTTTACCCTTTTGGTTCAGTGGTATAAGGAGCCCCCAATGGTCAGTTTCATCTTCTGTTTCATTGGAACCAATGCAAGTATTTCACACAAATCAGCAGACCTCAAAGTTGGCAGGATGGGAAACAAAAATCCTGCAAGTGGGTTATCAGGTGTGCTAGTAAGAGGAAGCAGTCCTACTTCTACTGCTTGATTCCTGGACCCATGTATTCTGGCATTAGGGGACAGCACCATAGAATGGTCTTTGAAGCCAGGCACAGTGGCTCACACCTGTAATCTCAACACTCTGGGAGGCTCAGGTGGGCAGAATGCTTGAGTCTAGGAATTTGAGGCCAGCTTGGGTAATGTGGTGAAACCCATCTCTACAAAAAATAGAAAAATTAACTGGGTGTGGTGGTACATGCCTCTATTCCCAGCTACTCAGGAGACTGACACGGAAGGATTGCTGGAGCCTGAGAGGCACAGGTTGCAGTGAGCCATGATTGTGTCACTGTGCCCCAACCTGGGCAACAGAGCAAAACCCTGTCTCAAAAAAAAAAAAAAAAAAAAAAAAAAGTCTTTGATTCAAAGCATATATTGCATCCTGTAAGACCAATTCCCTTCCTTTCAGGTATTGTTGCTCACCTAATGCTGTAATTGAGTCTAAAATAAGCCATTCTACTTTTTAGTTAGGGCCAGCTGATTCTCAGTGAAAGCTTTTTGGTCAGACCAGTTAATTTAGTAGGTATGAATTCACTGCATTTCCTTTGCTGTGAAATGAGTTCCTTGAGCAGATGCAATGCAATGGAGTAGGCAAAGACCCAGGACAGCTGATAAGGCATTCTGTGATTATCTGGATGCTGGTACTGACAGAAGCATGGCAAACAGGGAAGACAACTCCATATCCAGAATATGTGTCTATCCCAGTAAGGATGAATCTCGCCCTCTCTAAACTGTTAGAGGTCCAGTGAAATCATCTGCCATAAGATGGCTGACTGATCCTCCCTGGGGAATGGGCCATATTGGGGGCTTTAAAAAATTTATTTAATTTTTTTTAGGATTTGTTTTTGTTGTGGCAAAATATTCATAACAAAATTTACTATTTTTTAGTGTTACAGTTCACTGGCATTAAGTATATTTACAATATAACCATCACCACTATCCATTTCCAGAACCTTTGAATCTTCCCTAACAGAAATTTTGTACTCATTAAACAATAATTTCCCTTTCCCCTCTCCCACTAGCACCTGTACTTTCTGTCTCTATGAATTTGACTACTCTAGGTACTTATAAATGGAATACAATATTTGTCCTTTTAGTTTTGGACTTGTTTAACTTAGTGTAATGTTTTAAAGGTCCATCCATATTGTAGCATATATCAGAATGTAATTCCTTTTTATGGCTGAATAATATTCTTATTATATGGATAGAATACATTTTGTTCATACATCTGTTGATGGACGTTTAGGTTCTTTATGCCTTTTGGCTATTGTAAATAATGCTGCTGTAAACCTTGTGTACAAGTATATATTTGAGTCCCTGCTTTTAATTTTTCTGGGTATATACCTAAAGTTGGAATTGTTGGATCCTATGGTAATTCTATGTTTAACTTTTTGAGGAACTGCCAAACTGTTTTCTGTTGTAGCCACACCATTTTATATTCCTACCAGCAATGTACCAGGGTTCCAATTTCTCCACATCCTAGCCAGCATTTGCTGTTTTCCATTTTTGGTAATGGCCATTCTAATGGGTGTGAAGTGGTATCTCATTGACTTGCATTTCTCTTAATGGCTAGTGATATTGAGCATCTGTTCGTGTGTTTGTTGGCTATTTGTACATCTTCTTCAAAGAAATGTTTACTCAGGTACTTTGTCCATTTTTAAATTGGATTGTCTTTTATTGAATTTTATGCTTTTGGTGTCAAATCCTGCCAAATCCTAGATCATGAATATTTACACCTATGTTTTCTCCAAAGAGTTTTGTAGTTTTAGCTCTTATGTTTAGGTCCTTTTTTTCTTTTTTCTTTCTTTTTTTTTTTTTTTTGAGACAGAGTCTTGCTCTGTCACCCAGGCTGTAGTGCAGTGGTGCGATCTTGGCCACTGCAATCTCTGCCTCCCTGGTTCAAGCTATTCTCCCACCTCAGCCTCCCAAGTAGTAGCTGGATTACAAGTGTGCACTATCACGCCCGGCTAATTTTTTGTATTTTTAGTAGAGATGGGGTTTCACCATTTTGCTCAGGCTGGTCTCAAACTCCTGACCTCAGGTGATCCGCCTGCCTCGACCTCCCAAAGTGCTGGGATTACAGACGTGAGCCACTACCATTTTGAATTAATATATATATATATTTTTTATTATACTTTAAGTTTTAGGGTACATGTGCACAACTGAATTAATATTTTTATATGGGGGTAAGGTAAAGGTCCAACTTTGTTCTTTTGCATGTGAATATCCTGTTTTCCCAGCACCATTTGTTGAAAAGACTGTCCTTTCCCCATTGGTTCTTGGCATTGTT
Source organism: Homo sapiens (assembly GCF_000001405.40). Classification (NCBI taxonomy): domain Eukaryota; kingdom Metazoa; phylum Chordata; class Mammalia; order Primates; family Hominidae; genus Homo; species Homo sapiens. Next base: position 35,124,714 of record NC_000006.12, on the reverse strand, counting down.
GTTGAAAATCATTTGACCTTATATATCCAGGTTTTATTTATCAGCTCTCTATTCTTTTGGTCTGTGTATCTGTTCTTATTACCAGTATATGCTTGGTCTCTTATAAGCCATTTTCATTTGATAATAGATTGCTGCTGTGCATGTCCAGTCTTGTAGCTACGTAAGTTAGACAATACCTAATTCCTGATGGGAAGCTTAGGCCACATGGTTACCCAGTGTTCTATAGTAAGGTGTTTACTTTCTACCAAGGCCCAAGAAGTTGTTTCTCAAAAGGTGAATAATTATCATTAAAGAAGGAATAGATTTGCTCCCAATTCCTAAAGGTCCATGTGTGGTTCCCTTATTGGTGCTTGCAAGACATTCTGTACAGCACCCTTATTTGCTATGGACACTTAAAGTGTCATTGGATCTGCAGGATCATAAGGCCCAAATGGTAGAGTGGCTTGTACTACAGTCTAAACTTGCTGCAGAGCCTACTCTTGCTCTAGTTAGTTAGCACTCCCCCATCCCCCACGACATATGGGTAACCTCGAGTGATTCTAAATAAATCAAAATCACTCAAATGAATGTCAAAGTAGCAAACACAAATGTGGTGCATGTTGCCTCAAAAATCCGAAAAGGGGCTGGCTGTGGTGGCTCAGGCCTGTAATTCTAGCACTTTGAGAGGCCAAGGAGGGTAAGTTTCTTGAGCCCAGGAGTTCAAGACCAGCAGGGACAACACAGCAAGACCTCCATCTCTAGAAAAAAAAAAATCTTTTTAATTAGCTGGGCATGGTGGTCATACCTGTAGTTCCAGCTACTTAGGAGGTTGAGGTGGGAGGATCACTTGAGCCCAGGAGGTTGAGGCTGCAGTGAGCTGTGATCATGCTACTACACTCCAGCCTGGGCAACAGAGTGAGACTCTGTCTCAAAAGAATCCAAAAAGGAGGACCAGGTGTAGTGGCTTATGATTATAATCCCAGCACTTTGGGAGGCCAAGGCAGGAGGATAGATTGAGACCAGGAATTTGAGGCCAGCCTGGCAACACAGCGAGACCCCATCTCTCCAAAAAAAAAAAAAAAAAGAAAGAAAACTAAGCTGGACATGGTGACATGTGCCTGTAGTCCTAGCTACTCAGGAGGCTGAGGTGGGAGGATCACTTGGGCTCAGGAGTTGGAGGCCATGATCATGCCACTGCACTTCAGCCTGAGCAACAGATTGAAACTCTGTCTCAAAAGAAAAAAAATATTATAAAAGGCCTACTAAGTGTTATGCCTTTTTTTTAATGGTGGGTGGTTCAGGTACAGCAATTTGTCCTTCACCTTGGAGGATATCACTTGAAAAGCTCCTGACCACTGAAACTCTAGAAACTTTACTGAGGTGACAGGCCCCTGAATTTTTGTGGAGATCATCTGCTATCCTCAAGTTTGCATGTGTTTAAGGCATCTAAAGTACTTGAAACTTGCTGGTCATCAAACCTCACTCAACTTTTTACCAGTCAGAGCCAATCAAGAGGCAGAAACCATGCAGTAATTTGAACAAAGAAGCTTCCACAATGCAGGAGCTTGCTGAGAGGAGCATACCAGAGCCAAGAAGGAAGGCCCTTTTCTCTTGCAGTTTCTTTTTACCACCCTCTTTTGACAAAAATCTAACATTGTGTCAGCTAGCAAAGGAAAAATAATTCAAGGGCCCAGCTCCGTTTTTGCAGAGTAGGCACTGAAGGGTAGATTTGGAGCTGAGAGGCTCCAAATTGGTAACTGGCAGAGTTTGGCAATTAAAGTAGATAGTATGGAGCAACTTTGATTTTATTTGTTTAACATGAAGGTAAACAGTTGAGATCTTGCTATGACAACACCATATTCTATTCAATTAAATATTCATTGAATCCTATACCCTAGGCCCCCACCATGTCCTGTGTGTTACAGAGGCAGGGGATGAATAAGAGTCCCTGTTTACCATGAACTTATTTTGGGGGTTAATAGGCTATTTCAGTGACTTGCAACAGCTCCTATGCCTATTTCATCCTTGCCCTTTGAAGTAAAATAATCTAAAAAATGCCTCCCTTTTAAAGTTAAGAGACGTCATCACCATGTGATGGTGGGTATTTTATATTTGTTGTACCCCGTATGTCTTTTTACCACACTCCTTGATTTTATTCATCTCTATATCTCATTCTGCCTAGAAAATGATATACTATTCCTGTAATTGATCCCCTTGATCCTTGAATTGTCACCGGCCTCTAAACAAAGATAAATAATATTCCATGGGAAATTTAGGGACCCAACTTCTTGATCCTTAAAAAACATAGGCTGGTATGTCTTTAGCTAAAGGGATTGCCCATTGGATAAAGTTTGGGGATCTAAACAGATCAACTCCTTTGACTTTCTTTCCTGGGCAGATCTTGCTATCACTGCTATTACCACGCCAGAACCGCCTGAGAATTGAGATTGAAGAAGCTCTGGACATGGACTTGCTCAAGCAGGAGGCAGAACATGGGGCCCTGAAAGTCCTCTATCTCTCTAAGTACGTTCTCAACATGATGGCTTTGCTGTGTGCACCAGTTCGAGATGAAGCAGTGCAGAAACTAGAAAACATTACGGATCCTGTTTGGCTACTGAGGTATGAAACTTGATACTGCCCCCAAAAACCTGCTTTAGCCCCTGAGCCCGGAAAAGCTGGGCCAGACCTAGATTATAGCCATCGTCTTGACCAGCTCTTCCCTGCTAAAGACCTGACTAACACCCTTTTTCTCCCCTCTGGTCAATTCACTCTTCTTTTCCAAAGATGGCCCCACAGGGCCTTTTGGTTATCCTTAGCTTGATTGGGCCCCCCCTCTGTAATACCATAAGACACTACAGTACATACTTCTTTCTTTTAAGGAGTTAAAACATCCCTTTCCCAGGTTTTTTTTTTTCTTTCTTTTTTTTTGAGATGGAGTTTCACTCTTGTTGCCCAGGTACAGCAGTGAGATCTCAGCTCACTGCAACCTGTGCCTCCTGGGTTCAAGCGATTCTCCTGCCTCAGCCTCCCGAGTAGCTGGGACTACAGGTGCACACCACCACACCTGGCTAACTTTTGTATTTTTAATAGAGACAAAGTTTCACCATGTTGGCCAGGCTGGTCTCAAACTCCTGACCTCAGGTGATTCACCCACCTCGGCCTCCCAAAGTGCTGGGATTACAGGCATGAGCGACCTTGCCCAGCCCTCGGGCCCTTTCCCAGGTTTTCTCTTCTTTCGGTTCACACACTATGAGGAGACAGTGATGAGTGGTCATCCGTATTTCACAACTCTAGGAACCAAGACCCAGAAAGTTTAAAAAAAAAAAAAAAAAAGCAGTTGGTCCAGTGAGTCAGAAATAGCATCACCTATAATCCTACTTCCTGAAGAGAATTGTTAGCATGCTGGTGTATTTCTTTCCACTGACTACCCTTTTTAAGAGGCAACAGAATGACCATAGTGAAGGAGATCTAGACTGAAGGCTTCAAGGTCCAGAGACTTAGCTGTTCCCAATTCTGCCACTGACTCACCCTGGGTATTGGGTTCTGGGCCACATGTTATCTTCTGAAAATGTAGGAGGTAAGACTAAGTTAGTCTTAAGCCCCTCCTAACTCTAAAATACAGTGATTTAATGACTCCTTGGGTGGGTTTCTAGCTTAGTAGTATAAATATTCTCTTTCCCCCTGTGTCAGAGGGATCTTCCAGGTTCTGGGCCGGATGAAAATGGACATGGTGAACTACACTATCCAGAGCCTTCAACCCCACCTGCAGGAACATTCCATTCAGTATGAACGGGCTAAATTCCAGGAACTCCTCAATAAGCAGCCTAGTATGTATATAATGTGAGGGCAGGAGTGGGAAAGGTATTACCTTGGGTCTGACTTTTATAATGTTAGAGAGTACTCTATCTCTTTTTAGGAATAGAAAGTTGCTTATTAGGTGAAGGGAGGGAGAAGGAACATTTATCTAAGACAGAAAGACCCTCAAAGCATTTATTTATTGACCAGGAGTATACTTGAAAAGAACCTTGGTCTTGAAGCCTCAGAGATGAAGATGCTAAAGATGCTTACACACTCCCTTACCTGTCATAGGTCTCCTTAATCACACCACCAAATGGCTGACCCAAGCAGCAGGAGACCTCACCATGTCACCTCCGACTTGCCCAGACACTTCTGACTCCTCCAGTGTGGCTGGCCCCTCTCCCAATGAGGCAGCCAACAACCCAGAGCCCCTCAGCCCCACAATGGTGCTGTGTCAGGGCTTCTTGAACCTCCTTCTCTGGGACCTTGAAAATGAAGAGTTCCCTGAGGTAGGAATGTCTGGGGGCATTGCCTTGTTTTGTGTTCAGGGCTTCCATCGGGACTTCCCCTGACAGCCTGTTCTTCCCTGGTTCCCAGACCCTGCTGATGGACAGAACCCGGCTGCAGGAGCTGAAGTCCCAGTTGCACCAGTTAACCGTCATGGCCTCAGTCTTGCTGGTGGCCAGTAGTTTCTCCGGCAGTGTTTTGTTTGGCTCACCCCAATTTGTAGATAAACTGAAACGCATAACCAAATCCTTGTTGGAAGACTTTCACTCCAGGTGAGCTGCATAGTTACTTTTTAGAGTAGAAGGTGATATGTGGTATTTAGAACATAGGCAGGTAATGAACGATTGCTTACTGTCTACCACAAACCACAGAAAGGCCCTGTGGAACCATCTACAAAGATTGTTGGTTTCTTTCCATAAGTGGTCATGAGGGTGTAACAAAAAAAAACCTTTCTTCCAAAAAGGGTGTGGAAGATAGTTTGCTGCAAAAGGGTCATTATCTAGTTGAGTGGTGACTGTGGGCTGGTATCATCACATATATCCAGGACTTGGTCAGTCGGTCAGCAATATTTATTGAACATCCCGCTGTGTGCAGGCCATCACACCAAAGGAAAAAGAGGAATCAGAAGGCCAGGTTGTAGTTATAACTGATGAGGTGGGACAGATGATTCTGGAAAATGCCTAAGAAAGTCTTAAACATATATATATAAAAATAAAGTCCATGGGACTAAAGAATGCTGAGTGGATCCAAGAGCACAACTAAATACTTTTCCAGAGTTGATTTTATCATTTACCTTGTTTGCTAAGAAGTAGAACACAGTGCCACATATAGAGAATAGCTGGTGTCTTGAGGGTTACAGTGAGGACATTGTACCTACCCACTGGGCCCTATAGCCTGCCAGGGGCTGGGGTTTAGGGGTGGAGAGGGTGGCTGACATTCTCCCTCAAGTGGGCCTGGCATCTGGTATACAGCATGCTGGGCCCTGGGCCTATGCCAGGGTTACCTGGTGGGTGCCAGCTTACTTTCTTTCATGGTCTAGGCCTGAGGAAGCTATACTGACTGTGAGTGAACAGGTATCTCAGGAAATCCATCAAAGCCTCAAGAATATGGGCCTTGTTGCTCTAAGCAGTGATAATACAGCATCTCTAATGGGACAGCTCCAGAACATTGCCAAGAAGGAGAACTGTGTCTGCAGTGTTATTGGTGAGTATGCTTGTGGGGTAGTAAGAATGGTGAGGGAAGAGATAGATCCCAACCGTGGAACCCCAACCTTTAACAACATGAAGCATGGTCATTAGGTACGTCATTGTTTAGCCTTGATTTTTTTCAAAATGCTGGGTTGAAATCATATCCGTCTCAGTTTAAAGACTAACTGTGGTTCTCAGGATGATTTGCACCCAGAAATTCATGACTTCTAGGTGTGGGATATGTCCAGCCGACCTGGTTAAGTCACTTGGGCCTACAGGTCATTCTCTGATGGCACCCAAGAAATCTGACATTCCCCCATCTCCCAACAAGAAACTAATGCTGAATTTAGCTGGAAGACATGTTCCTATAGTGGGGAATCCCCTACCCTCATGCTGGAGTGGAGGCCATGAACTTGGCCAGCCTGCTCCTAACCTTAGCCATCTGAAGGATCAGTCTAAGTTCCTCCTGTTATGTCAAACACTCACTAGGATCTAACTGATGGCTACTTAAACAATCTTTTGAATAATCTGAAATTTACTAACACACTAGTTTTTTATATTTGTCCTTGAGAGCAAGATAGCAGCCCCCTTTCCAAACAAAACAAATTTCATTATCTCTAGGTAGGGGGGCAGGTTGGTACATATCTGTTAACTTAGAACATGGGTGAGTAGAGTGCAGGGGGAATTTTCTCCCTGAAATCTGTTTGCCTTTTCCCTTATCAGTGTCTTTTCCTGCTCACAGATCAGCGGATCCATTTGTTTCTCAAATGCTGTTTGGTTCTTGGTGTGCAGCGGTCTCTATTAGACCTTCCTGGAGGCCTTACTCTCATTGAAGCAGAACTGGCAGAACTGGGCCAAAAGTTTGTCAACTTGACACATCACAATCAGCAGGTGTTTGGTCCCTACTACACTGAGATCCTAAAAACCCTCATTTCCCCAGCCCAGGCACTGGAAACAAAAGTGGAGTCTGTTTGATAGCGTCGGCTCAGAGCCCTGGTACCTTGGACCCAAGAGGAGGCCCATCATCTTCCTGGAGTAACATCACCAGTGACCAGCAGACAGTGAGCTTCTATCCCAGGCCCTGCAGCCAGTACACCAAGGCTGTAGGGATCAAGCATGTAAACACCAACTGGTCCATACCCATTCATTAATAAACTTCTTAAGTGCAAGAAATCCTCCATTTTTCCTGTGCTGCAGCTGAGGCCAAGCCCTAATGACTTCAGCCCTCAACTAGCTGAGAAGCCAGCAAGCCCTCAGTTTTCCCCTCTCTGGCTATGTGTACCTTTCAACATATAGAGCTGAACAGCCAAGATACCCAGGTGCTAGCCTTATTTTCTTTAAGGGTAAAGCATTACTCCTGGGGAGCTCTTAGACCTCTGGAATTATCCAAATTGTGAATATAAGGGTTTCTTTTGGAAGCCTTTGTTTTGTCCAGTTCACCTCAGGAGAGGACATGGTTTAGGGAAGTTAGTTCATTTCTAGGACCAAATTTCCCTAAAGGTTTCAGAGAATGCAACAAGAAGTCAAGGGATATTAAGAGCCTTAGTTTCCTCTTCTGTTGCATGGTCTGAAGCAATATGCATACCCGGGGCTGGATGAAAATGGATATTGGCTACAAGCAAGCATTCTGTTGAGGACAAGTTCAGAGTTCATGGGACCTCTCTCTCAAGTTATCCAGAGTTCAGACTTGGACAGTTAGGTCTGTGACTCACTTGTATCAAGTTTATTCTGGTCCTGTTCTCTAGCCCAGTAAGTCTCCTTTCCCTCATCTCTAAGCTTAGAACACCCGGTTTTTCCAGGCAGAGGTGATGTGGGCATTCAGAGGTGGAGCAGCCTCCATCCTTCTGGCTTCTCCATTCTGGGCAGTTGTGGTTGTAAGCTGTTGTTGGCATCACAAATAAGAGAGGTTCTAGGAAGGATTTGGGCTTGTCTCCTGAGATTGTAGAGACCAACTCATTTTCAGGCTGACTGCAGCAGACCAGCTCCAACCTAGTATGGCTGAAATGAAGAAAATGTTCAGTTCAGATTTAGAAAATGGAAATTCAATTATGTGTTCTCAAGGCAAGGTGAAGAAAAACAATGTTCTCATCATTTTAGGTGATGGAAGTTGCTGAGTGTTAACACACCTAATCTAGGAAGAACAACAGAAGGGGGATTTGAGTTCCATTAGGCCCAGTGTTTCCTTCTAATTGATTTCCTTTTTTAGAGGGTAGATCCTAGGTAGGTGACAGAGCTAGATCAACACAATGTGACTTTTACTATGACTAGAAAAGCTGGAGGGCCTGGATCATTTGCATTTTTCGTCTTATAACTAGACAGCTTCAGGATGGGGAAGCCCAGATAAAGTGGTATGTTTAATAAACAGTGAGGCTTGCCCAGTTGGATTCTCTGATTTGTAACTATTAATTTGAATTTTTAAAAAATCCACGTTTTGGAAACCTCATTATTTTAGAGGTAAAAGTACTCTGAAGGGATTCCTGGGAAGAAGATTGTCCAGTTGGCAGGTGCAGACCCTGGACTGATAATAGAACCTTGCTTTGTACTTCACAATTAAAATAGGGACTCATCAGTACCTTAGAAAATTTGAATTTATTTTCTTATGCTTTCTCATGGAGGAGACAGGGATCTTGTCCCTAAACAAGGAAAGATAGCTCCATTCAATCCTGCCCACTGGTTTGAGGGAATTTTAAAAAAATGTATATTTGTATTTTAAATTGTGGAGAAAATACATGTAATATGAAAGCTATTAGTGACATTGAGTACATTCAGAATGTTGTACAGCCATCACGACTAACTAGTTCTAGAACATTTTCATCACCACCAAAGGAAATCCCATTCCAGTAACCAGTCACTGCCCATTTTCCCCCATTCCCTTCCCCTGGCAACCACTAATCTTTCTGTCTCAATGGGCTTTCTGACTCTGAATATTTCCTATAAATGGAATCATATAATATGTAGCTTTTTGTGACTGGCTTCTTTCACTCATTTTTCAACATTCATTTGTGTTCTAGCATGTATTGGTAGTTCATTCTTTTTATAGCTAAGTAATATTCTGTCACATGAATATACCACATTTTGCTTATCCACTCATTAGTCCATGGGTATGACTTCAGCCCTCAACTAGCTGAGAAGCCAGCAAGCCCTTAGTTTTCTCTTCTCTGGCTATGTGTACCTTTCAACATATAGAGCTGAGCATTTTGGCTTTTGTAAACAATGCCACAGTGAACACTTGGCGTTATTTACAAAACTCATACATAAGTTTTTGTTTGAACACCTGTCTTCTATGTTTTTGAGTGTCTACCCATATATCCAGGAATAGAATTGCTGAGTTCTATGGTAATCCCTGCTTAATTTATTGAGAAACTACCATTTTGAGTTAGTATTTGTATATGGTGTAAGGAACAGATCCAGCTTTATTCTTTTGTATGTGGACATCCAGTTTTCCTAGCATTATTTGTTGAAGAGACTGTCCTATTCCCATTGATGAATGGTCTTGGTCTTTGACTGTTGTCAAAAATCGATTGACCATATATGCAAGGGTTTATTTCTGGACTCTATTTTATGCCATTTATCTATATGTTTATCCTTATGCCAGTAAGATATTGTTTTGATTACTGTAAGCTTTGTAAGTTTTGAAATTAGGAAGTATAAGTTCTCCAGCTTGGTTGTTTTTCAAGATTATGTGGCTATCCCTTCCATTTCCATATGAATTTTAGGATCCATTTCTGTAAAACAGGAAGTTGGAATTTTTGATAAGGAGATATATATATATAAATTTGGGGAGTATTGCTATCTTGTCTTCCCATCCATGAACACAGAATGTCTTTTCCTTTTGTTAGGTCTTTAATTTCTTTCAGCAACCTTTTATAGTTTTCAGTGTACAAGCCTTGCACTTCCTTGGTTAAATTTATTCCTAAGTATTTTATTCATTTGGATGTAATTGTTAATAGAATTGTTCTCTTAATTTCTGTTTCGTATTGTGCATTGGCAGTGTATAAAAGTAAAACCAATTTGTTTGTTGATCTTGTACCCTGCAACTTCACTGAGTTTATTATATCAAATACTCTGTGAATTCTTTAGTATTTTCTACATATGAGATCATGTTATCTGAGAATAGGAATAGTTTTGCATTTTTTTTTCCTAATTCTGATCCCTTTTATTTATTTTTCTTGCCTAATTTCTCTGGCTAGAACTTCCAGTACAATGTCTAATAGCAGTGATAAAAGCACTTGTCTTGCATCCTGATCTTAGGGGGAAAGCTTTCAGTCATTCACCATTGAGTATACAGTTAGCTATGGATTTTTCATAAATACCTTTTATCGTGTTGAGGAAGTTGTCTTCTATTTAGTTTGCTCACAATTTTTTTTTTTAATCATGAAACGGTATTGAGTTTTTTGTTTGATTTTTTTTTTTTTCTTTTTTTGTAGATAGGGTCTCGCTCTGTCACCCAGGCTGGAGTGCAGTGGGGCGATCACGGCTTACTGTAGCCTTGACCTCCTGGCCTCAAGTGATCCTCCTGCCACAGCCTTTTGAGTAGCTGGGACTATAGGCGTGTGCCATCATGCCTGGCTAATTTTTGTATTTTTTGTAGAGATGAGGTCTCACTGTGTGGCCCACACTGGTCTCAAATTCCTGGGCCCAAAAGATCCTCCCATCTTGGCCTCCTAAAATGTTGAGATTACATGCATGAGCCACCACACTTTGCCTTGGATTTTGTCAAATGCTTTTTCTGCATCAATTGAGATAATCATATGCTTTTCTTCCTTCAGTCTATTAATGATATGTTGTTTGATTTTCTTTTTTTTTTTTTTTTTTTGAGATGGGGTTTCACTCTATCGCCCAGGCTGGAGTGTAGTGGCACGATCTCGGCTCACTGCAAACTCCGCCTCCCAGGTTCATGCCATTCTCCTGCCTCAGCCTCCCGAGTAGCTGGGACTACAGGCACCCGCCACCATGCCCGGCTAATTTCTTTTTGTATTTTTAGTAGAGACGGGGTTTCACCGTGTTAGCCAGGATGATCTCGATCTCTTGACCTCGTGATCTACCTGCCTCGGCCTCCCAAAGTGCTGGGATTACAGGCGTGAGCCACCGCACCCGGCCTTGATTTTTCTTATATTGAATCAATACTGCATTTGTGGGATAAGTCCCATTTGATCATGGTGCATAATCCTTTTAATATGCTGTTGGATTCAGTTTGCTAGTGCTTTGTGGAGGATTTTTGCATCTGTATTCATAAGAGATATTGGTCTGTAGTTTTCTTGTGGTGTCTTTGTCTGGCTTTGGAATCAAAGTAATGCTGGCCTCTTCTGTTTTTTGGGGGAGGAAGAGTTCGAGAAGGATTGGTGTTAATTCTTTAAATGAGTGGTAGAATTCACCAGTGAAGCCATGTAGTACTGGACTTTTCTTTGTTGGGAAGTTTTGATTACCAAACTCTTTACTTGTATTTAGATTCTCTTTTTCGTGCTGAATCCATTTTGGTAATTGATATGCCTAGGATTTTGTCTATTTTATCTAGGTTATCTAATTTTTTACATATGGATTGTTCATAGTATACTCTTATAATCCTTTTTGTTTTTGTAAAGTTGGTAGTAATTTCCCCACTCTTATTTCTGATTTTAATTATGTATATGTTCTCTTTTTTTCTTTTTTTTTGAGACGGAGTCTCATTCTGTCACCCAGGCTGAAGTGCAGTGGCATGATCTCGGCTCACTGCAATCTCCGCCTCACCTCCTGGGTTCAAGCGATTCTCGTGCCTCAGCTTCCCGAGTAGCTGGGATTACAGGTGCCTGCCACCACCCCCAACTAGTTTTTGTATTTTTAGTAGAGATGGGGTTTCACTATGTTGGCCAGGCTGGTCTTGAAGTCCTGGCTGCAAGTGATCTGCCTGCCTTGGCCTGAGATTACAGGCATGAGCCACCACACCCAGCTGTTGTTTTGTTTTATTTTGTTTTTTGTTTTTTTGTTTTTGTTTTTTGTTTTTTAGATGGAGTTTCACTCTTGTTGCCCAGGCTGGAGTGCAATGGCACAATGTTGGCTCACTGCAACCTCCACCTCCCAGGTTCTCAGCCTCCCGAGTAGCTGGGACTACAGGCGCATGCCACCACGCCTGGCTAATTTTTGTATTTTTAGTGGAGACAAGGTTGCACCATGTTGGTCAGGTTGGTCTCGAACTCCTGACCTCAGATGATCCACCCACCTCAGCTCCCAAAGTACTGCGATTACAGGCATAAGCCACTGTGCCCAGCCTCCAGCCTGACAGTTAATGAGTAAAAACTATCACTTTCTAGCAGGCCCAAGAACCTTAAGACTATAGGTAAAATCTAAAATCTGCCTTGATTTGGCTTCTTAGCCTCAAAAAGTTTCTAAATCTGAAATTCCTATGTGATCAATGTAGATCTTTTATCAGCATTGCATAGTTTTTAACACACAAGTTTAGTATGTATGTTGTTAGATTTACACATATGGATTTCATTTTTTGAGTGATTGCAAATGGTGTTTATTTTTTAATATTAAGCTTTGATGAAGTAAAATGGATACACAAATAATGCCCATATTTAATGGATACATCTTGATGAGTTTGGACATATGCATAGACCCATGATACTTTCACCACAAAGTACCAAACATATCCATCATTTCCAAAAACTTCCATGTGTTTTTTTGTTTTGTTTTGCTTTTTGCTAAGAACATTTAAGTTTTAGCCTCTTAACATAAAGTGCACAATACCATATTATTAACTGTAGGTACTTTGTTATACAGCGGATCTCTAGAACTTACTGATTTTGCATAACTGAAACTTTACATCTATTGGATAATTCCCCATTTTCTTCTCCCCTCAGCCCCTGGCAACCACCACCTTACTCTCTGCTTTTATGAGTTTGATTATTTTAGATACCTCATATAAGTGTAATCATGTCATATTTATCCTTAATGGTTTTTTATTTTAAATCATATTTCCACATATTCATTGCTAGTATAGAAATACAATTGCTTTTTATATGTTTATCATGTATCCTATGACCTTGCTTAACTAATTTATTCTAGTTTTTCTGTAGTTTTTTTTTGGAATTTTCTGCGTAGATGGTCATATAAGCTGCAAATAGAGACCATTTTCCTTCTTTCTGATATGAATATCTTTTATTTCTTTTTCCTGCCTTATTGCACTGGCTAGAACTTCCAGCACTTTGTTTAATAAGACTGGTGAGAGTAGACATCCTTTCCCTGTTCCCAGTCTTAGGAGGAAAAACATTGAGTCTTTCACCATTAAATATAATGTTAGCTGCAGGTTTTCTGTAGATGCTCTTTATCAAGTTGAGGAAGTTCCTGTCTGAATTAGTATTGTATTGCTATTATAACAATATACCACAAATTTAGTGCTTTAAGATAATGCAAATTTATTCTTTTATAGTTCTGGATGTGAGAAGTCTGAAATGTGTTTCATGGGCTAAAATTAATATACAGAGCTGAATTCCTTCTTGGGGCTCTAGGGATGGACATAATTGTTTCCTTTGGCTTGTGTAACAAATCATCACAAGTTAGGTAGCTTAAAACAACAGTAATATATTATTTCACAGTTCTAGAGTCCATAAATCAGCTTCATCAGGCTAAAATCAAGGTGTTGGCAGGACCATATGTCCACTGGATGCTCTAGGGAAGAATCTGTTTCTTGCCTCTTCCAGCTTCTGGTAGCTGCTGACATTCCTTGACATGTGGCCCCATTATGCCAATCTTTGCCTCCATGGTTACATGGAAATCATATGGTTCTTTTCTGTGTATACCAAATCTCCCTCTGCCTCTTATAAGAATACTTGCAATTGGATTTAGGGCACACCTTATTCCTTGGCTTGTAGCCCTTTCCTCCATGTTCAAAGCACATCACTACAACCTTTGCTGTCATCATCACTTCTCTCTTTTAGTAGCCTTTGTGACTACATCAGGCTCTTCCAGACAGGGCAAACCCTCCATCTCAAGATCTTTGATTTAATCACATCTGCAAAGTACCATTTCATATAAGGTAACATATTCACAGGTTCCGTTCATTAGGATGTGGATACATTTGGGGAGCTATTGTTCATCCTCTATTTCCATTTTTCTGAGAGTTTTTATCAAACAGGTGTTGAATTTTGTCAAACTTTTTTCTGCCTCAATTGATATATTTTTATTCTTCTTTAGTTTATTAGACTATATGTTGGATTACATTGATTGAGCTTCAAATAGTGACCAGCCTCACAGCCCTGGAACAAACTCTACTTGGTCATGATGTATAATCCTACACACATACACACACATGCACATACACAAATTCTATTTGCCAATATTTTGTTAAGGATTTTTTTGGTGCCTATATACTTGAGGGGTGTTGGTTTGTAATTTTCTTTTTTCTATTTCCTTTGTCTGGTTTTGGTATCAGGGTTATGTCAACCTCATAGAATAAATGAATCAGGAAGCATTCCCTTCTGTTTTCCAAAACAGATTGCATGGAATTGGTTTTAATTCTTTAAACATTTGATAGAATTCTCTGGTGAAATTACCTCAACTTAGAGATTTGTTTTTTTTTTAATTATGGATTCAGGCCAGCATGGCAGCTCATGCCTGTAATCTCAGCACTTTGGGAGGCCAAGGCAGGAGGATCATTTGAGCCCAGGAGTTTGAGACCAGCCTGTGCAACATATTGAGACCTGTTTTTACAAAAAATTTAAAAATTGGCCGGGTATGGTGGTGCATGCCTGTGGTCCTAGCTATCCAGGAGGCTGAGATAGGAGGGTAGCTTGAGCCTGGGAGGTCGAGGCTGCAGTGCCTGGGCGACAGAGAACCTGTCTCAGAATATAAAATAAGATAAAAAATAGAATTATAGATTCAACACTTATAAGGCTTGAATGATCTGTTTCACACTGGTTGAGTTGTGACAGTGTGTTTTTCGAGGAGTTGATCTATTTGGTCTAAGTTGTCCCATTTATATATGACAAACTCTGCATAGTATTCTCTGATTATTCTTTTGATGTTTGCAGGGTCAATAGTGATAGCCCATTTGATTTTGATATTGGTCATCTATGTTTTCTCTCGTTTTTTGGGTCAGTTTGGCTATAGGTTTCTAAATTTTATTGATATTTATATATACAAAACCAGCTCTTGGCTGGGCGTGGTGGCTCATGCCTGTAATCCCAGCACTTTGGGAGGCAGAGGCAGGTGGATCACGAGGTCAGGAGTTCAAGACTAGCCTGACCAATGTGGTGAAAGCCCGTCTCTACTAAAAGTACAAAAAATAATAATAATTAGTCGGGCGTGGTGGCACGCGCCTGTAATCCCAGCTACTCAGGAGGCTGAGGCAGAAGAATCGCTTCAGCCTGGGAGGCAGAGGTTGCAGTGAGCCGAGATTGCACCACTGCACTCAGCCTGGGTGACAGAGTAAGACTCTGTCTCAAAAAATAAAAAATAAAATAAAAGACAACAAAAAAACAGCTCTTTGTTTCATTGTTGTCTTTTTTTTTTTTTTTTGAGATGGAGTCTTGCTCTGTCACCCCAGGCTGGAGTGCAGTGGCACGATCTCGGCTCACTGCAACCTCCGCCTCCTGGGTTCAAGCAATTCTGTTGCCTCAGCCTCCTGAGTAGCTGGGATTACAGGTGTGCACCACTATGCCCAGCTAATTTTTGTATTTTTAGTAGAGATGGGGTTTCACCATGTTGGCCAGGCTGGTCTCAAACTCCTGACCTCAAGTGATCCGCCCACCTCAGCCTCCCAAAGTGCTGGGATTGCAGGTGGCAGCCACCACGCCCGGCTCATTGATTTTTTTCTATTGTTTTCTGTTTTCCATTTCACTGATTTATGATTTTATCTTTATTTTTCCTTCCTTCTGCTTATTTTGAATTTATTTTTATTTGCACTTCTTTTTCAAGATTCTTGGGAGAGGAGCTTAGATTATTGATTTGAGGCTTTTTCTCTTTTCTAATGTTTGCATTTAGTGCTATAAATGTCCCTCTCAGTGCTGCTTTGCCTTGTCCTACAAATTTTGAAATATTTTATTTTCATTCATTTTAATGTATATTTTTATTTCCCGTGAGATTGGCTCTTTGACCCACGGATTATTTAGAAGTGTGTTATTTCCAAGTGTTTAGAGAATTTCCTATCTTAATTGCTATTGATTTCTACTTTGACCCTACTGTGGTCGAAGAACACACTGTATATTATTTTAATTCTTTTTTTTTTTTTTTTGAGATGGAGTCTTGCTCTGTTGCCCAGGCTGGAGTACAGTGGCACAATCTCGGCTCACTGCAACTCTGCCTCCCAGGTTCAAGCGATTCTCCTGCCTCAGCCTCCTGAGTAGCTGGGCACACCCAACTATTTTTTTTTTTTTTTTGTATTTTTAGTAGAAATAGGGTTTCACCATGTTGGCCAAGCTGCTCTCGAACTCCTGACCTCAAATGATCCACCCATCTTGGCCTCCCAAAGTTCTGGGATTACAGGTGTGAGCCACCACACCTGGCTAGTGTATGATTTTAATTCTTCTAAATTTGTCGAGGTTAGTTTTATGGCCCAGGAAATGACCTTAGTGTATGTTCCATGGGCACTTAAAATGACCATGTGTTCTGCTGTTGTTGGCTAGATTGTTCTATAAATGTCAATGAGATCCTGTTGGTTGGTGGTGGTGTTGAATTTTTCTATCTCCTTACTTATTTTCTGTCTAGTTGTTCTATTGATTGCTGAGAGAGGTGTGTTGACATCTTCAACTATGTTTGTTGTATTAGTCTGCTCAGGCTGCTGTAACAAAATACCATGAACTGGGTGGTTTTGACAACAGAAATGTATTTCTCACAATTCTGGAGGCTGCTAACTAACTCCCTGATGAAGGTTTGGCAGGGTCAGTTGCTGGTGAGGGTCCTCTTCATGGCTTGCAGATGGTTGCTTTCTTCTATGTCAACACATGGCCTTTCTGTAATGCATATGCACGTGTGTGAGGGGAAAGAGAGAGAAAACTCTTTCTCTTCTATAAGGCCACCAATCCTATCGGGTAAGGACCCTATCCTTATGACTTCATTTAACCTTAAGTATAGGGGATCTGTCAGAGTGGTGGCAAAAACTATAGGGAAAGGACGCAGACCTTCTGAAAGGTCGGAAGGTTCTGCAGAGCCCTGGGGGAGAATAGCTGAAGGCAGCTGTTATAGATAACCCTGAGGCAGAGGGCAAGGAGTAGGTACAAGGGAGTGGGGGGAGTTTATCTTAAATAGGCTTGTTGACCAGGAACTGACCTTTTATCATCTGTGAGTGTTCCCTGAAAGGGGAACAATAAATGTTAATTATCTGCAGGTTGTGTTGGCTCCAGGTTTTTGGCATTGTGCCTGCACTGAATAAAAGCAAACAGCTCCAGGGCTGGGTGTGGTGGCTCACGCCTGTAGTCCCAGCACTTTGGGAGGCCAAGGCAGGCAGATCATGAGGTCAGGAGATTGAGGTCATCCTGGCTAACACGGTGAAACCCCGTCTCTACCAAAAATACAAAAAAATTGGCTGGGTGTGATGGCACATGCCTGTAATCCCAGCTACTCGGGAGGCTGAGGTGGAAGAGTCACTTGAACCCGGGAGGCGGAGGTTGCAGTGAGCCGAGATCATGTCATTGCATTCCAGCTCAGGAGACAGTGCGAGACTCTGTCTCAAAAAACAAACAAACAAAAAAAAGAGCAGCTCCAGCTTCTTGGGGCTGCTCTGTAGCCACTAGAGCCAAGCAGTCACCTAGCTGCTTTTACACTGCATACCTGTGTCTGAGGACTCATTTCATCCATCGGCCAGGGTCTGCGGGACAGACCTGGCAGGTGGTGCCCCACGTGAGGAACGCTGCAATGGATCGCGACAGAACCCTTGAAAACAAAAGTGAAGTGACTGCGCAGTAAGTAATTGGTGCCTGCTGGGGATTTCCAAGTTTGAGGGGATTTTCAAGCTAGGGTTTCATCATGGGACAACAGTTATAAGCTCAACAGCAACAGTATATAAAAGTATTGAAACAGCTGCTTAAAGTAGAGCCTTGGTCTCGGAGGCCCAGTTAAGGGACCTAATACAAACTTGTTTTCCCAGAAGAAGGCACACTAGACCTAGAGCTCTGGGAACAAGTGGGAAGAAATCTTAAACGACATCATGTGCAAGGGCAATGGGTACCAGTAACATCTTTAACGTTATGGGCCTTAGGGCTGCTTTGGCTCCGCTCTACACAGAAGAACCTAAAAAGGAAAGGGAGGAAGAACCATCATCTACCTTACCACCTCCTCCTCGTCCCTCAGCCCCGCCATTACCGGGTAAAGGTGCCACAGAGATTTTCCCTGAGCCCCCTCCCCCAATAAATTGGAAAAAAGACAAGAGATACACTACAGTTATGGCACCCTGTCTTAGGCAAGTGGCATTAGAAGGGGAGCTCTTGGCCTGCCTGGTGATGCAAGATCAACAAGGCAATCAGGTACATGAACCCATTACTTTCAACACTTACAAGGAAACAAGAAAAAGCATTAGAGAAAACGGAGTGCTAGCCCACGTATGAAAGGATTAATTGAGGCCATAGCAGGTAACTTCCATATGACCCCATGGGACTTATCAGTGCTAGCTAAAACAACTTTAGAGGCCAGTCAATACCTCCACTGGAGGGCAGAATATGATGAGTTGTGTGAAGAACAAGCCAACCAGAATCAATTGGCTGGGCAAAACATAACGAGGCTGCTATGCTCCAGGGGAGGGGTCCCTATGTCAATGTACAATAACAATTACATTGTCCCCCAAGCATATGTACAAGTGTCCTTATGCACCTGCAGGGCTTGGGACCGAATTCCCGAAGGCAGAGTTCAACAGGGATCTTTTGTAAATGTTCGACAAGGGCCTCAGGAGCCATTTGTTGAATTTATCAGTCGGTTAACCCAGGCAATTAAGAGACAAATTAGTCATGCCCAGGCCACTGATATTGTTGCAATTGGCTTATGAAAATGCTCATATAGAACAGCTGTCTTCAGCTAGTCTCCCCTGGGGCTCTGCAAAACCTTCTGACCTTTCAGAAGGTTTGCGTCCTTTCCCTATAGTTTTTCCCACCACTCTGACCGATCCCCCCACACTTAATTACTTCCTAAAAACCTCATCTCCAAGTATAGTCATATTGGAGGTTAGGGCTTCAACATATGAATTTGGGAGGGATACAGTTCAGTCCATGACATTTGTAGACTTGTTTACATTTCTCAGTTCAGTCAGTTTTTCCTTCACATGTTTTGCAGCTCTTTTGTTTAGTGCATACACATTTAGGATTGCTATGTCTTCTTGATTCATTGACCCTTTTATCATTATATAATGCTCGTTGTCTCTTGTAGTTTTCTCTGCTGTGAAGTGTACTTTATGAGCTGTTAATATAGTCACTCCTGGCTGGGCATGGTGTCTCACACCTGTAATCCCAACATTTGGGGAGGCCAAGGCTGGAGGATTGCTTGAGCCCAGGAATTTGAGGCTGCAGTGAGCTGTGATTGTGCCGCTGCAGTGAGCTGTGATTGTGCCACTGCACTCTAGCCTGGGTGACAGAATGAGACCTTGTCTCCCCAAAAATAATAAAGTTCCTCTTGCTTTCCTTTGATTAATGTTTGCATAATATATCTATCTTTTTACTTTCAACTTGCCTATATTGTTATTTGAGGTGAGTTTCTTATAGACATCATATAGTTGGTTCATGCTTTTTAATCTACTCTGTCAATCTCTTTATTTATTTTTGAGACACGGTCTCACTCTGTTGCCTGGGCTGGAGTGCAGTGGTGCAACCTCAGCTCACTGGAACCTCCACCTCCCAGGTTCAAGCAATTCTCATGCCTCAGCCTCCTCAGTAGTTGGGATTACAGGCACGCACCACCACACCCAGCTAACTTTTGTATACTTAGTAGAGATAGGGTTTCAACATGTTGGCCAGGCTGGCCTTGAACTCCTGACCTCAAGCGATCTGCCCACCTCAGCCTCCCAAAGTGCTAACATTACAGGCATGAGCCTCTGCACCCGGCCTCAATCTCTTTTAATTGGTGTTTTATACCATTTACATTTAATATAATTATGATATATTGGGGCTTAAGTGTGCCATTTTATATTATTTTCTAGTTATCCTGTTTTTTATTCTTTTGCCTGCTTCTTTGTGAGTTACCTGACCAATTTTTAAAAACCAATTTTGATTTACCTAGACAGTGTTTGAGTATATCTCTTTGCATAACTTTTTAGTGGCTGTCTTGGATATTTATATACACACATAAAACTTGTCAAAGTCTATTGGTGTCACCATTTACCAATTGAGGAAAGCATAGAAGCCGTACCTCCCTGTATGTCCCTTTATATCACGTTACCCTCTCCGCTTAAAGTAAAATTGTCTTAAATATTTCCTTTACATACATTTAGAACCACATTAGACAGTGTTATGATTTTTGCTTCAACCATCAAGCATCATTTAGAAAACTCTAGAGAAGGAGAGTCTAGTGTATTTACCCATATTTTTGCTTAAATGTTCATTCATCCTTCCTGATGTTCCAAGTTTCCTTCTTTTATCATTTCCATTCCTTCTTTTTCACCACTGGGCATGGTGGCTCACGCCTGTAATCCCAGCACTTTGGGAGGCTGAGGTGGGTGGATCACTTGAGGTCAGGAGCTCGAGACCAGCCTGGCCAACATGGTGAAACCCTGTCTCTACTAATAATACAAAAATTAGCTGGGCGTGGTGGTGCGTGCCAGTAGTTCCAGCTACTCAGGAGGCTAAGGCACAAGAATCACTTGAACCCAGGAGGTACAGGTTGCAGTGACCGAAGATCATGCCACTTCATTCCAGCCTGGGCAACAGAGTGAAACTGTCTCTCTCTCTCTCAAAAAAAAAAAAAAAAAAAAACCCAAAATTTTTTTCACCAATGTTTTAGGGTAGATCTGCTCCTGACGAAGTTCCTTAGTTTTCCTTCATCTGCGAATGTCTTGATTCCCCTTCCTTCCTAAAGAATATTTTTGCAGGCTATAGGCTTTTTCTTTCAGCACCTGAAAAATATTGTGCTAATTTCTTCTGGCCTCCACGGTTTCTGAGGAGAAATCCGGTCATTCAAATTGCTTTTCCCATATAGGTAAGGTGTCATTTTTCTCTAGCTGCTTCCATGAATTTTTTTTTTTTTTGTCTTTCATTTTCAGAAATTTAATTTTGAGGTATCTTGGTGTGAATTTCTTTGGGTTGTCAACCTAAATAATAGAGGTGCTCTAAAAGGAAATGATATTCATTCAGGAATAGGGCATTACAATGAGAATATGCATGCGATAGTAAACTATGTGCATATTAAAGGAAGAAAAAGGTTTCTAAAGAAAAAAATGAGGATTATAAAATCCTTTTAAGATAATTATCCTAGCCAAGTGTGGTGGCTCATGCTTGTAATCCCTGCACTTTGGGAGGCTGAGGCAAAAGGATCACTTGAGCCCAGGAGTTCTAGACCACCCTGGACAATGTGGTGAGAACCCATCTCTACAAAAATAAAAATAAATTAGTGGGGCATGGTGGCATGTACCTGTACTCCTAGCTACTTGGGAGGCTAAGGTGGGAGGATTGCTTGAGCCCAGGAGTTTGAGGTTGCAGTGAGATATGATCACAGCATTGCACTCCAGACTGGAGACAGGGAGAGACCCTGTCTCAAAAGGAAAAGAAATAAAAAATAAAAAAAAAATTATCCTTGGCTACAAGGGTCAATAACAAGGGTGTGCCAGTTCAAGGTTGGACAGTCAGTTGTTGAGCAGATGTCCTCACAGAAGTATTTTTTGTGTGGTTGTGATGGCTTTTGTGTAACGTGGTTTTTGCAGTCTTTTGTAATAGTTTTTGTTATCAGGTATTTATGTATGACCCTTCTCTTCATGGCCTACCTTGGCTCTATTTTTCAGAGTTTTTTTTTTTTTTTAAACATAAGTAACTCCATTTTAATTCTGATAACTTTCACATTTCTCCCTTTTGATCAAATTCTTTCTCTAAAAGCATCAGTGATCAATCATTCTGTAGTTAGATTTTGATGTCCCTCAGTGCCAGGATGAACCTGTCCCAGGTTACTGGTTTGGTTCTGCATTAGAAGGAGTTTTGGCAAGTAGGAGTAAGTGTCAAAACCTTTTTAGCCACATTTGAGCAACAAGGGAGGTTTGAGGGAGTGGTTGTCAGATTAAGTCTACCTGGAGTCCATTATTAAGTTCAATTTGTCTGTTCCTGTAGTCTTGCTATCATCTCAAAGTGCTGGACCAGCATTTCTGGTTAGAAGCATATTATGTTAGGAGTTGTACTTCTGCAAAAATTTGACAAGTAACATAACAGATACACAGTTTAAAAAGGGAAAATACAAAGTAAAATTCATAGTAATGACAATCTCAGTTTGCATAATGGTTTTGAGCCATTAAACCAGGCTTAAAAAGGCAACCAGTTGTGTAAATCAAATGACCATTATCCTGTCAAGTGAAAATGGCAGGCAGTAAGAGGGTAAGCGTCTCATGATACTGAATCTTATGGAAAAGCTGTCTATAGTGTGAGAACGTCAACTTCTCATCTCAGCTTGTAGTTTGAATGTCTTTGGTTATGGCATCAGGTGGTTTGCTGAACTTTTTTTGTGGCCTATAAATCTGGCATGACATTTGTTTCTTAAAATTAATCTAGTTTCAGCTCATAGGGCTTTAAGAATAGAATGGTAGAGTAGCTGGAAGAATTTTTAATAATTAATTTTTTTTTAATTCCATGGAAGAAAGTTAGATTGGAAGAATCAGGAAGAATTTAGGTTTAGGATCTAGTCTAGATTATAGGTAGAAAATAAGAACTTGAAAACAATGCATAGAGCTAGAATCTAACAACAGGTATGTTGCAGCATTTTTTTTTCTTTTTTTTCTCTTGAGATGGAGTCTTGCTCTGTTGCCCAGGCGGAAGTGCAGTGGTGTGATCTTGGCTCACTGCAACCTCCGCCTCCAGAAGAAGCAATTCTTCTGCCTCAGCCTCCCAAGTAGCTGGGACTACAGGTGATCGCCACCACGCCCAGCTATTTTTTTTTTTTTTTTTGAGACGGAGTTTTGCTCTTTTTCCCAGGCTGAAGTGCAGTGGTGCGATCTCTGCTCACTGCAACCTCTGCCTTCTGGTTTCAAGTGACTCTCCTGCCTCAGCACCCCGAGTAGCTGGGATTACAGGCACCAGCCACCACACCAGGGTAATTTTTGTATTTTTAGTAGAGATGAAGTTTCACCATGTTGGCCAGGCTGGTCTCGAACTCCTGACCTCGTGATCCTCCCACCTTGGCCTCCCAAAGTGCTGGGATTAAGGTGTGAGCCACCTCGCCTGGCCAATTTTTTGTATTTTTTAGTAGAGACAGGGTTTCACCGTGTTAGCCAGGATGGTCTAGATCTCCTGACCTCGTGATCTGTCCGCCTTTGCCTCCCAAAGTGCTGGGATTACAGGCGTGAGCCACCACCCGTGGCCTTTTCTTTTTTGAGACAGGATCTTACTTCGTCACCCAGGCTGGAGTGCAGTGGTGCGATCATAGCTCACTGCAGCCTCAGCCACCTGGGCTCAGTGATCCTCCCACCTCTGCCTCCTGAATAGCTGGGACTACAGGCACGCACCACCACACCCAGCTAATTTTTTGTATTTTTGTAGAGATGAGGTTTTGCCATGTTGCCCAGACTGGTCTTGAACTCCTGGGCTCAAGCAATCCATCTGCCTCAGCCTCCCAAAGTGCTGAATTACAAGCATGAGCCACAGTGCCTGGCTGTAGCATTTCTTTAGAAACGTAACTTTTTCTTTCTACATTGATCACATAGGAATTTCAGATTTAGAAACCTTTTGAGGCTAAGCCAAATCAAGGAAGATTTTACATTTTACCTATAGCCTTAAAGTTCTTGGGCCTGCTAGAAAGTGACAATTTTTACTCATTAACTATCAGGCTGGAGGCTGGGCACAGTGGCTCATGCCTGTAATCCCAGCACTTTGGGAGCCGAGGTGGGTGGATCACCTGAGGTCAGGAGTTCGAGACCAGCCTGACCAACATGGTGAAACCCCATCTCCACTAAAAATACAAAAACTAGCCAGGCGTGGTGGCACATGCCTGTAATGCCAGCTACTCAGGAGGCTGAGGCAGGAGAATCGCTTGAACCCAGGAGACGGAGGTTGTAGTGAGCCGACACCGCACCATTGCACTCCAGCCTGGACAACAAGAGTGAAACTCCGTCTCAAAAACAAAACGAAACTATCAGGCTGGGAACCCTTGAAGGGCATTCTATGTTCTCAAATACGACGTTCCAGTCAGAGCCTTGGTAATATAACCAATATTTTCAATCGCACTCTATAAAAAAAAGAGCAAATTTTTATTGAACTTATGTGCATAACCATGTTGCCATAAAAAAATAAGAATACTCCCAAGTAGTTTCTAAATTTTGGAGGAATCAAGTAGGGAAGAAAAGAAAATTCTTCCATGTTTCTTCACAAAAGTATATTTTACCAAACTCTAAAGAGAAAAAATTTCCTTAAACTTGAAAATGAAACATTTAAGGAAAGAACCAATAATATTTTACATAAAAGTAACAAGAAAGTCCAGGTGCAGTGGCTCATACCTGTAATCCCAGCACTTTGGGAGGTTGAGGCAGGTGGATCACCCAAGGTCAGGAGTTTGAGACCAGCCTGACCAACATGGTGAAACCCCGTCTCTAATAAAAATACAAAAATTAGCCAGGCGTGGTGGCACGTGCCTGTAATCCCAGCTACTTGGGAGGCTGAGCAGGAGAATCACTTGACCTGGGAGGTGGAGGTTGCAGTGAGCTCAGATCACGCCACTGCACTCCAGCCTGATCGACAGAGCGGGACTCTTGGGGGAAAAAAAATAAAAAATGTAACCAAAACATTACCATCATCAGTGTTACTTAATCTTATGTAATTAATTTTTTTCTGCTTGATCTTGATTAGCAGTTTCATGAATTCAAGTCTCTTCATTAGAGTTCTGAAAAAATTTTATTTAGTCTTGATCTTATAGTTATTAGTAACCTAGACTGAAGAGTTTTGTTACAGTCTTTTCTGTGAATCTGATTGCAGATATCTTTAGAAAAAATCAAAACTGTTGATGACAGAGACTTAGAATAATCATGATTAAAAATTGGATGGAAATTGGTTATAATCAGCAATTGACAAGGAAATTTGGCTATGTTCTGGCTTATGACATAATAACCAGATTTATGACTGATAAATTAGATTTCTAAGAGTTTTATACAATTTTGGAAGATTCTTATCAATAACTTATCCATTCATGTAACTAAAAGAAGATCTTGCCTCACTTACTATTTGACAAGGTTTCCCAAACCATTTTCTAAATAATCCTAATTTTAGTAGCTCTAACATTCTTTTACCTTCTCTGGGGCCCAATTGGAAAATCCCAAAGTTAAATCTAGCTTAAAAAGACTTAAGTTAGAATTTTGATATTGGGGAAGCCCATCAAAGATGCCAAAAGATATAAAGCACTTGATCAAAACAGGATCATATGGCACAGTGAAATAATAGTCATGCGTTTAACCACAGTGGTAATCAAGACTTCAGAAGAAATAGAGAAAATTATATGGATGTAAAAACAATCCTTTCAAAGCTCAGTTTTCTTAAGTAATAAAAAAAACCTATTAAAGACAGTATAGGAATTTATCTTGGTAAAACATAAAATCTTTAGATTTTATTTATTTTTATTTTTTTTTTTGAGACAGGGTCTCACTCTGTCACCTAAGCTGGAGTACAATGGCACAATTTTGGCTCACTGCAACCTCTGCCTCCTGGGCTCAAGTGATCCTCCCACCTTAGTTCCCTGAGTGGCTGGGACTACAGGTGTGCACCACCATGCCCAGGTAATTTTTGTAATTTTTTTATACAGATGGGGTTTCGCCATGTCACCCAGGCTGGTTTCAAACTTCCAAGCTGAAGCGATCCACTCACCTTGGCCTCCCAAAGTGCTGGGATTACAGACGAGAGCCACTGCACCTGGCCCAAGATTCTTTCTCATACAAAATTATTCTTTTTAACTTACTTACGAAAAATACTCTTCATACCTATAACTTTCTTCATATCTCTCTCCCCTAGTTACCGATTCCTTTCTACCTTGTTTCTAGTTCCTTTCTAAATTTACTTTTTGAAATTACCTTTAAATAATCTCCAAATTAGACAAAATTATTCTTTTTTTCTCAAAGAGAAAAAACCATTTTATAATTTTTAGAAACATGTTTCCCCATAATTTTTAATGTGTACTAACGGGCCAAAATATATTTAATCTTTCTATAAAATTTAAGAAGCAGGAACAAAAATATTTATGTTCAGTCATTTGTTTCAGTTTTTTATCTTATTTGGAAATGACCCAGACATTTAATGAACATCTATCATTTAATTGAATTAAGCATAATTTTAGATTTCCAATTAGCCAGGTGTGGTGGCACACACCTGTAATCCCAGCTATTTGGGAGGCTGAGGCAGGAGGATTGCTTGAGCCCAGGAGTTTGTGAACAGCCTGGCTACATAGTAAGATGCCACATTAAATAAAAAATAAAAATAAATACACTTTAAAAGATTTTAAATTACATGAAAAGTTCATGTATAAATGTTTTTCCTCTTTATATTTACATGATGTATTTATGTTTAACAGTTTACCTAGATTACTTATGAAAACTGAGGTATTAGACAAAGCTTGTCATCATTTCAAGTTATTTCTCTGTTAACCATTTTTATAGCCTCTGAATATCAAGTGTTCACCTAAGAAATTTAAATATATGGGTATTTTGTTGATAACACAGGAGATACAGCTGATTTTATGAAACCAACAATATTAAATTAGCCTTATTTACCAAAGGGTTACACAAAGATTATTCTGTTTTTAAGCTGAATTTACAGTTTAATATCTAAGAGACCAGCATGCAGCCAAAAATGCATACCGACTATTTTGAAGACATTTCTATTTTTATGTTACCAATAATTTAAAAACTAGCTTATTTATTAAAGATTTACTTCTAAAAGGCATTTGGGTTAATTACTATATATTTTCTATGAGTGCTCATTTATCTAAGCTAATCTGAATAGAATTCCCTCAGGGATTTCTGGCTGATTATGTCAGATTTTACCATGTAGACACAACATATATAATACATGTATATATGCATAAATACACCAGATGCTTACACACGCACACAAATCTTATAGCTTTCATTTTAAAATTTTAGTCATGAGAGAGTAATACAAACTCACCAGTTTATAAAAGATGGTTGCATCCAACTTACGCTTCTGACAAAATGGGACCTGTTCACATGGCTAAATTTTGCTCCAATAACTAATCCAGTGAAAGCTGTGGAACAAAATTTTCGTAAACAGTTTAGCTTTTTAAAATCTCTTCATCCTTTTCCTTTTTTCTGTTTCAAAGAGTTTGGGGGTAACTCTTCAGTGTTTGCATTTTAACTAAGACCAACTGAACTGTATAAGAAGAACAGTCTCCAAGTGGCCTTGAATTAGCAGCAAATTTATCTTTTGTTTGCTGGTCTGGTTTACTTGAATAATCAACGTGGATGGGCAAGCATTTTGGCTGTGTGTGTGTGTGTATGTGTTTTTTTTTTTTTTTTTTTTTCTTTTGGCTTTTTCTGGTGCCTTGTGTCAGACTTAAGCAGTTTTTATGCTGGACAGAGAAACCTTATATTATTACTCTGAGCTAATGATTGTCACCTGTTTGGTCTAGAAGCCCAATTTTTTTTTTTTTGAGACGGAGTCTGGCTGTGTCACCCAGGCTGGAGTGCAGTGGCATGATCTCAGATCACTGTAATCTCTGCCTCCTGGGTTCAAGCGATTCTCCCGCCTCAGCCTCCCAAGTAGCTGGGATTACAGGCACCTGCCACCATGCCCGGTTAATTTCTGTATTTTTAGTAGAGATAGGGTTTCACCATGTTGGCCAGGTTGGTCTCAAACTCCAGACCTCAAGTGAGCTGTCTGCCTCGGCCTCCCAAAGTGCTGGGATTAAACCTGGCCCTGAGAACCTAACTTTTATAAGCATTTACCTAGTTCTTTTTCTTGTAGACTATTAATCCTTCAATTAACTGTTCTATCACCTTAAGTGGTTGTTAGACAAACCTAAATTTACATTTACAAAAGGTGTCTAGGTTGTTGGCTGCCATGAAGCTGTTGTAATTTGTAAAGCCATTAATTTGAAAGACCTTTAAGATAAAAAAAAAAAAATTGGCTGGAATGCCATTAGAAGAGAGTGTTATCTCAACACCAGCAGAAAAGTTAGCAGATTCAAAGTAGAGATCTTAGAAGGATCCATATGTTAACATTGTAGTTGGAGGGTTTGTGTGTGTTTTTTTTTTCTTTTTTAGAGGGTTTGACTAATGACCATTGAGCTCTGAATTTTCCTTCACGTAATTTGCCCATCAGTTAAAAAATATGCATAAGAATGGGCCATATTATATAGCTGGCTGGAGCCTCAGAAAACCTGGCATGCCTTAGCGTTTGTGAATCCCATTCCATTTCTTATTAATCTCTCAAGAGCAAAGATAATCCTGTAAATCCACCAGAGAATGTCAGGCGTCTGGACTGGTATTTTAGATCATGGCAACTGCCCTCATGGCTTTTAATTAGTCATCCACTAGTGTCTGCCATTTGGAATGTTTATTTTTGCTCTTGGAGAATTTCCAGAAATCAGCAAAGGAAAAGGGCCAAATCATTTACAGACACGCATAACCAAACCAAAATGAGACCAAAATTAGTGTTCACAATACTTTTAACCCAGGTGTGCAGATTAAACACACTATTAAATTAGGCATGCAGGAAGAACCAAAAGTAAATTCTCCAGAAAAGACTTGCCTCACAGATAGGATATAAATTCTGTAGAAACCAGAGCACTCAAACCAGAAGGGCCCTTGTCCTCATCCCAGAAAGGACTTTCCAGAAAGGACAAAAAGTCTTTTATCATCCCAGGAGGGAGGGATGTAGTGTCCTTTATTAAAGACAGACTTGTAACTGAAACAAATCCTCTATAAAGTGAAAAACAACTCACCAAAGAGAGGGAGTCTGAGAATCCTACAGGAGATTCACCTGGCTGGAAAAGGCAACTCATGAAGATGGAGAGCACAAAGGGCTCAGTCAGAATACACTCAGTTTCAGGGGCCTCTGATTCTTCTGAAGTGAGCCTGCCTCATCCCACTTCTGACAACATTTATGTCAATCTCAATAACAAATGGAGTGAGGCCCTCTAATAAAAGAAAATGATATTTATTTGGTAATAAGGTATTGCAATGGGAATACATGTGTGATAGTAAACCATGTGCATATTCAGGGACCTGAAGGAAGACAGAGGTTTTCAAAGGAAAAATGAGGATTACATAATTGTTTTGAGATAATTATCCTTGGCTACAAGGATCAATAACAACGGTGGGGCCAGTTTGGGGTTGGACAGTCAGTTGCTGAGCAGATGTCCTTGCAGAAGTATTTTTTTGGTATAAGGTTGTGATGGTCTTTGTGCTAGGTTCTAGTTTTCAAAAGGTTGTGGTCTTTTGTAATAATAGTTTTTGTTACCAGGCATTTATGCATGAGAACTGTCTCTCCAGCTTTTTTTTTTTTTTTAACACAAAAGTGACTGTTTTTTTTGTTGTTTTTTGTTGTTTCTCTCTTTCTTTCTCTCTTTCTTTCGTCTTTCCTTTTTTTTTTTTTTTTTTTGTGACACAGTCTCCCTCTGTTGCCCAGGCTGGAGTGCAGTGGCGCAATCTTGGCTCACTGCAACCTCCACCTCCTGGGTTCAAGCAATTATCCTGCCTCAGCCTCCTGAGTAGCTGGGATTATAGGCATGCACCGCCATGTCTGGCTCATTTTTTGGGCTTTTATCATGTTGGCCAGGCTGGTCTCGAACTCTTGGCCTCACGTGATCCACCTGTCTCAGCCTCCCAAAGTGCTGGGATTATAGGCATGAGTCACCATGCCCGGCCAGAAATGACTTTTAATTCTAACCACTTTCGCAGAGTTTATCTGGTTTGGGATTTGCTTGGCTTCTTGAATCTGAAGGCTTATGTTTGTTGCCAAATTTTGGAAGTTCTCAGGCATTATTTTTTTCAGTGCTTTTTTTTTTTTTTTTTTTGAGATGGGGGTCTCACTCTGTTGCCCAGGCTGGAGTGCAGTGGTGTGATCACAGGTCACTGCAGCCTCGACCTCCTGGGCTCAAGCAA
Source organism: Homo sapiens (assembly GCF_000001405.40). Taxonomy (NCBI): domain Eukaryota; kingdom Metazoa; phylum Chordata; class Mammalia; order Primates; family Hominidae; genus Homo; species Homo sapiens. The sequence goes on along the minus strand of NC_000006.12, from coordinate 35,095,053 downwards.
TTCTGCCACCTCAGCCTCCAGAGTAGTTGGGACTACAGGCACACACCATCACGCCCAGCTAATTTTAAAGTTTTTCTGTAGAGACAGGGTCCCACTATGTTGCCCAGGCTGGTCTTGAGCTCCTGGACTCAAGCAATTCTCCCACTTCGCCTTCCAAAGAGTTAGGATTACAGACATGAGCCACAATACCCGGCCTCGAGTATTTTCTTAGCCTCTTTTTCCCTCTTCTTCGTTGACACAATGTTAGATCTTTTGTTATGGTCACACAGGTCCCTGAGATGCTGTTCATTTTTTTCAATCTGTTTTCTCTCTGTTGTTCAGATTGGGTAATTTCTGTTGTTTTGTTTCCCAGTTTATGGTGCATTCTTTCCTTTCCCATCCACTCCACTCTTAAGCCCATCCACTGATTTTGGTTATTGTATTTTTTTAGTTCTAGAATTTCCAATAGGTTCTTTATATCTTTTATTTCTTTGCTCAGACATTTGACTTTTTCTTTTGCTACAAGTGTGTTTATAATTATTTGTTGAAACTTTCTTATGGCTGCTTTAAAATATTTGTCAGATAATTCTAATATCTGTCCATCTTGGTGCTGATATCTTTTTTTTTTTTTTTTCCAGACGAAGTCTCACTCTTTTGCCCAGGCTAGAGTGCAGTGACGCAATCTCGGCTCATTGCAACCTCTGCCTCCCCAGGCTCAAGCCATTCTCCTGCCTCAGGCTTCCGAGTAGCTGGGACTACAGGTTTGTGCCACCATGTCTGGCTAAGTGTTGATATCTATTGATTACTGCCTTTTAAATTCAGATTGAGAGTTTTCTGGATATTGGTATGATAAGTGATTTTCTATTGAAACTTGGACATTTCTGTTTCTCATTCTTATTTAAACCTTCTCTTTTAGCTGACTTTGACACCACTCTAGCAAGGGAAAAGGAAATAGCATACTACTGCCAGGTTGGGGGTCAAAGCCCAGCTTCCCCACCTGGCCTCCACTGACACCTGAGGTGGGAGGCTGCTTGTTACTGCTGGGGTGCCGTGGCACTCCCGGCTGCCCCTGTAGTTTCCACTGACTCCCAAGGCGGGAGCAGCATCACAATCACTGGGCGCTGGTGAGCGTTCTGTCTCTTCACCAGGCCCCCTCTGACAACATGCGTGAGGTTGTTGGGCACCTCATTATAGCTTTGTGAGGGCAGAGGTCTTGGCCTTTGCTGATCTGGGTGGGGCCCCATTTTTCCTGTGGTGCTTGGCTGGAGTAGAGCAGTTATTTATTGTCTAAATTTTCTGTCTTGCTAAGCTGCCCCTTTCCTGGTCCTCTGGCTGGGAAGAACAGGTTTTTGTCTGTGCCCACTGGTGTTTCCACTGGGGGTTTTAATCGTACTTAGTGGGAAGAGCAGGGAAAAGAGCATCTACTGATCTTCCGAGACATAGGCGTTAGTTTACTTTTGATAGCTGTTGTCAAGGTGTCCTTGTTACATGTGGTGCACATGTTAGTTTTCCATTGTTTCTTTTTCTCAAAGGTGCATTTTGCTATGCAGAAATGTTTAGTTTTTATAGACTCAAATATATTAATCCTTTTTAAAAAATGGATTCAGGGTTTTATAACGTTTGGAAAGGCCTTTCTCAAACCACGCTTATTAAAAAAAAGCCTCCCATTTTCTTCTAGCTTTGAGTTTTGTTTGTTTTTTTGTTTTTACATTTAAATATGTGAGCCATCTGGAATTTATTTTGGCATAAGTTGGAACAGGAATCTCCCTGCACTCCCTCCTCCTTGGCTGCCCAATTGTCCCAGCTCCATTTACTGAGTAATAAATATTTTATGGTGTTAGGAAAATTCTATTTGGTAAATAGTTGTTTATAATAGTGTTCCTAACAGCCGAATCCTGAAAAAAGCGGTCTCAAAGTCGTAGAGGCTGCACGGAGGAAGGGATGGTTCAGACTTTAGCTTTCCTTGTTGTTAGTTGATGACAGTGGGTGCAGTGTGAGCCCCAGGCTGAACTGCATGACACACTAGATAGTCGGCCTGTCCCTATTTATGGGACTTGGATACCCTCTGGGTTCAGGAAGTCAGGGGTGGCCATGGCTGACTAGAGGGTGTTTTGAGCTGCCTTGGAAAGTGCTCCAGCTTGAAAGTTCCTCCTCCGTGGCCTGGTCATTGCTGAGGATTGATCTATCCCAATTTTCAGTAGTAACAACCCAGCTGTCTAGGAGCCTGAGCATCTGTGAAGGGGAGGCTCATGAGGATGTGGAGGAGTATGACAGAAATGAGCCCCTGAAGGGGGAGAAAGGAATGAGTGGAAGAGGCCAGGGATTGTGCCTCACACAGAGGCAGAATGTGTAAGGTGGTCCCAGAAGGGATGATGATAGCAGCTATGTGTCCTGGTGCCCTGATGACACTAGTTATGACCTGACCTTTCTCTTCTGGCTGTCAGGTTTCTTCTGCTTAGGAAAGAGCGCCATAGCCAGGGAGCCAAGGGATGTGGGGATGAAGAACCCCTCTGGAATGTGAGGCCTCCCCCACTGGGCCTCAGTGGACTTTCCCAACTCAACGCAGTGTGGCCTACAAAGCCCTAGTTGGGAGTTACAACCTGGGATTTGGCTCTCTGCCATTCGCTGGCAGGCTGGCTAGGAGAGAATCATTTTCCAAGTCTGGACCTTGTTTTCTCTACCAATAAAAGAGGTTAAGTTTTAGACATAAACAACTATTGTTTATGTTCAATATGGGTACTGAACTAGATAAGTGAATTTTCTTTTTTAAGGCCCTTTTAAGAAACGGAAGCGTCCACAGAAACTCAGGAATAAAAGCGTTCAGTGCTAGGCAGCTGGGGTTGAAACAGGCCTAGGAACAGGGGCTCTGGCAGCTGGAGCCACTGGACCAGATGGGGCTCAAGGTCCCTCCCGCTTTATGAATAGAGGCCCTGGGCCCTGCTTTATGAATAGAGGTGACAACACCTGTCCGGAAAGGAGTGGGGCTAATGAGATGGTTGCCTGGAAAGCTAGCAGAGCTGGAACACAGGTGCTCCATCAGTGAAGGGGCCAAGGTGCTCCGTCAATCAGTGAAGGGGCCGCTATGACCGCTTGCTTGTGCTTTCCCAAATTCTCCCCTTTAAATACAGCTCAGCACCCTGCCCCTTCCTCTCCCTGCCACCAGCCCTCTGGGAACACTTTGCCCTCTGCATCCCTACCATAGCACGGCTTCGGGCTGGTAGCTAGTTGTTTATGTCTAAAACTTAACCTCTGCAATCCAAGCAAGTTCCTGAAAGGAGAGCACTTTCTTTCACAGCTCTAGATCCCCCAGGCTGCCTGGGAGGCAGATGTTCGGTTCATGTCTATGGGTGGACAAGCCCAGACCAAGAGGCAGAAGAGATGCCACTGCAGCAGTAACTAGAATGTGGCCCTGGCTTGGTGTTCACAGAACGATGTTCCTAAGGAGGGGAAGGTGAATCCTGGGGCCCTTGCGCCTCACAGCACAGCTGTAACTAACTGTTTGTTAGAGAGTGCGAGACAGAAAGCCAAACAGCCAAGCTGTCGTCATCTCAGCCAAACGGTGTAGGATGCGAATCACTGATCCTGAGCCTGCGTCTCGCCTGTGCCCACGCCTCTGCCAGAAAACCATCAAGACGCTTTCCAATTCAAAGACTCAGAAGAATTAAGGCTGCGTTCATGTCGCTTCTCATTTATTAATTCAGTCTGTTCTAAGTTGTGTACAGTTATGAAAATAACAAAACCAAAGCTGGAAGCCCAGAAATATTTACACTCTCTTGGGTACTGAGGTCAGTCTATGTTGTTGCACAGATTGGTTATGTTTGGTACCTCAAAGTGTTTATAATTCAGACAAAATCAGACAGATTAACAATTTTATATACAGTAAAACAAAAGGGAAAGTCATTCAAGTATCAAAATACAGAGACAAAGATTAAATAACATTTTCATTACAGTTCAGTCCATTGCCACACCATGAGCAACAATACTTCTGAGCTGCTTTCTGCTGGCCTGGGCATCTCAAAGACAGACCCAATTCAGACTGGTTTTCTAATGTCTCTGACTGCAGCTCTGCCTGCTCCCTGCTCAAACCCGAGCATCTCGGGAACTCCCATTAGTGTCTGACGCTGGAGGGCCCAGGAGGGACGCAGAGAGCTGCACACGCAGAGCCTGTCGGGAAGGTCTTATGCGCTGAGCAGCTGGTGGGCAGGGGAGAAGAGGTGGACAAGAAGCCTGTGGCTGGGACAGGTACTGAGCCCATCTGAAGTCTCCCACCCGAATGGGCTCCTTCACAGTTCAGAAACGCAGCGACAGGGTCTGCCCCTGGTGTGACCTGCACTTGGAGAAGTGCAAAAGTAGGGGCCTTCCCACTTGAAGCCTGTCCTTAAAGTTATAATAACCTTTCTAGGAAAGGGAGACTACCCATCCCAGAGGAGAAGAAAAGAAAGAAAGGCCCAGTCATTTTCCTTTCTTGAATATTCAGAAATAAACCAATCTCTAAACAGAACCCAGAGCTAGAGCAGACTAGCCAAGGCTTCCAATATGAAAATACCCTGAATAAATAAAGATGATATAGCAGCTTCAAGCAGAAGAAACACCTATGGATGATCTAAGCACAAAAGACAGCTTGAGGAGTGCATCGTAGTGTCTGCGGTTTCTTTCGGACCTACCGCCCCGCCCCCGACAGAGGCCCACTTGGATGTGGCCTGGCCCCTTAGGAGGAAGACGGGCACCAGCATGTGCGCAGTGGCAGCGCAGTCTACTCTGGATGCTTTAGGGTTCCTGGTCAACTCTTGGAAGAAAGCCGGGGCCGAGAACTGTACAGCGGTAGCTCATGGGCATCCTCACAGGCCCTGAAAGGGGCAGGAAATGAAGTAAAACTGCAAGGTGTCGAGATCTTCGTTTAGTACCAAGAAGTGGAGGAGGGCCTGCCTCTACCGCAGAGAGAGCTGAGTCCCAGGCCCCAACCTGCTGGGTGCTTAGCAGATAGAAACCCACAAGGCCTGGCCTCTAGCCAGTCAGAGACACAGCCCCACTTCTGATTTCTGGCCAACCACATGGGTTAAGAATGTGCCTAACAGTACTCCCTGCACATACATACCAACAAAGAATTCAAATTCACAGCCTTTGCTGGCTGGGAAAGAGGAGTGTTGCTGAAGCCTGGATTATTCATCCTGGGACCTGATTGACCTATGCCAGGAAAGCTCGGAGCCTGCTAAAGTGCCCACAGGAGGAACTGGGCACACAGCTGAGCCAACTTTGCCTCTCAAATCCACAGCAGTTTCCCCTGCATTTCTACTCTAGTCCAGAGGGAAGAATGCAACCCAAGTTACTTTTAAAAACAAAGCGAGCAGCAGGAAAGCTTAAGAAGCAGAGGCGCACCGGGATGCCAGCCTGCCCCAAAGGCCACGCGGGGGAGCATCGATGCACTGTCACCTTATTTAGCCTTTTCCACACCGGGGGCCAGGGATGGGCCCAGCAGCCAAGTGTAACCGTCAAACCGATAATTCAGAGAATCAAAATGAGCCCCAATCACACAGGCTGATTAGACAAATCACAAATTGGCAAGTAGCAACCTTAGCTGACCCCACTCCAAGCATTAATGCCCCAAACAAAGCTGCTTTTCCTATTCTCTGACACAACGCAGGCAGTACGGCGCCGGCCAGCCCAGGGCAGTGCTCCGATCACTGACAGGTAAGAGGCCAGGGAGAGGCCTGGCGCTCTGGTGCTGGCTAAGACTTCCCAGCACTAGAAACTGCACACTTATCTTCATTTGGCCACTGAACCTTCCCATCGGGAACCCCAGAAATGGACCGGAAACCTTTGAGTTGCTCAGGTGCCTCTAAGGCTGTGTTCTTACGAGAAGCCTGTGTCTAGCCCCTGAAAGGGACAGGAAGTTGGGCAGTTCATAAAGAGCAGCAGCTGATATGGTTGGGTTTGAAAAGCAGACGCACCGTACTCAATTCTGCCTGAGCCTGCTCCGTTCCCCTCACCCACAGGCCACCGCCTTCTCTTCCGACCCACTGAGCTGCACCCAAGTTCCGTCCTGAGGACAGAGGCTATGCAGGCTGGCCTCTGAACCAACCTCAGCTCCCCTGTCCTCTGCCCCATGGCCATTTGTCTAAAGATTGGCAGTATGACCTAGAGGTTTGAGCCAAGTGTTAAAAGTTCATTTTATAAAAAGATTTTTTTTCTGTTAAAAACAATGTGTTCTGAACAAGTCACTTCTTGACCCTCTGGAATGCCAGTCCCATCTGCTAGCGGCCTGGAGTGCTTCTCCACAGCCAAGGCAGGGCTCGTTCTGCAGGACGTGGTGGTGGCAGGCCCAGGCCAAGTGGCCAAGAGGAGGTCCTGCAGGCGGAGGTGAGGCCTGGGTCTTCAGAGCTGCAGGTGAGGCGATGGCGGTGGTGGCAGTGGGAGCCTATGCCCCCACGTCTATGTTTCCGCAGCACAGTGTGGTTCCTCAGTGGCTCAGCTTGGCAGAAGCAAACAATGGGGGGAGGAAAGGGTTAACCAATGGGGCCTGCGGACGGTGGAGGAAATGGAAAGGAAACACAGAGCAGGACAGACGATCCCTCACAGCCTCCCCGGGGCACCCTCCATGCCTGCTTTGAGCACCCACAGCCTGCAGCCCCCACTGCCTCTGGCTCAGTGACTCTGCTCAGGAAGGCACAAGGATGGGTGGGTACGCAGGACCCACCCAGTTTATCGACTTGGGTTTTGACTGCCCTGGCCGACTGGCTTTCCTAGTGGACTCTGCTATGTGTGCACGGCTGCCTATGGGCGCCGCTTCCTTCCTGTCTCCTGCCATCCAAACTGATTTGCCCACACTGGAGAATGGGGTGCCTCTTCAAAGACTCAGCTCCACCATCCCAGCTTCTGAGCTGCTGCGATGGGACGGCCTCTCCTTTCGGAGGAGTCAGGAGGCTGAGGGAGGTGGTCAGGGGCATGCTGGACGGCGCTGTCTATCTGTGATCCCCCACCGTGGAGAGTGTCAGAAAGCTCCCAGAGGACAATGGAGGCCACTTGGTCCAGGTCCCTGTCCTCCAGCAGCTCTGTTCTGTGAGGGAAGAAGGTGCGCCGTGTGTGCAGGGCACAGGCCGCCTCCTCGTTGGTTCTACGGAAGGCCTTCCTCCTCAGTGAGCTAGACTCCAGAGCCAGGCCCAAGGCTGCCAGGCCTTGAGACTCCATGGCGAAGATAGAGGGGCTGTCCACACACATGCCACCCACCTCCTTGGAGGGGAAGGCCCATCAGGACTGAGACACCTGCTGTGTGAGCCAGCCTGTGAGTGTTCAGATACCCAGAGCCCCAAGTGGGGCAGTCAGCACGGACCCAAGGGCCTGGCGCATATCTTGGGCCCTCACAGAAAGCAGTCTGTCCCTGGTCCAGCCACATCACTGAGCTCAAGGTCTCACAAGGGCCTAGCCATGAGAGTGAGGCCAGCACCTCGGAGTAGCGGAGGACAGTGGGGTGGGGCTGCAGGCCGGCTGTGAGCAGAGTGCTGGGGACTCTGGCACTGGGTGGTCACAGTGGTTGGTTGGTTCAGGAGAGGTGAGAACAGTCAGCTAGCTCTTGGCAACGGTGCCCAGCTGTGGCTCAGTACAGCAGACAGGAGGAGGGAGCCACACAGAGCCCAGCCCAACCCTGGGGAGCTATCAGTGCCGTTGGGATCCTGCTGGAGACTGCCCTGCCCGTCGGGGTTCACAGTGCCTGCCCGTGGAGGCTTCCAGGGTGCAACAGAACCCCTGAGCCCTCTTGATGCCCACCTCAAAGGCAACTCACCCCCTCAAGCTGTCCTCAGCCCAAGGGGGAGAATTCACAGTGTTCGGTGGTGGTAGGTGCGAGAGCTGCAAGTGTACAGCGTCTACGCTGCCGCCCGCCCAAGAGGAGCAGGTCCCAGTGCAGGTGGGGCCTTGGCATCAGCAGCTGGAAGGAGAGAGTTGAGGACAGCAGAAAGATCGGATGGCAAAGGCACAGTGAGACTAGTGGAGACAGGGAGTGGGTTGTTTTAGAAGATAGTGGTCTCATACTTGGTGCTGAGGCTCCGCTTAGAGTCTGGTTTGGGGTCCACAACCCAGGAGACACTGGCATGGGATTGGGCATCTTGGTCCATATCAGGTGGTTCCAGCTGCCAAACAAGGAAGCAGTCAAGAGTCAGAGGGAGCTCTGTGCCAGGGCTGGAGGCAGCAGGCCCCTCCCACCCCCAGGCCAGGCTGTGGCCCCTGTGCTGGGAGGGGCAGCCCTTATTCTCCTCGGCCAAAGAGCAGGCCCCTGGGGGCAGGCGGAGGAGGGACACCCTCCTGGAGCATCTTGGGGAGGGCCACCTCCAGGCACAGCTTCTCTCCGGGATTTCTTGGGATTGCTCAGTTAAAGGACCCCTGTCCTAGGCGGGCCTCCTGCTCTAAGCCCCAGACCCACTCACACTGGGCAGGAAGGGGATATGGGGCTTGCAAATGTCCAGCCTCGGGTCTCTCTGGTAGGCCCAGAGAGCTCACCCCAAGGCAAGACCACAGCAGTCACCCCAGACCTCTGGAGAGAGGACACACAACAGAAAAACAGAGAGGGCTGAAGCACACACAGAACAGGCAGAGGGCATCTCAGGAAGAGGGGAAAGAATGTCACACAGGCAGAGGGAGAGGCCGCCAGAGGCTAAGAGCGCTCACGGTCACTTCGGGGAGACTGACACACAAGACAGCAGGAGGCGTAAAGACCTTGACTCCAGGACTAACAGATGGCAGCGGTAGGTAGGAAGGACGGTGGGTGGTGCAGGTGTGACAGTAACAACAGCGACTATCGGGGGGCAGCGGCACCTGGGGTGCAGAGCAAAGCAGACACAGACACAGGGATGGCGCAGTTACTGGGGGCTGCCTGCAGGCCGCTCTCTGCAGCCCCTTGACGGCCTTGCCCTTGGGGGAGCCCAGCGAGGGAGGGAAACAGGAGCATGAGAGGCCCGCCCAGGCCAGAGGAGCTGCTGCCTTTCCAGGGGCGAGACCTGGCAGGGTTGGGGGACAATTAAGAGGGTCATTTCCCTGGAGGGCCAGCTTTCTGGAAGTGCCAGAAGACCCTCCTCACGCTGACCACCCTGAGCCCTTGAATCCCTGGGGCCAGGGAGAGGGGGATCTTGGCCAGTGGGGCCCACGTACTGCGGATTTCCTCACGCCGACCCGAGGCTTAGGCACCGGTTTGGAAGATTTTGTTTCAATCATCTCAGCTGCAGAGGCGCCCGTCGCCCTGGACTTCTGGGCCTGCAGGGCCAACTGATAGGCCACTTCGAAGGCCTGCCCCAGCGTCAGGATGATCTCGTAGGTCAGGTTCTGGGAGGAAGCAGATCACCACTTAAGCACCTGGTTCAGGAGCCGCTTCACACTGGATATGCCCTTCCTCGCAGGGACCATGTGTCCCCCTCTAAGTCTACCCGGGAGCGCTCCTACCTCCTTCCACTCTTCCCTCCTTTCCCTCCTTTACTCTTCCTAGGTCTCTGTTGTTCTTCCCGCTCTACACAGGATGTGGCCGGGAGCTGGGCTGCGGGGAGGGCAGGTGCACACTGCTGTAAGCCTACGGCAGGTCTTTTCCAAGGCAGGGTGCCGTGCCTGCAGCAGTACTTGGGTATTTCTTACCATTTAATGTAAGTGGTGCTAGTGCTTTTATTTTTAATGTGTCACCGACAAAGTCTGTGAGTGCTGTGCCCCTAACTCCATTTCCCCATAAACCCTGTGGTTTTCCTTGTGTGATTTTACACAGCACAGTGATTGTTAGGAGCGTATGTGTGGCGTTACAGCAGAACTGAGTGTATGTGGGAAAAGTCAGCAACAGGTAAATGCCACTGACTGTGCTGTGTGGACCACCTCATCCATCTCACAGTGGCCCCTGAGGTGGGCCACATTATATCCCCTCCAGACAGATGAGGAAGCAGGCAGATGCGATGTTTCCAAGCTCACACAGCCAGCAAGCAGCAAAGCCTGGTTCCTCCTAACCTTCACTGGCCCAGAGCAAACAGAGGACTGGGGTGGATGAGGTCCCAGGAGTGTGGGGATGCCCAGAGCTGCCTGTATTCCAGGAGCCACAGAGATTCTGGAAGCAGCTGCTATCCCTGAGGGCGGCAGAGACCTGGACCCCTCTGACTTCCTCCCGGGGTGAGGAAGCAGCCTGGGGCCACTCTCATGCTTTGTTGCAGGTTAGAGGGAACCCCCGCCTGTGGGCTGTCAGTTCTGGTCTGCTCCCTGTGGGCAGCTGTGTGAGAATGAACTCTCCTCGGCCCAGTGGCATCCAGAGCCGAGCCTCAGCAGGAATTTGAGGGAAGAAAATCTGCCAAAGAGGGCACCACTGCCCCTAAGAGGGAAGTAGAGGGCATTTCTGGGAGGCGGCCCAGCCAGAGGTTGGAGACCTAGGGCAGGGAGCCGGGGGAAACAAAGGCCTTGCCTGACCTAAGAAAACACTCGCCAAAAAGCTGGAAAGTCAGGGGCGGTGGCTCACGCCTATTATCCAGTTACGTGGGAGGCTGAGGTGGGTAACTTGCCTGAACCCAGGAGTGCAAGGCAAGCCTGGGCAACATAGTGAGACTCCATCTCTTAAAAAAAAAAAAAAAAAGCTGGAACCTCCTGTCCCTAGTGCCCTGGGCCAGTCCCTGTTCCCTCTGCGCGTCAGTCTCATCACTGTGAAAGGGGACCGGCCTGAGTGCTGCTGGGCTCCATTCATGAACCAAACATTTGCCAGGCACTGGCCAGGGGCCAGGACAGCGCCGCATCTGTGCCCTGCAATGGGGCTGGACGCCTCAGGGCTGCAACCCAAGCCTGCCCCACCCGGCCCCAGGACCCCACCCACCACATCCACGGTGCTGAACACATGGCAATAGTGGTGGCTGGTCTGCAGGTCCTTGGTGATGTAGGCAAAGGTACAGAGGTCCTCCGGGTCCTGGGCCGCACAGGAAATGTTCCGGATCTCGTGCTCTGCAATGACGTTCTGCTGGGGAAAGCCGTGTTCTGGAATTCTCAGGCTCAGGCATGCCTCTGGCACCCCCTGCCCCAGCCTGTTACCATTGTCACTGTTCTCTGTCCCAGCCTAGAGCATCAAGCAAACCCCCCTTCATCTTCTCATTTTGTTTATTGGTGGGGGTGGGGGTCCCCGATTTTGGTTTGGGGTCTCCACCCCTTACCACAACAACTAAGGCAGTAAAATGTTCACACCCAACCACAAGCTCTCCCCAGCCCCTCCCACCTTCCAGGGTGGGGGCAAAGTGGGAAGGGTGTCAGGAAGGTGGGATCCCACACGGTGGCACACAGAGAAAGTCCTTTGCTCACGGAGGGAATCACACCTGTGAGCAGGTGTGCGGCCAGTGGAGCCCAGGTGGCGAGGCTAACAGCAGTGATCACTAGGGCGGGGACGGGGCTGACAGCAGGCACCCAGGCCAGCAGATGAGAGACACGCCTCTTAGCAAAGTGGGAAGTAATAAGAGGACTGGGGACCCTCTAGGGAGATAAGAGATGAGACAGGGCAGCCGGGTTGCTTGCCCTGGAGCCCTGTGGGTCTGACGGGGATGTGGGTCCCACTCCCACCAAGAGTCCCTGTAAGCAGCACACCTTGTTGGAGGCATCGATGAACTTGACACCTTTGTATGTGATGGACAGGATGATGGTGGGGATCTTCTTCATGTGCTCCGTAGATTTCTACAGGAAACAAGGGGTGGCCCTGTCAGTGCCCCTTCTCAGGGCTAAGCCTCCTGGGCTTCCACAGGTCCCAGCTTCCTTCCCATCCTTACATAGTGCAGCAGGGCCCAGGCAACTGCAGCTACTGCCCCCATTGCTGCCTTCTGCTGGCCAGTCCCACAGCGCCCTCCAGCCCACACAGGCACCCTACCCGCATCTTGGCACAGGCGTCTTGCGTGGATTCTGTCCCTCGCAGATCTTTGATCAGCATGGAGCCCAGATACTGTGGGGGCGAGCAGTGGCCAGGCTTAGGAAATCCTGCGTTTCCATGCAGGGGTGACCCAACCAATTTGGGACTGTCCCACAATCAAGTAGTTACCCCTCTCAATAACAACACCCCCTCTCCTGCCCCAGCTGGAGAGACCCTCCATTCAACTCCCTAGCTAAAGGATCCAGAGGCCTCCACCCCTTCGCCTTAGCTGTCAAGAGTGGCTGAGAGTGGAGAACAGCTCAAAAGCCCTGGGCCTGGCTTTGTGGAGTCCCTGCTGGGACTTGGCCGCAGGTGCCTGGCCGAGAAGGAGCAGGGAGGCCGGCCCTGCTGGGAGGGTGGGAGCAACTCACATTGGCTTCATAACCACAGGACTCGAAGATGAGTTTCTCTGGCTGGTGTTGCCAACTCTGCACTGGGGCGTAGGGGGCTGCCAGGCTCGGGGGCCGCAGGGTCAGCTTGGCCTCACGGTGCTCCTCCTGCGAAACACACGCAATTGGACACCTGCTCCTTGCTCCAGAGGAGCACATGGGCTTGCTGCCTGGCTCCAGCACACTCAAGGGTGAAGATGCCAGTGACCTTAGCAAGTTCAAGGGTCGAGTGGAGATGGCAGGGGGCAGACCAGCAATTCAAACACACTGCGGGAGAGGGGAGGTGCTAGCCACAGCAGAGGCACAGCAGGGACCCAAACCGCCTGAGAGCAGGGCTTGGGAAGGACAGTCTCTGTGGTGTCCGAGATGAGTCTCAAAGGAGATGGGAAATGACCAGAGAGGAGATGGCAGAGTCTGTGTGGGGGGCACAGGCTGCCAGGCTGTTCTGCACAAAGACCAAAGGAGAGAACAGCGCCCACGAGACCCTGGGACGCCTTGGGACCCAGCCCAGGGCCTGGGAGGGATCTTCACAGCGGGGAAGCCAGTGAAGCACCCGCCCGTGCCTAGGAATGCATTCCAAATGGATCCTTCTGGCAGCAGCTAGGGGGTGGGGGAGGCCACTGCGGTCCAGGTGAGAGATCATGGGTCCCTGTCCAGGGCACTGGTGGAAGGAATGGAGAGGAAGGAAAAGATTCAGGAAACACGGAGGCCCTCCCTTCCCAGCAGTGCGCAGAGCCTCTCAACAGCAACCGGAATTGCTGGACAATGTGTTTAAAAATCCTTTAAAACTCATGGCTGTGCTTGTAGAAAGGGAAAGGAAGTCCCCAGAGCCAGAAGTGAGAAGTGAGAGTCAGAGAAACAAGCAGGGGTGAAGCTGAAGTTCACCCGGAGGGGCCTGAGGGACACCTGCTAATCCTGTGTCTGACAGGCCAAGAAGAGGACAAAGGACAAAGCCAAGGTCCGTACAAGGAGGGAGGCAGGACAGGCAGGTCCTGAGTAAATCCAGGACCCCTGGAAATGATGCCCTGAGAAGGTGAGCCAGGAGTGTGAGACGGGCCCACCTCCGCCAGGGCTGGAGCGGGCACCGGGAGCGGAGGAGGCGTCTCCAGCGGTGCCCCCCACGGGGCTGCAGGCAGAGAACAGGAAGAACAGAATCTGGTCTGGCTGTGGTTTTGCTGAGCAGGAGGAAGAGAATGCTGCCGAGGTGAAGCTGCAGGGAAAGCAGTTCTGGGGAACAACGTGGGTAAGCAGAGAAGGAAGGGGCCAAGAAGGAGCTCAGAGGCCAGGAGAGCACAGAGGGCTCTGGGGCCAGCAGGGGAGGCAGTGCAGGACGCAAGAGGCCACAGAGAAAGAGCGGACAGGGGATCTGAACCCCTGAGGGAGGGAAGTACAGGACACAGGAGTGGCCCCAGCAGCTGACAGCTAAAGTGAGTTGTGCGGCCCGAGCTCGGCACCATGGGTGCTGGGTGGGCCTTACGCAAGGCGGCTGGGTGTGGGCGAGCAGAGCAGGCTAGTGCCTCCTGACTCTGGTGCCAGCCCAACTGTGCTCAAGTATGGGGCAGCAGGTGGTTCTGGGAGGCCCTGTCCCACCCAGAGGAATGAGGTAGAGCCTGGCTGCACCTCCACTCCCCCTGCCCCACCTGGATCCTGAAGCGCTCCGCTCGGGAGGGTGCCGCAGGGTCATGGAGACTGTCATGGCGCCTCCTGCCTGTGTCCCCTGGAGGCAGCAGCAGATCTGCCGACCGCCCAGTGCAGGAATCATTCTGACTCAGTGGGGATGACGTCTGGGAGAGCAAATCTTGGCACTGTGGAGGGAAAAATCCAGGTGGAACTTGCAACCCTCGGCCCAGTGCCCGACTACAGGTATCAGCCAGCCCCACTGGTTAGGACGGCACAGGCAGCGGCACCGGGAGAAGCAGCAGGGAGCGAAGGGGCCAACACCACAGGGGTGTCAGACAGGTGGCACCACGCAGCCACCGTCCACTAGTGTCCCCCGAGAGGGCGGGGAAGCCACTTTTGCATTTATAAAAGATTAAATCTTCTGTCCTGATCCATTGCAGGCCTCTGCACATGACCAAACAAAGCACCCCCTTGAGAAAAAATGGAGCCCTGTCAGTCAGGGCCCTAAAGCCACCGTCCCCAACAGAATACAATCCTGGCTTCTCAGTGTCTATATCTGAATGTCAGTTGTGTGTTTGGTTCCCAGAGCAAGGCTGGGCCTCCACTTTCTCATCTGTAAAAGGAGGATGAACAGGACCCACTTCACGAAGCCCCTGAGGGTTCAATGGGGTGAGACCTGCGGGGCAGGCCCAGTGCACCCGAGGGCTCGGGGAGCGGCTGCTCTAGTTACCGCCATTCCTGCATGTTCTGGCCTGGGGCTGGGGGAGAGCTCTTCCTCAGCTGCAGGCTCTGAGTCTAACCCGTTTCTGTTGTCAGGAATTACCGGCAGGAGCAACAGATCATGGGTGAGGTTTTTAAAATGCAAGCTGTCTTAGCCACCCCAGCCTGGGAATTCGAACTCAGATTTGGGGGGTGCCCAGGTGGCTGTGAGTCCTGGCCTTTTGGATTTGTCTCAGGTGTTACCTGACTCGGCCCCTCCCTGTCCCCAGGCACAGAGCTGAGTTCAATACCCAGCCATGGCCTGGTGTTTTCCTACTATCCCCCAAGTTTTATGTGTTTGATCGGCCATCCCCAAGTAGAAACAGGTGGCGGGGAACTTCTCTAAACCTCCTCTCCTGTACTCCTCTCTTCTTGTTGGAGCTGCTTTCTCCTACACTACAGTGGTCTCTGAAGAATCCTAAAGAATTCTATGTAATTCCTGCAAATACAGGGAACAAACATACATTCCTTTCTGTCCCTCCCCGACTCACCCTCAGCTGGGAGAATCTGGGGGGCTTCTGGGGCGGCTCCTCGTACGGTCTGTCTGCGAGGGAGGCGATGATGCGCTTGCGATGGCCGAGCAGCTGGACCTTCAGGACCTGGGTGATGAGGAGCAGCGAGGTGACAGGTCAGGTGGCCAACTCACTCACAGTCCGCTCCAGCCCCCAGCATCTTCCGCTGGGCCAGGCTGCCCCTAAGGGAAGCTCAGACTTCTGGAGAGTCCAGGCCGGGCCACGCAGGGACTACTCACATTGACGAGCTCTAGCTCCCAGAGGTTCTTCACGGTGTCAATGGAGCTGTAACCACTTGACAAGAAGGAATGGACGTAGTCCTGCAGCCCCAGGGAGTCCAGCCAGGAGGGCACGCTAGGGGGGCTGTTCCCGTCATAACCCAGAGCCTTCACCTACAGGGCAAGGAGGGAGGTGAAACTGACATCTCAGCACTCACAGGAGAGGGACCCGAGGACCATGGACCCAGCCAGCTCACACAGACTGTGGCCAGGGGGCCCTCTGTGTTTGGGGTCCTCAGCACCTTCCAGCCCCCCACTTCGCACAGCCTTTCCTATCACTTGCTGGTCTCGGCTTCCCCATGGGGAAGGCAGGAGCCGCTGGAGCACCGACAGGGCTGGAAGATGGCCCTAGCAGACAAGCCTAGGTAGGGAGGGGGGGTCTGCAGAACGCCTCCGCCCTGAGCTCCGCTGAGGTCACGGGCCTGGAGGGACAAGAGAATAGTGTGTGCCCTCAGAGCGGGCGCTTCCCAAGCTCTGGACAGGTAGAAGGGACGGGGCCACTGCATTCAGCACAAGTGCAGGGGAGAGGCTCAGGCCCACCAGCTCCTGGCTCCCCAGGGAAGACGGTACTTCCCTCAAGCCCACTCGGGGAGGGGCCCGGTGCCAGGGCTCAGTGCAGGCTGGCCAGGGCTCCAGTGAGCCAGAGAGACCATGAAGGGGGCTCTGGGTGAAAGGCCAAGCCAGCGGGTACCAGGCTCCTGGGCCAGGCAGACCCCCAGAACCTCCTCATGACCCCAGAGGAGCCTGCTCCCTGCCCTAGGGCTCTGCTGACTCTCCAAGGGCCTTAGGGCATAGTGAGGAAGCAAACAGGGTTGTGTGCGGCCCTTCCGGAGCTCCTAGGGTGAGGGGTAGAGGTCCTGCTATGATGTGCGTGTGCTGGAGCCCTGCTCCTCCCCTGTTCTTGGTGCAGGTGGTGCTAGGGAGGTGGCCCTGGCTCCGCACGGGCTGAGGCTACAGGGCCGGCGATGGTCACCTTGGGTAGGGAGCGTGCCGCCTGGAGCAGCTTCCGCCGGTGCTGTGGGTCGCTGATGCCGATGTCCCGCAGGTCCTGCTCTTCCATCACATTAGACCCCTGAGAGCAGAAAGGTGGATGTCAGGGCCCCTCCTGGATGGATGGCTGGTGGCCCTGAGGGGGTCAGGTGGGCCTTTCAGGGCCCTGCACCAAATTCTCCTTCACTGCAGGCACCAAGAGGGCATGGGGACAAGTCTGCCCAGACTGCCCACGTCCATCCGGGCGGCTCCCAGGGGAGCTAGGCAGAGCTGGGGCTCCAGAATATGCACAGGGTGCTGAGGCCGGCCAGGGCACACAAGGGTGGGGGTGCCGCCTGCCCAGGCCCAGCCACAAGTCCCGGCCCCCTGAGTGTGTGTGCATTTTTCTGGGGAGCAGGTTCCATGCATCCAAGATAAAGAACTAGTGGACTCATCCTAAGGTTCCTCTTAGACAGGATTTTATAATTCTAAGGTTGTAACAACCACCTCAGGCGGGTGGCTGGTGACAGACTTGGGTACCCGAGGACCCAGCCTCACCCCAAGGAGAGAAGCCTCCAAGGGGGAGACTGTCAGAAAAGGGCGTCCTTGTCCCAGGGAGAAGGGTGGGTCAGAGCTGAGCCCAGTCCGTGCTGTTTTCTGAGACCTCCACTGGCCTCAACGGAGCAGCTGAGGGTGGAGAGGCACACGGAGCGCCCACCTGCAGCGCTAAGCACGATGCAAGGATGTGGGGGCGGAGGCTGGTGCTCCTGCTCCTTTCTTACTATATGACAGGGCCGAGAGCTTTCACCTGGCGCATCCCACTTCATGCTCACAACCTGCATGTTAGGGTCTCTGTTAATCCCGTTAATCTAACAGATGAGGAAACTGAGGCACACAGAGGTCAGAAATTTCTTGACATCACACATCTAGTGGTGGAGCTAAGAGGGGACCCTGGGCAGCCTGACTCTCTCCTTCACGCTCCTGGCCCCTGCGAGGACGTCTCTAATTACAGAAGTCACAAGATAGTGTGAGCAGATTTAATTTTAAAATACACAGTGTGGCCTATGATGCAAAATTCACAGGTCCTGCCCATCCCTCAGCCATGGAGGCCCTCGCAGTTGCAGCTGCTGCCACTTCCTGGACGTCCCCAGAGCCCCGCTGGGCACAGACAGGCCTGTGCCTGCACACTGCATTTTCACACAAATGCCATTCTCGCACACGCTCGGTGCCTTGTTCTTATCACGGAATATACACAGGAGATTGTTCCGCAGCAGTGCATGTGGGCCCACCTCCTTTGGACAAGCTGCAGCATCATCTAGGTTAGGAATATGCTATAATTTATTCAGCCAGTTCCCTGTTGAAGGACATTTGCTCCAACTTCAGCTACTGCACACAGTGCTGCATGAACACCCTCCCCGTGAGTGTCGTGTCTAGGCCTGTTATGAGGAAGGGTTTCTGCTTACTTGAATCAAGGGTGCGTGCCTTAACACTGACAGCTCTTTCTGCTCTTCTTAGTGACGCCAGTGCTAGATCCCCCACACCATCAGCAACACAGCAGGGAAAGAGTCTCCCTGCAGTTTCAATTTGCACATTTCTTATCGGAGTAGGATCATCTCATCCAGAGGTGAGGATGAGCATCTTTCCACGTTTTATCTATCTAGCATTTCCAAAGCACTCCCTCCCTACTCCACGCTGGACCTGCCCAAGCCATTTAGTAATAGGGACTATTGTGGCCAGGCGCGGTGGCTCACCCCTGTAATCCCAGCACTTTGGGAGGCTGAGGCAGGTGGATCACCTGAAGTCAGGAGTTCAAGATCAGCCTGGCCAGCATTGTGAAACCTGTCTCTACTAAAAATACAAAAAATTAGCCGGGCGTGGTGGCAGGCGCCTGTAATCCCAGCTACTCGGGAGGCTGAGGCAGGAGAATCATTTTGAACCTGGGAGGCAGAGGTTACAGTGAGCCGAGATCACGCCACTGCACTCTAGCCTGGGCGACAGGGTAAGATTCCACCTCAAAAACAAAACAAAACCAAACAAAACAAAATTGGGACTGTTGTTATTCCCACCCTACAACTGAGGAAGCTGAGGCCCATAAAGCCCTGGTGACTTGCCAAGGTCACATGGTAAGTGCATTTGGAGCCAGATTCAGCCCCAATGCTGCTGTCCACATGGCCCTGGTGCCGCACACTTGGGGACACCCAGAGCTCCTTGAGTTAACTGGCTTATAGCCTCAGAGTTTTTCTTTTTTTGAGACAGAGTCTCGCTCTGTCGCTCAGGCTGGAGTGCAGTGGCACGATCTCAGCTCACTGCAAGCTCTGCCTCCTGGGTTGACGCCATTCTCCTGCCTCAGCCTCCCAAGTAGCTGGGACGCCACCACACCTGGCTAATTTTTTGTATTTTTAGTAAAGACTGGGTTTCATCGTGTTAGCCAGGATGGTCTCGATCTCCTGACCTCGTGATCCGCCCATCTCGGCCTCCCAAAGTGCTGGGATTACAGGCGTGAGCCACTGCGCCCGGACAGCCTCAGAGTTTTTCTATGAAGTTGTCGGTCTTTTCTGCGTAGCTATGTAGGAGTTCTTTACATAATAAGAAAATTGGCCAGGTGCAATGGCTTACGCTTGTAATCCCAACACTTTTGGAGGCCAAGGTGAGGTGGGAGGATCACTTGAGCCCAGGAGTTTGAGGCCAGCTTGGGCAACGCAGTGAGACTCTGTTTTTACAAAAATAAAAAAATTAGCCAGGAATGGTGGTGCGCAGCTGTGGTCTCAGCTACTTGGAAAGCTGGGTGGGAGGAACACTTGAGCCTGGGAGATTAAGGCTACAGAGAGCCATGATTGCACCACTGCAGTCCAGCCTGTTTCCAAACAAAAACAACAATATATGTGTGTGCACAAGTGTGTGTGTATGTGTGTGTACATACAACAAAAAATAAAGCAAATTAACCTTTTGGCCAGGCGCGGTGGCTCGGCCTGTAATCCCAGCACTTTGGGAGATCGAAGTGGGCAGATCATGAGGTCAGGAGTTCGAGACCAGCCTGACCAACACGGTGAAACCCCGTCTCTACTAAATATACAAAAATTATCCAGGTGTGGTGGCGGACGCCTGTAATCCCAGCTACTCGGGAGGCTGAGGCAGGAGAATCGCTTGAACCCAGGAGGCGGAGGTTGCAGTGAGCTGAGATCGCGCCACTGCACTCCAGCCTGGGTGACAGAACGAGACTCCATCTCAAAAAAAAAAAAAAAAAAGAAAATTAACCTTTTATCTATGAAATGAGTTAGATATTTGTTTTCCAGTTTGCTATTTATCTTTTGGCTTTTATGCTGGCTTTGTTCATGTAGAAATCTATTTTTTGTAGCTAAGTGTACCCAACTTTTCTTGCAGAGCTTCTCAGTTATGTCAGGCTTAAAAAGATCTTGCCTTTCCAAGATTGTGTTTTACATTCTTCTATATTTTTTCCTGTAATTTGTTTCCTTTTTTATAGCTAAATCTTTAATCCATCTGGAAATTATTTTGCTGTAAGGTGTAAGAGTCAAGATCCAACCTTATTTTTGCCCTGGCAGCAAGCTGTCCATTTCTTGATGAGCTATCTTTTCCCCCCAATCTGGAATGGCCTCTATGGTGTCTGAAATTCCTGTGTATTTCTGGGCCTCTTTCTGGACTTTTACTCTGTTGTGGTGGGCATTACTTTACACTTGGAAAAGCTAAGTGACTTGGGCCAGCTCATGCAGACCATGACTTGCTTGGCCCCCGCCCCGTGTGGTGACTGCTGGCCACGGGAGTCTCCCCAGAGCCTGTGCATGGTGACATAAACGTTGTCCCACAGAGGACACTGCCAGACTTAAGCTTCAGAGAGCCCAGGTGAAGAGAGCCCCAAAGCCAGGCTGGAAGCCCACTACTCTGCTCCACCTGCAGAACACACCCCTTGCTGGGCACAAGCGAGGCCTGGGCACCACTCCAGGTCTGAGGCCAGCCAAGTCACCCCCAAATCTGAGAGTCACCACAGAGTTCCTACAGTGGCTCTGGGACCAAATCTAACGTCTGCTGTTGCAGAAAGGCAGAGAGAGGCAGCCGCCTTCCCAGACTTTTTTTTTAAAAGTGGAGTGCAGTGGTGTGATGATGGCTCACTGCAACCTTGACCTGGGCTCGAGTGATCCTCCTGCCTCAGCCTCCTAAGTAGCTGGTACCATAGGCATGTACCACCATGCCTGGCTATTTTTTTTTTTTGTAGAGATGGGGTCTCACTATGTTGCCCAAGCTGGTCTTGAACCCCTAAGCTCAAGTAATCTTCCTGCCTCGACCTCCCAAAAGTGCTGGGATTACAGGTGTGCACCACTGCCCCTGGCCCCGGCCCAGACTTTCTACCTGATTATGAGGATACCAAAGCGAACGGCTGAGCTGAGCCTGCCTCAAACCTCCAAGAGGACGTGGACGTCCAAGAGTGACTGCGGCACCGCAGTGATGTTCTAAACTCCCACTCAACCCCAGCATTGACTCAGAAACCTTCGCCAGCTTTCAGGGCACCTGAAGGCTGACAGCGAGGAAAGCCAGATCCGCCGGAGACAGGCCCTTTGCTAACCAGACCTTGGCCAGCAGAAGGGCGGGCTGTGTGCAGCTTTGAGGAACAAGAGATGAATGGAAACACACAAAAATAAAGGAAATGACAGAAAAGAAAGGCAAACCATTGCCAGAGCACATTCCGGGCGCAGCGCGGGGTCCTCCCAATTCCTGAAGTAGCCATATCTCCGCACCGGGGGATGAGCTTGTGTGGTGACTACTCAGTGCCACATATCCTCAAAGGGCAAGAAACGTTTCTGGAAGTTACCACACCCTCTTTACTCAGGGAGAAGGGACCACTGGCTTTTAGAAACCTCTTCACAAGGAGGGTCATGGGGGAAAAGAGATTTTCTACTTTATCTGCTACCATGCTAACATTTACTGAGTACTTACTACATGGCAGGACACTTCTATAATTAGGAAGTGAATAAAGGACAACAGTTCATTGTCCTAGGGATTTTAGTTAACAGGGATTGTCTCAGCTTTGATAAAAGCTTCACAACTCCAAGTGACATCTGAAACACACAACTAGTCTTCCGGCCTGGCCTGGTTTGGGTCCAGTCCCTGAGGAAGAGGGGACAGGAGGGCTCCCAGCAACCAAGGCGGGACAGAGCACTGATCTTCGCCTGGGATCTGGGCCTCCCCCTGTCCTGACTCGCTCAGACTTCATATCGCCGGCAGGTGTCCGACTGCTCCCCGCTTTGCAGAGGAAAAAGTGCTCCCATGGAAGAGGCAGAGCCAGGATGGCCCCTGGCGGCCTGGCTCCTCAGCCTGTGATCATGGCCATGGCCTGCTTTGGAGAACTCAAGGGAAGGGGACAGCAAGAAGTGCTCCCCTGGGTCACTGAGCTCTGGGCATAACAAGAGTTCCCTGGGCACCCTCTGCCGGGCTTTGTGGGAGGTGACGTGTGACGTGTGGCCTGTCCTGGGCTCACAGTGAAGATGCGGGCCAGTGATACTGAGTTCTGACCACAGTCCAGCACTGTGCTAGGGGCTTCACACCCATGACCTGCAAAAATCCGCCCAATAAACCTTTCAGATAGGAGCTGCTCACATTACACAGAAAGAAACTGAGGCTTGGAGAGCAGACTGGACTTATCCAAGGCCATGGTACTAGAGCATGGCAAAGGGACTGCTCAGGCCCCATCTGACCAACCCCAGTCGTCTTCCTCGGCTCTTCCTGCTGGGGCAGGCAGGGTGTACTGAAGACAAAAGCAAAGTGTGGGGGTGCGGGCAGACGCCTGCCAGACAGCAGGAGCAGGACACCCGTCCTGGGCTGGGGCACAGCCCCTGCTGAGCTGAGAGCCAATGCTGCCTCCCTCCGTAGAATCCCATCTCTCAGCATCGCGCATAAATGCTCCTCCCAGGACCCTCTCCCTCCTGGCCACCTTTTCTCCACCTCTCGGGGAAGGGACACTGTTCCTTTAACTGTACAGAATCCAATTCTTAGAGGTGAGTGGGTTCAGAAATGCCAGGGCCTCCAATAAGGGAGAAACAGGGTCAGGATGTGGGCCCAGGCCTCTGGATACATAGCACGGGCACTGTGCCAAGGGCCAGCCTGACTCTGGAAGAAGCCAGCCTGGCCTATTGGAGTTCAGTAAGGGGCTGGGTTTGTAGAGTCGCCCATGATCGTGGCTGGGTGCCCTTCCTTGGTAAGGTACACGTGAAGCGTCTACCATGGTGGCTGTAATCAGTGTCACTTTCCATCAACCTAAGCCATTTGAATGCTTTCTCCTTCCTGCGAGTATCTGTCACTGGGCTCCACCTGAAGATGCAGAAGGTAGCTGAAAGCATGGAGGCCCAGGCGAACGGAAGGAGCATGACAAGGGTCGGCCCGGGTCGGCCCCGGGCGTCCTGGGAGAGCAGGAGGCAGGAGAAGCGGCAGGGGCTACTGCAGGACCCACACTGCTTTCTTCCTGGCTTTCTCCAGTCCACTGGGGCTCTAACATCTTCAGAGCCTTCCTGCCCATGTGATTTTAGAAGGAAAATATCCTTTTGCATCTTGAAAGGCATCTCACGTGTTAATATTTTGCTTAACTGCAGGTGAGGTCTTCATTCAACAAAGTGGCAAAGGCCCAGGAAGGGGACTGTTTGGGAGTGGTGACACACTGGTGTAGACCCTTTTAGCCAAAGGGGAAATAGGAGCTGTCCTAAGTTACCACTGAGGGTTGCAGGGCAGCCCCAGATGGGGAGGGGCCGGCCTGGGCCTTGGACTCCCTCTCCCTCCACACTGGTTGCTGGCTGGGCTGCTTCCTGCAGCCCTGTCTACAGGATGGGGCAAATGGCAGGACCGCAGGAAGGCTCCACGAGGCCGGGGTAGGTAGGAGTTTGCTTTGACTTTAACGGATCTTCTGGAAACAGGACCCTGACACATCCAAACCGCAGAGAAGTTCTGACTGGGAGCGTGTGGCCAGCTCAGGGGGTGTGGCTCTGCCAGACAGCATCTGGTACCTCAGCGGTATGAACCAAAAATAAAACCATCAGCCCCCCAGGAAACTGAATGGACCCCCCCTCTAGGCCAAGGGGATCCCACAGAAACCTGAAAAACAGGTTCAGGCCATGATGGGTAGGGGCATTGGACCTGCCTCATTACACCCTCCTCCCTGTGGAATTCAGGCACAACAGTCCCACATTATCATTAAAGCAGAGATCCTAAGACTGACCCAGCGGACTCTGTAGCAACAAGACACCGAGTGCCAACCTGACTCCAGTATGGCATCGCATGACAGACAGCAGCCCCGAAACAAAGTATTTTACCCCCAAATATATTTCTTTAGCATATTTTGAAATGGCCCTGCAAAGCTGCCTCTTGTGGGGGAAATTTACATTCTATAGAGGATTCCCTTCCCTTTGATTTCATACATTTTAGGGAGACACAAGACATCAAGCGATATATGTGAGGTATGCACTGGTTCAGTCTGGAAAGGAGGGACAACTCAAAGCTGAAGTTTGGGGGTGGTGGCCTTACAGGTCACAAGTGGATTCAAAGATTTTCTGATTGGCAACTAGTTGAAAGAGTTTATCTAAAGGCCTGGAGTCAATAGAAAGAGGTGTCTGGCAAATCAACCTAAGTAAGGTTGATGACAACAAGAAACTAGGGGAATGGGCAGGCCTCTGTAAAATAGACAGAGAGGGGAAACCCTGGAAAGTGGTTGGTTGCAGTTGTGTAGTAGTTAAGGACTATGGCAAGGAGTCTCAGGCCAAGGATGTCATCGAAGAGTCCTTCAAATGCAAGAAATGAAGAAATAAATCTTTGGCGCGCACACACACACACACACACAAAGAAAAAAGAAAGGGGTGTCTGGGTTAAGATAAAGGCTTGTGGGCTGTGCACGGTGGCTCACGCCTGTAATCCCAGCACTTTGGGAGGCCGAGGCAGGCAGATCACGAGGTCAGGAGATTGAGACCATCCAGGCTAACACGGTGAAAAACCATCTCTAGTAAAAATACAAAAAATTAGCGTGGTGGCAGACACCTGTAGTCCCAGCTACTCGGGCGGCTGAGGCAGAAGAATGGCATGAACCTGGGAGGCAGAGCTTGCAGTGAGCCGAGGTTGTACCACTGTACTCTAGCCTGGGCAACAGAGTGAGACTGTCTCAAAAAAAAAAAAAAAAAAAAAAAAAGATAAAGGCTTGTGGGGACCAAGGTTCCTATTATGTAGATTAGGTGTCCTAGGTGATTCACCCTTAGAGGCAATAGATGGTAAGTGTTTTCTATTCAGACCTTTGAGAGGTGCTAGACTCTCAGCTAGTCTCTTCAGGATCGGAAAAAGACCTGGAAAGGGAAGGGGTGAGATGGGAAAGGAGGCTTTCTAGGAAGATGGGGGTTAAGCTGGGAAAGAGTTGGTGGAAGACCCAGCAGAGAGGCACCAGACTGCAAGAGCTGAAAATGACGACACTGCCACCAATACCAGTCATAGTCTAAACACAGGTGACAACTATTGATGCCCCTGTAGGGCCAGGTGCAATGGTTCAATGCCTATAATCCCAACACTTTGGGAGGACTGCCTCCTGGGCCCAGGAGTTTGAGACCAGCCTGAGCAACATTGTGAGACACCCAGTCTCTTTTTTTTTTTTTTTTTTTGACAGAGTCTTGCTCTGTCACCCAGGCTGGAGTGCAATGGCACAATCTTGGCTCACCGCAACTTCCACCTCCCAGGTTCAAGCGATTCTCCTGCCTCAGCCTCCCAAGTAGCTGGGATTACAGGCATGTGCCACCAAACCCAGCTAATTTTCTATTTTTAGCAGAGACTGGGTTTCGCCATTGTTGGTCAGGCTGGTCTTGAACTCCTGACCTCAGGTGATCCACCCACCTCGGCCTCCCAAAGTGCTGGGATTACAGGCATGAGCCACCACACCCGGACTGACACCCAGTCTCTTAAAAAAAAAAATATATATATATTAGCCAGGTAGGGTGGTGTGTACCTGTAGTTCCAGCTATTTGGGAGACTTAGATGGGAGGATCACTTGAGCCTGGGGGGTCAGGGCTGCAGTGAGCTGTGACTGCGCCACTGCACTCCAGCCTGGGCAACAGAGAGAGACCCTATCTTAAAAGAAAAAAAATTATTGTCAGCCCTCTGTGTTCTAGGCACTAGCTAAGTGCCTTGCACTAATCTCATTTAATCCTCTAAATAGCTCCACTGTAGACAGGGGTGAAAGCCCCATTTGACGGAGGAGAATACCAAGAGACCTAAGTTACTTTGCTAAAGTCACCAAGCAGACTGTGGCTGGAGCTGAGAGCCTGACCCAGAGCCCACATGCTGAGGCCTGTGGATGGGGCAGGGACAAGGGACAATGGTGGGGGTTGGGGGACTGCAGGAGGGGGGTCCAGCAGATAAAAAGCAGTTTGGGAAAGCAGGCTTCATTCATAACCACAATCAGAAAGCCTAGTGTGTGGGGGATGTCACTCTTCCCACTCTTGGGTCTCCAGAGGGAGCCTGGGAAAAGGCAGAGGGCCCAGGGCTTACCGACCTTGAACCAGTGGGAAAGGCCTGGGACCACCCTATCACCTGCCCCACTCTGTCCTGGAGAGCCCAGGGAAGGAAGGCTTGAGTCTTGTGATGAAATCCATGGGCCATGGTGTGGAGGGGCAGTCCTGGGCCCACCAATGGCCAGACGTCAGCCCTCTCTTGCATTGGACGTTCACCCAAACCAAGGCCACTAGATTCTGATTCTTGGGGCCAGAGCTGCGCCAGCCTGGACTCTAGCTCCAGACTTTACACTCGGCCGGCAGCCCCCTCCACCCTCCTTTCCATGTTCAGTCTGCCTGTCTCTTCTCAGACGGTCACTTTGCCAGTTCCCCTGACTGCCCCATCAGTCACAGGAAACTCAAGGCTGAACTCTCCTCTCTTGCAAGAGAAGAAACGAGACAGAGCTATGATCCTGGACTTACAAGGTGCTTCTCCCTGCAGCCCTCCAGCCTCTCCCCTTCACCACCCATTCCCTTTCTCAGACTCAGGGATCAGGGCACTGTGGGAAGGGACCCTCCTAAGAGGGGAGAGGGGGTATGTGGCGGGGAGAACCTGGACACACGAGAAATTGCAAATTAGGCCACAAGGGCAGATTCCGCTAACCAAGAGTAGGGAGGGTAGGAAGAGCTGAGTGCGGGGACAAAGCCACACCCTTGCTGGATTGAGTTTTGGGGCCTGCCTATTCTGGGAGAGGAGCTGCCAAAGCTTAGTAACAAACCCCGGGCAGATGTGGGAGGCATGGCTGGCCCTGCCCTCTTCCCTGCCTGCTCCTCCCCACCCCAGAGCTTCCCCAGGCACAGGCTGGTTCACCGTGACACTGTGACACTGACGCTGTCTCTAAGAACGTGATGGATTTCTCCTGGCCCTCGACCTCTTCCCTACACTAAAAGATTCTTTTGAGT
The DNA here is from genome assembly GCF_000001405.40 of Homo sapiens. Lineage (NCBI taxonomy): Eukaryota > Metazoa > Chordata > Mammalia > Primates > Hominidae > Homo > Homo sapiens. The sequence goes on along the minus strand of NC_000006.12, from coordinate 35,068,236 downwards.
TTCTTGAATAATACAAGTTTATTAGTAGAAAAATTTGAAAATAGGCCAGGTGCGGTGGCTCACGCCTGTAATCTTAGCACTTTGGGAGGCTGAGGCGAGTGGATCACCTGAGGTCAGGAGTTCAAGACCAGCCTGGCCAACATGGTGAAACTACATCTCTACTAAAAATACAAAAATTAGCTGGCTGTGGTAGTGCCCGCCAGTAATTCCAGCTACACAGGAGGCCGAGGCAGGAGAAATCGCTTGAACTGGGGGCGGAGCAGAGGTTGCAGTGAGCCGAGATTTCGCCACTGCACTCCAGCCTGGGGGAAAGGGCGAAACTCCGTCTCAAAAAAAAAAAAAAAAAAAAATTGAAAATGAAGTACAAAGAAAAATGTAAAAGCTACCCATAAGTCTATCACCTCAGGGGGAAACATAAGGCCACTGTTCGGTGTTATCTTCCTAAGTTAATTAATTTTCTTAAAAAAGGAAGATTGGGATCACTTCTACCATTTTGGTGTATTTTTCTGAGCTATATATTAGGAAAAAAAACTTCAGCAAAATTGGGATTATAGGCTGAATGCAGACAGTTTTTCTTTTTTTTCCCCACCACTTGCCACCTGTTTCTTTAACCTGCCTCTTTTAACATGCCCATCTACTGCATGTGAATATCCCCCATGACATTTCACTGTATTTATCAACACCTGTGGCGACGGCACCAACTCAAGCACGCCCGTCACTCACCCTGCCACTGGGCACTCGGGCTTCTCCGGCCTTTGCTAATGCTGGCCGGCCGCTACTACAGGTGGTTTATGCAGTCCCCAGAACATGTTACTCAGCACGTTCGTCTGGGGTGCAGGTGACTAAACACACAACAGGTTTCTGGTCTCAGCCAGGACCAACTTCTGAGGCTGGGGCTATAATGGCCATGGTGCATGGGCCCAGAGAGGAGGGGGAGCACATGTTTCCTCCCAGTCCCAGGGCATCTGCTGTGGGGCTGGCCCGGGGGTGGGGGCAGGAAGAACCATCGGGAGAGGGGACAGAAAGCAAAGAGGAGGGGACAGGGCTCTCTAATACTCACCACTATGGCCCCAATTCTTAATAATGATGGGAAATAGAAGCCATGCTCCCTGAGGCCTGCGTGCAGTCACCCACCTGGGGCGAGGGCTTTCCCAGTACCAGCTACTATGCAAAGCAGCTGTGGTAGAAAGGGGTTCCAATCCCGGTTCAGCTGCTCAAGGTTCTTAAGAAAGCAGGACCTGCTAAACAAGAGTGGAACCGCCTGCCTCACAGGGTTTGCTACCCAGCATCAGCCTGAGGGCAGGAATCAGGCGCTCAGTGGCTGTTTTGTTCATCTGCTCTGCCAGGACTCTGCAACAGAATTTCCCAAAGTAGCCCCACATTGACATCCTACCCTCAACTAACAGCTGGCAGAAGGAGCAGGAACCACTTGGCCTGACCCACCCACAGCTCTCTGCTTTCCTATCCCATACCCCAGCCACCCCTGGCCTCACCTCAAGGGATAAAACTCAGTGGTGACAGCCACCAGGAAGAGTCAAGTGTTACCAGTTCCTAAGGCCTCTGCAGGTGACTTCTGAGGCCCTTGTTATCTGTCACGTCATGGGAAGGGCTCTCAAGGATGGATATGACAGCACATGGGTTTGGGAAACTCTTCCCAGTTTCATGAAAGCACCCCCCCACTCTGACCCCTGTTCTCCCAAGCAGGTCCTTGGTGCCCCCATTCTCTCTGTGGGCAGACATGGCAGCCTTCCCACTCATCTCCTGCCTGCCATCCTGAAACACCTTCCTCTTTGAGGTCTTGGCTGAGGTCAAGGTGCCACAGTCACCCCCAAATCAGCCGTGTAGATCTGCTGGGACCAAGTGAGTCTGGAGTCAGAGGCTTGGTCCCAAGACCACCCAAAGCAGCTTTAACTCATGGATCTGAGGACAAGACTGAGACAAAACCAACCTCTGCAGCCTGCAGAGAAAGACTGCTGCCCACTGCCTTTTTCAGAAAAACACCACCTTCCCACCTTGCGTCCTTACATGCGGTTTTGCTCTCTGACACGATGTCACCACACATAACACTGTGTCCTCTTCGGAGTTTATGCCTCATGAAGTAAGTAGGTCAAATGAAGGCCCGCGTGACAGACGACGAACAGGGAGGAAGGGTAACCTGCCGAAAGTCACACAGGGCGGGGACCTGGAGGGGAACCCAGCTCTCCTGACTCCTGGTCCAGTTCCCTTTGCCACTAAGTAGACTCTTGAGTTCTCCTGAGCTTCCCCCATCCAGTTTACTTAACTAACCCGGAGCTTCATAGAGAGCAGGGTGGGGAGGAGGCGGGTAGAAGCAACGGGCCAGGCAGTGGTGGTGGCTGCACAGGCCCAGAAGAACCTGGGGGGCCTGAGCCAGTGCACAGAGCCGAACTGCATCTCATTCCTTGCCAGCTCCTTTCTCAGCCTATGGTTGAATGGCTCCCAACATGCAGTGGGTGGACGTCTGACCTGGACCAGCCCAGGGGTGATGCACTCACCCAGCCTGATGGGCCCCAGTGCCAGGCTCCAACCTTGTGAGGGCACATGAGCATGAGCCCCAGGGGCTGCATCTTCCTGGGAAGGGAAGATTGGGAGGTGGAAGCACCACTCCAGGTCCAGGGACGTGGCTGCCAGTCCCAGCTCCACGCCACCTGAGGGGTGACAGTGGGCACATTACCGTACTGAGAGCCCGCAATGCGGGGTTTGGCTGAGTGAGTACCTAGACATTCGAGGTGCCAGGAAAGACGCCTCTGCTGCTGCTCACAACGAGGCCAGCAATCAGGAGCGACGGAAGAGGATCTGTCAGCCAGTCCAACTCCACTTTAAAGAGCAGTTGGTCAAATTAGCAGGCATGAAAACAGGCATTCAGAATGTTCCCAGAGTTCCTTCTACTGTAAAGGGGACTGGAGAAGGCCAGAGCAGTACCTGGGGCAGTCAGAGGAGGGCTCCTGAGTGATTCCAGCTGGTCACCTGGAATGCCTGCGCTGCAGTCAGGCAGTGAAAGGGAGGGGGGGCAAGAGGTGCACTCGCTGGAAATAGGCCCCAAATGAGCCTGTCCCTTGTCTCACTTGCTAAAAGGGCTGCCCTTGGTCAGGCTCCCGAGACCAAGGGAGAGTCTGGCAGAGATGGTGAGGCCCTGGTGCAGCATCAACTCCTGGGATAGCGAGGAATTACATTCTTCCTCCTTGGATAGCAAGGAATTACATTCTTCCTCCTGGGATACCGAGGAATTACATTCTTAAGTGACTACAGAATTTAGCTAGTCCAGGAGGCTGGATCCACACTTGTCTAAGAGGATTCCTTTCCTTTCCAAGCCTCAGCTCCACTGATCCTCCTGTTTAAGGCTCTGCTTCAACTGGGCAGAAAACTCCAAGACAGCAGTCAGCTCATGGAGTGCTGTGCAGGGAGATGGGACGGGGGTGGAGGTGGGGGCTGGGGAGAGGGCCTCTTGGCCATGACCATTCTGATAATGGTGCCCAGTGGCAGCTCGCTTAGGCTGGCAGTGGCCTCTTGGGCCTGGGGCAGAAGAAGGCAAAAGGAGGGATGTCATAGGAGGTGATGACAAGCCCCACTGTTCACGTGAAGCTGGTTTAGAGGGCTGGAGAGTGAGGAGCAAATCCAGGGGACAGGAACAGGAAGGGAGCCTCAGGGGCTTGGGGACCTGGTTGGAAAGTTTCAAAGAAGCCAGTAGAAGAACCTCTTGGCCCCAGCTTATGCCTTTGGCCTCTCTTTATCTGTCATTTCTCTCCAACACGTAGGAACAAGCTGGCACCACCTCAGAAACACACAGGAAGACAGCGGGGGCCTATCTGCCACGTAGCAGGAGCCTGCAGAGAAAGAAATTGACGGGAGGAGCAGGCGGCCTCCCATCCGGCCTGGCCGACTCAGTATCCATTTCTAACCCTTCCTGAGCCTGCTGCCAGCCTCATTTCCATCTTCCATTTGTCCACTGCCCCGAGCCATGACTGCCTGCCACACGTGGGCTCTCAGCTGTGCCCTGGATGTCTAAGGTATGCCTCACTCAAGGGGCTTTTTGCCTGGTGTGGGGCACTAGCAGAGACCATCCCCCCATGCCCAGGGCTCAGAGACCTTGGGACTCTCCCACACGTGGCTTTCGAGAGCCCTGAGGTCAGGCCCAGCCATCTCTCCCGCCTGGTCAGGGCCCTGCCCGTCACTGCCCCCCAGCAGCCTCCTCCCTCACCAGAGACAGGTTGGCCCCTCTCAGCAGGCCTTTCCTGTCTCTGTGATCTTTCCAAGTCCCACCATCTCTACGAAACCCCTGGGACAGACAGCAGAACCCAGAGGTTCGAGGTTGGACTTGGCTCTGCCACTTGGGCAGCAGCAGCATCTCTGCCATCCAGGCCTCCTCCTCTGCTGGCGGTGCTTGCCAGCCTCCGCTGCACTTGACACTGGCTGCTCTTTTATGTGCTTTGTTTTCCCAGCTGGACCATCAAGTTCCTTAAGACACCTACGTTATTTGCTTTTCTGATTTCACATCTATTCATGGTGGGAAATGGAGAAAAACGATTACACTCCAAAGAGGAAAATGAAGCCCCCGGAGTCCTCCTGAGATAGCCACTGAAAACATCTTGGCTCACTCCCTTGCACCTCCTATGCATACATGTTTTCTTTTTCAGAAATTAAGATCATATTGTGAATTTCTGTGTCAGTTTCTTCACTCAGCACTACAAGGGGGACATTCCCCACATTAGCAATTCTTCAAAAATGTGGTTTTTTAAATATCTACTTAGCACTCCAGCATCAGGACCACCATCGTTTATTCAATCAACACTTCTGTGAAGGGCGTCAGGCTGAGTGAAGGGCATCAGACCTGCGCTAGCACGCCCGGAGCTACAAATTTGCCAACCACCAATTACCTTCCTTCCGTGCTGATTAAATGCATTTCCTCCCTTCTCCTAAGAAAGCCCATTTCCTGTGGATAAGATTTGTGGTGAAAATGGAACCAGCTACGATGCAGGTGCAGTGTGGTGGGCTCGTGGGCTGGCTGGCTGGCAGATGTGTGAGCCACGTTTCCCTCTCTCCCTGCGTCTGGTGTCAGTTCCACCATCCTAGGGAGCACCTGGCAGCCCCCACTGCCCTGGCCCTGCCCCTCTAAATCAAAGGCCCTTTCTGTCTGTAAGCAAGACAGTGTGGATAAAGTTCAAGTTGCCTGCCTGTCCAGCTCAATCACCACATCACAAGAGGAGAATAAGAGGGCATGGCACCTGGAGCCTGGGGCAGAGGTCTTCAATTTTCTGAAGGGCTTAAACATGTTCTGTGTGGTCCCAAAACGTAAACCTGGGACCAAGAGACAGAAGCCACAGGAAACAGATTTTGACTCAATATAAAGAATGCTCTACATCAGCCAGTACAATGCAAAGAATGAATGGGTAACCTCCTTACAAGGTAGTGAATTCCTTGTCACTAAAAAACCATCATGGCAGAGACTACTTGGAAGGGATTCGGGCAGAGAGGGCGATCAGACCACATGGCGTTACAGTCCCTTCCACTCTGAGAGGGAGCTGTGTGATGTGCACAAATGCCCTGTACTTCTCCTATGACAACTCGCAGGGCCCTATCACAGGGAGATCCCACAGCAACACCATGACTGTCAAACAGCCTCAGTTTCCAGACGCTCCTCAGACATGTCCAGCCTGGCTTCCTGGAAGCTACTTCTGCATCTTGTAGAAGAGTCTCCAGGGCATTTCAGAACCAAGGGAAACATTGTAGCCTATTGGAAACCTAACCACATGGGATCCACTGTAGCTAATGCAATGTAAGTTATCCACATGCAATGAGGGAATATTTCAATAACAGAAACGCTCCCCTTCCCAAGTTGCCTTCTTTTTTTAGGCTGTTAAAACATAATTTGCCTGACAGCCCACCTGGCCATTCACACGTGGTTACCCAGGATGCTGTGCACAGCAGGCCACTCTAGGTATCTGAGGTCCCGGCTCACCCGAGGGGTGCTCGACGTTCCTTCTTGTATAGACTCCACCTGCCAGCACTGAGAGCCCCTGGAAGGACTGAGCTGCAGGCCGCCCTCAATGAGGGTCCTTCTAGCATAGGAACAGACGCATCTTACAGAGGCCCTGCCCTGTGCATGAAGCTTTGGCCCAAGGCCACACTTCTCCAAAGGCCTGCTCAGCTGCTCTCTGCTCCAGTCCTACGGAGTCTCGGGCTATTTGAGGGGTAGGAATCCTGTTCTTTCCAAAATCAGCAGAAGGAGAGGTGGGAAGCAACAGCTCAGCCTCTAGCATCTTGAAGTACAGGGAGGGAACACCCTAAGACCACCCTCACTTGCCCATCTGACGGCCAGCCTGAGGAAGGGGTGAGTTGAGAGAAGGAAGGCCCCTCAACACTCCGAGCCAGGGGCCAACCTGGGTCCCCACGCATTGCCTGAGCCCCCTCTCCACCCCGAGTTTGTCATCCTTCCCCGAGGAACGTGGTGAGTCAGGAGTTAGGTCATAAGAACCATAAATACATTCAGTTTAACTTTTAAAAAGAAAAAAAATTGCTATTTTAAAACTTAAGATTTCTAAAAGCTGAAAATTAACTGTCCCAAAGCTGGCTTGGAAAGGGTGCATTGTTGCACACCACAGTATCTTTTGCCCTGGAGTTGGAGATGGCTCTGGGTGAGGTGGGTCCCTCCTGGAAGCCTCAGGCCAGCTCCCTGGGCAGGCCACTATTCAGGAGGCACCAAACACAACCCGATCAGCGAGAAACCCTCAGAAGCCCCCATTAGAGAACAGAGTGCAGGTGGTGCGAGCTGCATGCTGACTCTGACCCCAGCCCTCAACTGAGGCAGCGGAGCAAGGCGGGCACAGGTGAGAGAGATCCCCTCGGAGCGGGTGGGTCTAACTCAAACCAAGATGACTCAGGCTAGAAGGTGACATAAAGCACATAGGTGGCCACGCCCCCATCCCTGTATCCACAGAGAAGAAAGAGGCTGTGCAGCAGAGTGGCTGGAGCCTGATCTCCAGATCCAGAGCACTGGACACACATTTCCACCCTGCCAATGACTGACAGTGTGACCCTGAGCAAGGGACCTACCTCATTTCCTTCATCTGGGCAATGGATTAATACGAGTCCACATCCCAGGGCTGCTGGGAAGATTCAATGAGCTAATTCACGCAAACCACTAAGAACGGCGCCAAGCACACAGTAAGCGCTAGTGAGAAGTGTCAGCGACCATGATCACTAACTTTGGCTCAAATGCCTGCTCCTGGAAGCAGGCCCGGCGCATGCAGATGCCTCTAGAAGGGCTTCCAAGAGAGGGACAGTGACAGGTACCCTGATCAGAGCTACTTTCTGAAATGACAGAGTGTGCACCAGATCCTGAGCCCAGGGTCCTAAATGGGTCCCTATTCTGCAGGGATCCAGAGGAAACACCCTGGTTTCTCTTTTTATTTTTGGCCCTTTGTGTTTTGTGAGAGAGCTTCTCAAAGAAGCAACCAATCCTCCAGGCCATCAACTCAGCCTTTCCTCTGGGCCATCTCTGAGGCCACGGGTATATAAGGCTGTGTAACTCTGGACTCTACCCCAGGCACTGGGCCTTGGCTGGGCAGGGAAGGGGTCTTTCTGCTGGAGGCAAGGCTCCTTGCTTCAGTGACAACTCACTTGACACCAAGTTTTGAGAAATAAATAAAACTCCTCGTACCCAGCCTTGATGGGATACACAGCCAGGGAGGGGACACAGGGCTGAATCAGGGACCCTCCTTCTTGGGAAGCAGATCTGCAAAGAGAGCTCCCTCTGGAGCCGTTTCTGGGGCAGAGGGAGAGGGACAGTTTGGGAAGAAGGCACATACCACCTGGCTGACTTCCTGGTGTCTGAGTGACCTCAGTGAGCTTTCCCTGGGATTTGGGTCTACGTACTGTTGCAGACTCCTGTGGGGCCAGAGGGGAGGCCAGGGAGGCCTGTTTCCACTGAGCAGCACCCTGCCATTGAGGAGGCCTGCAGCCACTTACCAGGAAGTGGACATCGTCAAAGCCATTCAGAAGCAACTTGCTCTCATACTGCTGCAGCCCAATCGACTCCAGCCACTCCCCGACACTCTGCTCCAGCGTCCGTAAACCTGATGAGAGAGGAATCGGCAGACGCTTGAAAAGGGAAAAACCATTAAGGCGGTAGCAGCGGCACTCAGAGGAAGATAGATGGCATTGCCACATCATAGTCATTACCATCAAACAGCCAAACTATATACAAGAGACCAGAGAGCAGCAGACACGCAGCTCCTCTTCTGTGTACAGCCAAGGACAGGACCACCTGGTGCTGTCCACACACTGCCCAGCCTCGGGCGGCTGCTGCCCACTCACACCCCCAGGTCTGAGCTGCTCCAGGGCCACGGCTGCACATGCATGATCTCTGCCCACAGGTCGGGGGTGGGGGAAGCCAAATCCCAACAGTCTCCAGGTCAACTCCTCATCAGCGTGCGTGCTGAAGATATTTCAGAAAGTCTGTCCCCACAGGCACTAGAGGGGGCTGAGGGAGCTCCTAAGTGCCCACAAGCCCCGCCGCTCCTCTCATCCATGCAACTTCTGGAGCCCCTGTGGGGCCGTGGCGAGGGGCAAGTTCTGCGACCTTGCAGCATAAACCAGTCAGGAGAGAGCACACATCTTCATGCAGCTGAGGGACACAGGCACACAGCGAGGGCTCCGGGAGGGAAGCAGCAGCGGCGGCTGTTCACCGGGACCCAGCACATGCAACACAAGCAGCACAGAACACGGCAGGGGGAGAAAAGAGACTTTTACTTGTTTTCCCCCAGCAGTCCCGGAATAAGCAAACCATGGCCACCGGCCCTTTGTGCTCAGAGGCTCAAGGCAGCAAGGGGCTGAATGGGGCACATGGGCCGGGGCTCGGGGGTCAGGCTCAGGTGTGGCTCTGCTGGGACGGCAGCATCGCATTCCGCCGGGCTGCGCGGCCAGTGGGCCAGGAGCCCGATCCACAGCTAGACTCTGGCAGCTGGCAAGCAGGGCGTCTCCTGGGCCAGCACGCCGTCTGAAGTGTTGCCTTCTTGGGCCAGGCTGGTTTTCAGGGGCTGGGCATTCATTTTCCTCTTCTGATAACAGCTGTTCCAGTGACTCACCTGCCTGCTCAGGTAGAAAGCAGGCAGGCAAATTCAGTTCTTGGGTAAAGAAGACAAAACCCAACCAGATAAAAGAGAGAAAAAGGAAGTGGTCCTCTGTCAGCTGAGCTGTGGCGGCTTAAGTCTATTCACGTCCTGCGCTGTTCTCTCTTTGGCTGAGTGATAAAGACAGCCACAGTCGTCCCAGGGTCTCTGGATCTTGGCGTTCTCCTCTAAGGATGAGCAGGGAAGGGAGGACATCTATTTGCTCCTCGATCAGCATGGGGATTTTGGTGGTGCAGGGAGGACAGAAGTTCAGCCCTTTCTGGCAGACCTTGGATGTTCTGAGCTGGATGCCTGAACCCCAACCTACTTCTCTGATTCTTGTGGGCAAGAACAGATGAAAGAAAGAAAAAAGTGAAAAGGAGGAAAAAGAGGTACAAGGAAGGAAAAGGAAGAACCAACTATAAACACATCACCTCCAGTGAACTCCTGACACGGTGAAAGTCATTCTGCCGTTCCCAGGTACTTTCTGCCCCTTGGGGCAGGACAATGCCAACTTCCTTGGTTATCTACAAGACCCTGGTGACCAACTCTGCCAGCCTCCACTCCCTCTCCTCTGTCTCCTGCAGAACAGATGATGGTCAGGGACCCGGCGGCCTTCTGGATGCACGCTGCCGCAGCGCTCCAAGATGCCGAGTCTGGGGGATACTTGAGCTCCCCTGCCCTTGAATGGGGAAGTCTGCTCCAGGAGCCTACGTGGCAGGTTCTTCTATGCCCATGAAGTCAAGTGTCCCCGGGTGCTGATTCATTCTTGCTTGTAATCCCCCAGCCGGGCAGCTGTGGTCCTGCCTGCTGCCGGTGGATGTGCGCGCTGACAGAGCCGCAGCAGAATGCTTTGTCTAAAGGCTCCTGGGCTCCACGCTGCCTGCTGCTGGCTCCACAGTCCTTGCTCACTCTCGTAATGTCTGGCCCTCCCCTTCCTCCCCTCCTCACCCTCCCCCTTCCAAGCTCAGGAAAATACATCAGGGATCGGACATCACATCGGAGCAGAAGCAACTGCTGCTGTGGCTGCTGAGGGAGAAGGAGACAGCAGCACTAGCATCAGAGCGAAATGACAGATTTCCCAATAGCCGATGTTGGCTGCACAAATGCATATGAAGGGCGGAGATATGAAACTTTACCTCTAGCTCCAGGGGCTGGAAACAGCTTGTCAGGAAGAATAGAGAGGGACTGCTCCTAGAGCTTTGTTCGACAGTTTCCAGGACAGCCAGGAGAGGACACAGGAATGACCAGACCCAAAGGGCATAGCCCACAGGTAAGTGACCCCCCTACTTGCCACTTTACGAATGACTGTGCTTCTTATAAAAACAGGCAATGAAATAAGGCCGTTACACTTGATGTTCCTTAGGTGAGTATACCAAACAAATTGGGGACGGACTTCTCTTGGGGCCTGTTAGAGCCCAGGGGAAGTGCCCCACCCCAGAGCAGGCCACTCACACTCTGGGGGAGGACAGCGATGGCCAAGGGCAAGGGGGAAACCAGGGCCAAATCCCAAGTACAGATGGAGACAGGCCAAAAAGATAAAACAGGTACAGGGACAGAAGTCCAGGGCTTCTAAATATGCCCTGGACACATTACCCTCTAAATATGCTGGGAGATACTGGTATCCCAATAGGCTGTAGATGAGCCCTGGAAAAGAGAGGGTTCTCATCAGGCCCCAGAAGGATCCTGCTTGACCAGCTACTCAATACCTAACATGGCTGGCTTTATCAGAAGACAGCCAAGCAAGTTCCCTTCTGCTTGACGGAGAAGGCCTTTGTTGACAGAGCCAGAGTGGCCTGGGCCAGTGGGAAGGCATACCCTCCTGGACTCCTGAGAATGGGAGTTGGCACAGGGATGAGTTAGCTGTAAACGCTTCTGTTGGCGATTCAGCTAACTAGCTCCAGTGGTGGCAGCCCAGGGGCCTGTGGCCCTAAAAACAGAACTGAGACTCCAATGCTGTGGTCGTGCCCTTCGGCTGGGGGGTGCGGGCGCCTCTGCAAAACCAGTGGTGCTGGGCAATCCCACACTTGGTGCAGGGCTGCCTGCTGGAGGGCCTGCTCCTCCTCTACCCAGACTAACCCCAGAGCCCAGATCTTTTCTCCCTGATCCTGACGCCCAACCCAAGGACAATCTGAACCCTGATACTGACCAGTCAAAATAAACAGTGATTCCATTTTGGTCCAAGCTGAAGACAGTACTCCCTGAGATCCTGGGGAAAGCCCCCTCCTGACCCATCAGACAGGGTTCATGGGCAGGCCTGAGCCCATCCTCTCCACGCTTCAGCACCTGGCAGTGGTGCAGACACAGCAGCCTGGGGCTCTGCAGCCCGGGTGGATGAACCCGCTGTTTAGGTGGTCCCCCACATGTGCCTGTTCTTGACTTTCCCAAGCTGGACTATAGAGGATGGTTCAAGAAAATGAGTACTAAAACAAGACTGTGTGCTGGGATCCAAAAACCCAAGGGTAGAGACAGACTGCCTCTCAACACTCATATGGGTTCACGGGGGACAAAAACTGGTAGGTGGGGCCAGGCATCGTGGCTCACGCCTGTAATCCCAGCACTTTGGGAGGCCGAGGAGGGTGGATCAGGAGGTCAGGAGATCGAGACCATCCTGGCTAACACGGTGAAACCCTGTCTCTACTAAAAATACAAAAAATTAGCCGGGCGTGGTGGCGGGCGCCTGTAGTCCCAGCTACTCGGGAGGCTGAGGCAAGAGAATGGTGTGAACCCGGGAGGCGGAGCTTGCAGTGAGTGGAGATCACCGCGCTGCACTCCAGCCTGGGCGAAAGAGCGAGACTCCGTCTCAAACAACAACAACAACAAAAATAAAACAAACAAACAAAAAACTAGTAGGTGGGATCAGACAGGAGACCAGATGTCACGGGAAGAGCTCAGCATTAACCCTTCCAAGGGGAGGGCTCTTCCCGAGGTGCTGCCACATCTCCCGACTTATCAAATCCAAGAGGCAATGGCTGTTTCTGACTCACAGCTCTCAAGCATATGCAAGTGATTTTGGCTCCTGCTCCTTGGACACAGAAAGCAGAAACCATCCTCAATGGAACTGACTGCTATCCCTCCCATCCCTGTGGTCAAAGCACAGCTTTGAAAATGGTAACAGTGTTTGTCTCAGTCCTGAACATCCATTTCCCGCAAACACTTGACCCTTGGAAAAGCTTGCAAGCTACAACAGAGTGTGAGATGGCTTGACTGAGTGTAAGCAACAGATCCTGAAAACAGATCCACAAATTTAGCCAGGAAAGCCACCTCTGCAGACTCCAGCATAATCCAAGACTGACGAAAACGGACCAAGCTCAGCTCAGCCCTCTCTGCTAGCACCCAGGGAAACATTGCTGCTGGAGCGATGGTGGCTCTGGGAACCAGGACTGAAAACTGTGGAGGGAGCCACGGCCAGTGAGCAGAAGCCTCTGTTCTCTAGGTTTCTCGATATGAGTAAGTAATGATTTCATGGACAAAAGGAACACAGGGCCGGGTGTGGTGGCTGACACCTGTAATCCCAACACTTTGGAAGGCCAACGCAGGCGGATCACGAGGTCAGGAGTTCAAGACCAGCCTGACCAACATGGTGAAACCCCATCTCTACTAAAAATACAAAAATCAGCCAGGCGTGGTGTTACATGCCTGTAATCCCAGCTACTCAGGAGGCTGAGGCAGGAGAAACGCTTGAACCCAGGAGGCGGAGGTTACAATGAGCCAAGATTACGTCATTGCTCTCCAGCCTGGGTGACAGAGTGAGACTCCGTCTCAAAAAAAAAAAAAATTTTTTTTTATCTACTACTTATTCACAGCAAGCCTGTGAGGTTGACACTATTATCCAAAGGTTGCAGATATGGGGTGAGGGGTGCAGAGACATTAAGTGACTTGCCAAGACACATATGTCTCTAGAGCCAAGATTTCAACCCAGGGCTGTGAGGCTCCAGAGCCCAGCCCGTCCCCACCAGGCCCCGTGGTCTCTGATGTTCCTTTCTCCCTGATGTGCACACTCAAGCCCACCCATCAGACTTCCTGCCCAGGGCCACAGAAGCCCATGGAGGAACTAGAGGTGTCACTTGAGACTGACAGGTCAATCCTGGATGGAGCCTCCTGAGTGAGCAAGAATTTCCACCCCTTCAGGGCAGAGAGGCATTTCCATGAAGGTGAAGACAGGCCAGGCTCCCAGCTGGGCTGCTTTCAGCCTGGATGCCCCAGTGCCCAGACCATCTTTGGATGCTTGGGGGAGAGGTGTGAGATCTGCTCTGAGAGGCATCTTTAAGAGCATCTCGCCTGAGAAAGCAACACAGCACAATCCTATCATCAGATAAAACAGCTCAGATGGCCTCCCCATTCCCTGTTTCAAACAAAGAGAACAGAAGCTGGCCTCACTACTAGGGCTTAGAAAAGAATGACCAAAGTAGCAGTGATACAGTGTAAGAATGGTAAGTGATGAAGTAAACTGAGTCAGGCACAAGGAGCTGTGGGAAGAGGAAACAGCACAGTCAACCCTCCCAGGCAATTCACATGCATGCTACGAGTCTGAGACCCCTGGTCTAACCCAGTGCTCCGCCACCATCACGGATGAGACTCTTGAGAGCCATCTTGGAAGCTGCAGAGACCAACGCTGAGGTGCACTCTGATTTAAGCCCATCTAAGAAAGCCCATAAAATAATGAATAAGTTACGATTGTTGATCTAAAAATTTTTCCCAATAGGCAGCTTAAAATTCATTTTGTCCCTTTTCCCCTCCCATATGTAAAAGGAGTCATGGCTCTAAAAATAACAGCAAGATGGGGCTGTCTAGGTATTGGAGACTGAATTATAGGAGCATGACGTGGTCTGAAGCTGACCTCTCCCACCCACTGAATGTCTGTCTTCTGTGTTAGAGGAAAGCCTGAGCCAGAAAAGAGCCAGACTGCCAGTTTCTGTGGGGAAAATGGCCACTTAGTACGGTACCTGAGATCTTCTGCCGTTCCTGAGAAAAGTCAATCCCTTCTCCAATAGAACTCATGATTTTCTCAATCTGAAATGGAAGAAAGAACAAAGAGGAGAGGCAGTCAGGCTTGGGGTAAACCTTACCAGCTCACCACAGCGCCAGTGGGGTCTGACCTCCAGGTCTCTTTCAGATGCTTCCCAGGACCAGCACCAGCCTGCAAGGTATCAGGACTCTGCTGCTCAGGTCTAAGAGAGGCCTTCTCTGGCCCCAGCCCACAGGGTCCGATGTACTGCTCTGAAGGGAGTGAGATGGTGACAGTCTGGGCTTAGCTGCTAGAAATACTGAAGAGCCTCCCTTTCAAGGCATCTCTATGTCACTCCCCAGCAGTTCTCCCAGACCAGCAGAGACTGGGGAGAGGCTGCAATCACAGGCCAGACCTGGCCATCTCATTGCTCACGCTAGAATTTCAATTCCATGAGAGTGAAGACTTTGCCGGCTTTGTTCCATGCTACCCTGAGTGCCTAGGGTAGTGCCTGGCAAATCATAAGCATTCAACAGATAACTGATACTGTATGACCACAAGCTCTGGGGAGTGAGGATGATTTCTAGAGCGCCTGCATACAGAAACCTCTGGGAAGGAAAGGTGAGGCAGGCACTTAGGCCCAAATGGAAGGCCTTTTGCTTCTTGGAGTCCAGCAGTCCTGGATAGAGCTCTGCGTTCAGGAGATGAGACGGGGCACAGACACCTGTCCCTCTTCTGGACCACAGCAGAGAAAGCTAGTTTCAAAGCATCCAATGGCTCCAGCGCTGCCCCCAGTATGGACCACCTGTCCCAGCCATCTGGCCTTGGCCACTATGGGCCAGATCCAGGCCCCCTTCCCCAGGAAACCTGGCCAGGGGCAGAACTAGGCAGTGGGGAGCAGCCACCTTCTCTTCTTCCCCTCCTCCTCCTTTTTGGGTTGCAGTGATAATGAGCTCATTCACTGCTCTTTTTCCAAAGGAATGAAAAGAGGACCTTTTGTACCAGGGCTTGGATGCTTTTTCCTCTAAGTGCAAGTAAGGAGCCTGGGTCAGACAATTGGAAAAACAATTCTCCAGCCAGCCTTCAGCTGGCAGACAAAGCCGTGCATCTGACACCCAGCAGAAGAGCACAGAGCAAGCGCCATCTCTCCTTGGGCAGCTGGGGGCTCGGGGAGGTATCTTCCTCCAGCCACAGAATCGACTGCTGGCTCAGGCTGTCATCTGACTGCCTGTTAACCAGACTGCAAGCTCCTTCCCTGAGCTCAGCAAGGCAGAGGGAAACGAATCTGACCCCTGCAGCAAACTGAGGGTGTGTCTCTAAACACTGGCCCCAGCAGCCCAGAGGCACAGGGAGGAAGGATAGTGTCAGAGCAGGCTGGCTCTGCCCCTTGAAGAAAACGCCTCCCTCCACCCCCATCTCTTTCTCTGGCCATGTCTGTTTCAAGTGCTGCCTCCTTCAGCAGGGGCAGCATGATACAAGG
Organism: Homo sapiens; assembly: GCF_000001405.40. NCBI lineage: Eukaryota > Metazoa > Chordata > Mammalia > Primates > Hominidae > Homo > Homo sapiens. The sequence goes on along the minus strand of NC_000006.12, from coordinate 35,052,683 downwards.
GAAACTCCCCAGACCTCCCAAAGCTTCCATTTATTTTTATTTTTATTATTCTTTTTTTTTTTTTTTTTTTTTTTAACAGAGAAGAGGTCTTGTTATGTTGTCCAGGCTGCTCTCAAACTCCTGGACTCAAGTGATCCTCCCACTGAATAGCTAAGACTCCTGAATAGCTAAGACGACGACGACAGGTAGGTGCCACCATGCCTTGCTATTTTTTTTAATTTTTATTTTTTTTGGAGGCAGGGTCTTGCTCTGTTGCCCAGGCTGGAGTGCAGTGGTGTGATCACGGCTCACTGCAACCTTGACCTCCTGAGCCCAAGTGATCCACCCACCTCAGCCTCCCTAGTAGCTGGGACTACAGGCGTGCAACACCACAGCCGGCTAATTTTTTTGTTATTTTTTGTAAAGGCGGGGTTTCATCATGTTGTCCAGGCTGGTCTCAAACTGTTGGACTCAAGTGATCTGTGCACTTTGGCCTCCCAGAGTGCTAGGATCATAGGCATGAGCCACTGTACCTGGCTATTTTTTCTTTTTTGTAGAGATAAGGTCTCACTATGTTGCCTGGGCTGGTTTCAAACTCCTGGGCTCAAGTGATCTTCCTGCCTTGGCCTCCCAAAGTGCTGGGACTACAGGTGTGAGCCACCATACCTGGCAAGCTTCCATTTAAAATGGATAAAAATGAGGATGATACTGCCTTTGTCCAGGGTTGTGTGGATTAAAAGATATCATGTACATAAAGCACCTGGCTGAAGGTCTAGCTCACAGTAAATGCTCAATAAAAGGTTAGTTTGCTTTCCACTTCCGCTCTGTTGTCCTCTGAGTGCTCCAGTCCAGTAAAACCTATTTTTAAAGTTGTAAAAATATTTTTACTTACACTTATTTTTTGATACATTCACATGATTCAAAATTCAAAAGATACAAAATGTTATTCAGAGAAAAGTCTCCCTTACCCATCTCCCAGTTGCCTCTCCGCATTCTATTCTACTCACACGCAGAGCTTAACACTGTAGACACCAATGAGGGTTGGCATCAAGCGTATTTTATTTGCCTTGTCACCCGCTGGGCCTGGCACATGGTAAATAGAGAACCTATTGAATGAATCTGTGAATGAACCAAAGTGTAGTTTCCATTTCTTTAGAGTCTGCACTGGAAAAGCTGTTCTCCACGGCCATGCAGCGTGCTGGGGAAGGAAAGGGCTGAAATGGTGGGGTGACTCCAGGGTATCCTCTGAAATAAAGTCATATTATATATTTCATTATCACCATAATCACTTAACATCCGAAGCCCCAGCTGGCCTGTCCAATCAGCATCCGTTGGTGGTACAATTTGTGAAATTTTGCCGAAGGGCCTTTTGGCATCAGAGTGAACAGAGTTGAGCACCCTCGCTGCTTCTCCGCTCTGCTCTTTCCTGCTTGCCCCAGGAGTCACCCACTAGTCAACTGACATAGGCCAGCAGAAGCCCAGGTTTCTTTTCTTTTCTTTTTTTTTTCTTTGAGACATGGTCTTGCTCTGTCACCCAGGCTGGAGTGCAGTGGCGCAATCATGGCTCACTGAAACCTTGAACTCCTGGGCTCAGGGGATCCTCCCGCGTCAGCCTCCCAAAGCACTGGGGTTACAGGTGCCTGACCCAGAAACCCGGGTATCCATGTGAGGTGTTCCAGACTGCAGACCGGCTGGGAAATGCTAATGGATGCTCTCAGGACGATTTTGCCCAGGCTAGGAAGTTGTTCTATTGTTCTGTGAACTGCCATGGCTAAGTCAAGCTGAGCTGGTTCTAGTTCCAGAAAAACTCAGGGTCCTCGGCAATGGACTCACAGCCTGTAACCCTGGACTCCTTCCTCAGCAACTGGAACCTGTCTTGGTGGAAGCTCAGGGCCAGGAGGGACATGGCAGCGAAGAGGTCCTGTTTGGGCAGAGATTGGCAGGTCCCCACCCTGGCACCACAGAGTGTCTGGAGCTGTGGTCTGCCCAAGCCCTCAGCCTGAGCTGTGCAGATGGGGAGAAGCCGGAGCTCATCTTCTCTCCTTGCCTCAGACTCACCCTCATGCCCAGAACCAGCAGAGAGGAAATAAGATCATTTCAATCTACACAAAGAAGAGCGTTCAGACACAGCAGATATCATTCTGATCTATACACTTCATGCAGTTTAACCTCCTAGCTTTAAGTTAAAAAAAAATCTGAACAGGCAGCTTTCCCAGAAATGGTCTGCATTTCAGGGGAAGAGGCAGGTTAAGTGTAATGGACGGGCACCATTTAGTGTTCTCCTCTTTTTCTGTGGTTTTGGATGAGTGACATTTTTGGAGAGAGATGAGAAATGGCCATGCTTCCTTATTAGTGCACTTCACGTGAACTGACTGAAAACTTATACTCGTGTTTGTTAATATAAGGACTTGAAAGTTATCACCATAATGGACTCTTGTCTTCAAAAAATGCTTGGAAATACTCCATTTTCAAAAAGTTTTCAGGACGACTCTGTTTAGACTATTTTTCCCTGCCAGGGCTGTGTAAAATGTATTCCCCATATGGCTGAAAACAAGAACAAAAACAAACACTGGAGATACTGCTGCTCAGGCCATCTGACATCTGCTTGTTTAGACCGCAGGATTCTGGCTGCCCACGGGGTGGGGATGGGAGGTGGAGCTCTGTATGGAGAGGTCTCCATCCCCCATCACCAGGCGGCAGAGCCACGCAGATGACAACTAGCTTTTTAATAAATACTGGGAGTTGAAGGAGGGGAAAGAAAGAGTTTTGATGGGTCTTCTGTGTGCCAGGAAGTGTGTTGGGCACAGGCGGACCTCAAGCTTTGGTGTAACTTGGCTCCCTTTCAGGAGGCAGTACAAGTCACGGCTGTGTGCAGGGCTACGACATGGGGCCAAATATCAGGAGAGCAGGAATCAGTCTGGTCAATATGTCTTTCGTTGGGGCCCCATGTAGAGGAGGATGGGAAAGGAATCACTTTCCTTTTACTTTCCTTTGGTGTAAATGGGAGCACGAGAGAAGTTTCTATAACTGAGTTGGCTCCTGACATCAGACATTCCCTCCTAACACCCTTTCTGCTGCCTGGGAGCTGTTGGTGCCCTAGGACCCCCTGCCAGTTGGAAAACACACATCAGTCTCCTTAGGCCTGAGCCACGGGGCGGGAGACACCTTCCACCTCGCCTCTTCCACTCGGCACTGATGACCTTATTGGCCCAGAAACACCTTCTGCTTTGCAGGATTACTTCCCTGATTAACTGTTTTATGGTGTGTCCCAGAGACACTAAAGAACCATTCAGGGTAAGGACCCTGCGCCACGCTGTTTTCTTTAGATCCCACCATATGCCTTGTACACAGCTAGCACACTGGTGGTGTTCGATGACAAATGTTTGTTAGCTATCGCTAATACACTGGTCACTTTTACACTAACAGGGGAAGGGGGGAAGGCAGCCAACACTCTCCCTTCTGGACCAGTATGAATTCTCTAACTCCCTTTCCCTCCTCATTTTTACGTTTTTCTGACTCTCTGAGTTGCTGGCACAAGGTTGGCACTCCCCCAAAGCACCTCACACTCCACAACTTTCAGCTGATCCCTTCTCTGAGCAATCCTGCAGAGCCTCGACTCACAGCCAAGCAAACTTATTACCCTACTTTTCAGGTGAGGAAACTGAAGCTCTCCTCCACAGGCACTCCCAAACTGCCCACAGAGGGCAGTGCTCTCACTTTCGCTGGTGCCACTGGCAGCCGAACCTGCTTCCTGCTGCACGGGGGCAAAGTGGCAGACCCTCTCCTCTGGCTCGATGGCCTTGCTTGGACAGTGCTCCCCCTTCCCAGGAGCCGGGGGCTGAGCGACTGAGCCGCAGCCTCCTCAGCCTCACCAGATGCTCTGTGCCGATCCCATCAGGCGACTGCTGACGTCAAAATCAGTTCCTTAGGCTGTGCAGAGAACCCTAAAGACTGCTGACAGCTGCACTCTCAGGCCCAGAAACCACATAAGAATTCATCACCATCTCTGTCTTCTGCCTCTTAGCAGCAGACGCCTCTCAGCCTAGAGTGGGCTTTGATTCCACATCTGAAAAAGGGTCACTGGCCAGGGTCTGGGTGATTTTTTTTCCTTCTCCTCCCAGACTGAATTGCGCATGGCCTCAGGAAAACAAAGATGGATTGAAGTAAATTATTTGTCCTGATTTTCTAACCTTGTCAACTGCTTTTAGGAGAGGGAGGCAGAAGGGGATGGGGGAGGGGAAAGGCGCATGGCAGGGAATGAGTAACTATCTGCCAGCGGGCTCAGGGCTGTCCTTGCCGAGGCGACCAGACATGGCGGCTAACAATGAGGAACTCCCTTTTCCACAGAGCGGGCTCAGTCTCCACTTCAGCTGTGTCTTACCGTGGGGCATTTGGGTTGTTACCATGTTAATTGCTGTGTCCCCCTACTTCAATCCCCTTTACATCGTCACCTTCTTTTTCAACTCCCCTTTTCCTACTAGGCTGAGAGACAACAGAGCTGTTTTGTTTCAAAAGTGCTTTGTCCGTCTTCCCTGACAAAGGCTCCAATTAAAGCCTGCCTTTTGTCTTTGCACCAGGCTAGGCTGGTGGAGAGAGGAAAGCCACGGAGCTCTGGCTTCCAGAGCGTGGTCTAAGGCTCTAACCTCCCACCTGCCCCCTCATTTTTGTCTTTCCTATACCTCTTGGGTTGCTGATATTTGGTCTTGCTCCCCAAAAGCACCTCACACCCCGCAACTACCAGCTGGCCCTTTCCCTGACTCAGAGGTCAGGGCTTAGGCCCACATCTGCAGCTTGACAGAAAGGAAATACATGGACATGACATGAACATGACCGGGAGGAAATACATGGCCCTGACTTGACATGACGTGAAGGAAATACACGGAACCAATACTTGCCAAATGACCTTCTCATACCAGAACAGCCTAATGTAAAAGTAATCTTTTACTCAAAGCGCCAAGAAACTGCTGAAAGAATAAAAAAGTTGGGAGACCTAGATTCCAATTAACTTTATTACTGCTTGCCACATAACTCTGGGTTATAAGCCAAGTACTGGCTTCAATAAGTGGGACAAGAATCTAAAAGATTAATGAGGATTATGTATTTGGGTTCTAGTTCAATGTACACAATCTACTTTTCACCCAGGCATGGTGGGGAGGGGTGAGGAGGAAGTACACAAACCTCAGAAAGCCTGCAGTTACCTAAAAACACTGGTTAATCTGCCAGTTGGTCCTTCGGGCACCCCCACCAGCCTCCAAGTAACTGTCTCTCGGTCTGGTTCTTTCACAATCTGAATGTCATTACAGCACACTGCTGGTCTGGCTGTGGATAAAACCAGGCCAAAGAAAACATCCTAAACTTCTACTCAGAATCAATTTCCTTAGCAGTGTGGCCAGGGAAAGGGGTCTTAGCTCCTCAGATTCTACAGGGGAACACCTGTCTTATAATATCAGGGTGGTCAAATGTAGGATTCTGAGTACCAAATTATATATACTTAAGGTTTAAAAATACATACATACATACTTAATACAAATACACTATCAGGATCCATCAGCTGCCTTGAGATTTCCTGCAGTTTACCACTCCTAATTACCTCTGAACTTGCGAAACAGGAAGAAGGTGTATAAATGAAGTTGACAGAGTCCCTAGACTTCAGTTTAAAGCACTAGTTAAAACCTTTCAGATAAGACATACAAAAGAGCACATGCTGCAGTGATTCCATTTATATGAAGTTCTAGAATAGGCAAAATTTAGAGTGGAAAACTACCAGAAGAGGCTGGGTGAGGACTGGCTGGCTAAGGAAGGCACTAGGGAACTTTCTGGGAGTGACAGTAATGTTCAGTATCTTGATAGGAATTTGGGTTAGACAAATGTACGTATTTATCAAAACTCATGGAATAACAGACTTAATGGATTTCACTTTGTATAAATTTTACCCCCCTACCCCCAAATAACTATAAACAAACATCGAACTCTAGTTAATCATATACACGTTAAAGTGTTTGGGGATGAGAGTACTGATGTCTGCAACTTACTTTGAAATGCATCAAAAAATAACATGATTGCTAAGTGCACTGAGGGGTAGACAGATGGATAGATGCAATAAAGCACGTACAGCAAAATGCTAATTATAGAATCCATGCCCTACGTGGTGGATATTCAGGGATTCACTACTCAAGTCTTTCAAGTTTTCTGTAGTTTGAAAAGTCTCATACTGAAATACTGGAAAAATCTTTCAGGATCAGATCTTTTAGAGGATAATAAATTGTAAGATTAACACTGGTCTGAGTTTCATTTGTGATGAACTCTGTTCAACATGCTAATAAGCAAAGACATGCCCGAGAGGCGAAGGAAACAAAGAGAAAGGAATGTGGGAAAGTCGATGGCACCATTATTCCCTGTCACAAAGCCTTCTGGGTGAAGGGCTCTCAGCACAGCTTCTGTGTTGTGGTGTGGCTTTCTCTATTCTGGAACCCAGGCTAACCCCAGACTTGACAGTCTGAAAACTCAATTATCAGTGTTCCCAGGATGAGTACACCCTGGGAAACTGGCTCATATTAATCAGGGTCAAAAGAAATGGATCCCTACATCTGTGAGTTCCTTTAGCATGATAAGCAGCACATTAGAATACTTAGCTAGTAGAATATGTTTGTATCCTCTGTCTCCTGAAATCAAATAAAATTAGAAAATCAAATACACCTTCAAAATTCTGGAGTATGTGAAAGCTATGTGAACTACATTGAAGGCTCATTCATCTTTCCTGAAAACAGAATTCATGTGCTCACAGCAAGGTCGACCACCGACCCTGAAAGCACTTTTGTTCAACAATGTGAAAACTCAAGACTTGCAGGGTGTTAGGTCCTGGGCTGGGTTCTTTCAGTGGGGTCCTCACTGCACTAGGCACTAGCTGACTGCCCTCCTGGTGATCCAGTCCCTCCTCACAAGCACCCTGGTGGGGAGCTAGCATTCTTCCCACTTTAAAGAAGAGAAAAGCAAACATGAGAAAATCAAAATAACGTCCGTGGATCACAGCACTAGCCATATGTGGGCACTGCTCAATTCCTTATCCACCTAATTCATGGTGTCCAGCTTGTTTCAAGCCTCGCTTTCACTCTATGAAAGCTCAGCATAGGATTTCGAATGTACTGGATCGAGAACATTGGAAAGGCAGTGTGTAGGGGTGGAAAGAACAAGGACTTATGAATTAAAAACTTGAGTTCAAGTTCTGGTTCTGCCACCTAATTAGTTGTGGAACCTTGGACAAGTCATTTAACTTTGTTGACTTTCAACTTCCTCTTCTATAAGGTGAAAAAAAGTCGTCACTCATGGGATCATTGCTATGGACAAATGACCTGACTTCTCTTCCTTAAGATTCAGTTTCCTCAAACACAAAATGCACATATCAACAGAGGCCTGCTGTAAAGATCTGAGACAATGTACAAGAGGTCTGAGTGCAGCCCTGCTTTCAAGGCAGGGCTCTAATGAGGAGTTAATTTATTATGACACAAGTCTGAGCAAGCTGTGCATTGCCTAAAAGACACAGTTTTGGTGTAATTCATTCATTCCCTGAGTGACATCATCCTAAAATGCAAGGTTATTGCTGCTGTAAGCATGGATGGTGAGATCTGTTCCTCCTCCAAAGGCAATGCCTGTCTACCTCTGTTGCTGGGGGATTTTAGTCCCTGCCATTTCCCAGGGCCATAGCAGGAGATACTGTGCCTGTTTCCCTCTGTAACTTGACCAGATGCCAGCCTTACTTACACTGGGAAACATCTGTAGTCCTCGTAAAACCACAGATGCCAGGCAAATAGTCCACACCACCCTCCTCCCTTGCACATTTCAGTTTACAGCGATTAGACAGGGCTTGTACTTGCCATTCACATTTATCTGGTTCCAAAATAAACAAAATTCTATCTAAAAAACAAGTTAATCAAAATCCAGGTTCCTTTGTTTTTTGTTGTTTTGTTTTAAAAGATACACCAGAGGGAAAGGGCTTCCTTTTGGCAGAGAACGTTTAGAACATGTTGTGTGAACAATAGCTCACTTCCTGGACACTCAGCTGGAGGCAGCTTCTCCATTCAGGACAAAACGTTTTATGTGAGGGAGTGACGCCTTTCTACAAGGCAGCTCTTGGGGCGCGAAGCAAACCGGAGGATCCAAGACAATACCAAAGTGAGGAGAGGGAACAGGGTCTCAACTCAGGCCTGCTCCTTCTCATGCAGGCTGTGGGCCTGCCTCTACTCCCTCACCTCAGACAGAGCTGGCTCCCACAGGGCAGAGTCTGCAGGTAGTGAAATGCCTGAGACTGTGGAATCAGCTTTGCCGCTTTCAGCAACGCGGCTGTGAGCAAGGAACTTGTTCTTCCCACACCTCCGCTTGGTCATCTGTAACAGGGATAACGACACCTACCTGGCAAACCTGTTATTGACCTCCGCTTAAGTGATCTGCCAGCGAGCTAACTGCATGCCACCCTGTCCCTCAGTAAGTGATGCCAGCGGACGGCTATGTCCACACTGGGCAGGCTTGCTCCCGCACACCCATGGTCTTCTGCTTCCACACACTCAGTGTTACCCTTACCAAGAGTCAGCTGGGGTCATTTCCAAAACTGCTTAGGATGGTTATATTTGTTGATGAAAATAGAAAATTTAATTAAACATTACATAAATTATGGAACCAGTGTAAAAGAACCTTTCTGTGACAACCAAGTAAGTACTTCGAAGAGACTCAATAATGAGATCATTTTTTAAAATGTGCTCTTGAATTAAGGGTGGTTAGGGAAGTAAGTTGTAAAAAATTCCAAAAGAAATCTATACTCAGATTGCTTCACAAGTGGTCAAATTCTGGCTTTACTTTTAAGAAACAAACTGGAAATTTTAGTCAATGGTGTTTTATAGATGTGGTTCATGTAATAAAAGGAAGGCAGAGAACTCCAAATTAGTAGATCTACATTGGAAGAAAGGGCCCAGATCCACATCAAAAGGGTGCACATCTATCCATTGGGGTTAAATTGTTTGATTCTTTTTAAAAAATGACTTCCTCCTTTGGTTTTGTAATTAACCAAACTAAACAACCCTCATCCCAAGTGGCCATGTAAGAGGCTTCTACTGGAACAATGGCACATGTGGAAAGCCTCTGGAGGAACTGGCAGCAGTGCCTCATAAACAAGATAGCCGCTATGACTGCAGAAACTCTCAAACCACCTTCACCATCAAATAAGTCAACTCCCAGAGACACAGAACCCCTCTCTGGCTGCGTTTTCCTAGAAGTCTCTCCCCTGCAGGCTGGTAAACCACCCCAGGTGACTCCCGAAATTTTCAGCCCTTCTTTCTTCCTCATCAAGGTTCCTGTTTGAACAATGCCTTACACATTATTTATCACTGCCTCTGTCCAGGGCCAACTAGCCAGGCCATGATCTCTGGGTTACAGATCACAGGCATTAGCAAGTCATGGGCTCTCATTGTCAACTCAGGTTACCTCACGCAAGTCAAATTTCCAGCTTCTATTCATCTGCATGTGGCAAGGGGTGAAAAGAAACTGCCCCTAGCCCACCCAGTTCTCAAGCTGAGTACACAGAGACAGAGGGTCACTCAGTTAACTAAGACCCTTCTCCCCAACACAGTCCTCCTACCTACCCTGACAGACTGTAAGGCACGAAGGCAAAAGCAGGGGGAATCCTCCAAGTCTCGCAGACATATTCTGAGGCTCAAGGGCATCCAAGGTCATCCAAAAGAAAATGTCTGAGCTAGGAACCAATGTGAGCCCTGCCCCACCCACAACCCCATCACAGACAATTAATTATGGAAATGGCAACCTTATGTCCCCCAAATATAACCATGGAGGATACATTAGAAACACTCCATGGGAAGGAAAGATACATGGAAGATAATTATTTTCAGTTTCCTATGTAACCCTCACCTGTAAACAGGGATGCTAATGCCTGCTTCGCAGGACGGTGTGGGGAGGATGCGATGACACAGGGAGGGTGGCTGGCACATAACAAGCACTGATGAGCACTGGTGCCCTGCCGGCACCCTTTGTGGACTGATTGCATCTAGGGTTTCTGCTTTAGAATTCTTGCAGCAGAGGCAGCCTGGCTGTACCACACTGATGCAAACCTGCTCACACATACATAAGGTCCGAGGATGGCTCCCGGTCTTTAGACACATGGACACGCCTCTTCAGCTTCTTTTGTATTTCTCACTAGTGCTCCTACCAGGTACTAAGCACTGGGTGGGCTCAGTCAACACCCAGTGGAAAAACAGACAAAGAGCTTTTAAAAGTGGTTACACCTTAACTGATTCTTAGGGAGGGATTTGTTTAGGACATACATCTTTCTTGGATCTGAGACTTTTCCTGAAGAGAAAATGAGAGGGGGGAGACATGGTGGCTAACCCAGCAAATGTGTGGCATCTTCCCACCTGAAATTCCTCCAACTGCGTCCTCACTGCCTTACTGCTAAGTTCCTGTGTCGATATCCTCTTACATCAGCCCCATGCTGACCTCAACAACAAGGAACTGTGTTCTTTCCTCTTTAAAAAAATGAAATGTTTCTTAAATTCCAAAGAACATATTTTATAGTATTGTGATTTCAACAGCAATAATAAATGACCCATTCACATGCCTACTACCTGGTTTAAGAAATAGAAAATGCCCTTCCTGGGATCACTTCCCCCCATTTCTCTGCTCCTCTGAGGCCACCACCATCCTGAATTAAATGTTATTATCCTCTGGCTTTTCTTTAACCTACCATCTATGTCAGTATTCCTAAATCATATAGGTTTCTGTCTTTTTTTCTCAGCCAAGTGGACAGGAACACAACTTGATGTCCTCAAAGTAGCCCAATAGGTTCTGGAACCGAAGTTCAGACTGGTCACCTCCCTCTGGCTGGCAGGAAAATGGGAGGCCACAGAAGAGCTCAGCATCTGAAGAAAGGGTGGTGCTGGCAGGCAGAGAGCAACAAGCCCTGGCTTCTTGTTGGGCTGGTAGTGTGAGGACTCCTGAGAAAATCCATTGCCTATATGGGCAGCAACATGCAACAGCTGGGGGCTAAGTGTCAGGTTAAAGTGTACAACCCCATGGGATTACTAGGAAGAACACAGCCTTTTCAAAACAGGCCAGTGAAGAGTGCCTATTCCAGGAAAGGCCCTGTGGACTTACACCCTTGGGTTTGTTAGCAAGTGAGTCTTGCAAGTTGCAATTATGGAGTGTACAAATTTTCTCAGGAAAGACATCAAGAAAAGTGGCATGAAGGGAGAGGAAAGGCAGAAAAGATGGTCATGCAATCCTCTACACTTTGTGAGACCTTTGCAGTGGGAGACCCCCGAGCTGCCCACAATTCAAAGGCCATCTCCAATCTCAGCCTGCAAGAAGATTCCAGAGCGATCACAGCCCACCAGTCTCAGCTGTTTTGTAAGCATTGATTGCTGCCAACAACTGTTCTCTAGGGGCTTTGTGTATGTGCTAGGAGGTAGGGCTCTTCAGAAAAGGAGTGGAAGCTACAACCTCAAGACAATATCTAGAGAGAAGGCAGTCAGAGGAGCCAAGGAAAGAGCTAGTTTATTAACGTTTGACCAAGACCCAGGACAACTGTTATTTTTAGTATTTCTCATAACTTTATAACATCCCCATTGTTGGCTATTTATTGGCTATTTTCCGCAAACCTCTCAGTTTCCCATTTTTGTTTTAACATGCAATAAAATCTTAAAAGGGGATTGTGTGCTTATTTCAAACACAGCAAAACTGGGGAGACACTGGAAAACATTATTCCTTCCCCAGAGTTCTGGGATACGAGGGAAGAGGGAAGACACAGTGGAGGCAGACACCTGGACAGGTGGGCCAATCCCTGAGGTCTACGGGAGAGAAGAAAGGGGTGAAGGGGAAGCTTACTGGGACCCCAAAGAGTCCCTGGCTAAAGGCCAGAGGGTCCCAGGCTGGGCTTCAAAGCTCCACTGTCAGCCAGGGCATAGGAATCTCATCTTCGAAAATTCTGCCTCTTGTAGAATCAGATGCTTGAGTAATAAGTGAACTGGTGTAGAGAGAGTCTGAGACTGAAGGAAATGATCAATAAGAGCCTTGTTTTTCTCAAATACTTTTGTGCTCAGGCCATGTGTGTCTGTGTGTAGGCAGGCACAAGCATCAGAATCTCAAATATGCTTCTACATAGCTGAAAATAAACAGGATGGCTCTGGTCAAAACTGTGAAGTTCAAAATCTCAAACTCCTCTTTTTTCCTTTGCCCCCAGAAGTGGGAATAAGTGAGAAAAGCTGGTACAGGGATCAACAAACTTGGCCCTTGGGCTCTCACCACCAAGTCAGTGGAAATGGAGGAAAGGAAGACGAGGGCCGCAGGAGGCAGGCAGCTGCAGATTCAGCAAGCAGGGCCTCAGACATTATCCACATGAATCTCTCAATTTTGCAGGTGAGAAAACTCAGGCTCGGAGGGGCTAAATAGTTTAACCAAGGTAACAAGGCTAGCAATACAGGGCCTAAACCTTTCTTGTTGCCTCTCTGCCAAGATACCCCACTGATTTTGCAACTGAGGAGGTGGCAGAATATGGAGCAGCCCTTGATGAAGATACCTTCTATGGCCTGAGTTCTGTTCCCTCAAATTTCATATGCTGAGGCCCTCACCCCCACTATGAAGGTATCTGGAGATGGGGCCTTTGAGAGGTAATTAGGGTTAGAGGAATTCATGAGGGTAGGGTTTATATAGAAGAGGGAGATACATATATTCTGCCATGTGAGAATATAGTGAGAAGGCAGCCGTTTCTAAGCCAGGAAGAGGGTCCTTGTCAGGGGCCATGCTGGCTGGCACCATGATCTTGGACTTCCCAGCCTCTAGAACTATGAGAAATAAACATCTGTTGTTTAAGCCACTCAATCTATGGTATTTTGTTACAGAAGCCTGAGCTTCCTAATACATGACTTAGGCCTCTCGAGGGCTGAGCACTGAAGGAAAAAGACCTGGGAAAAATGACCTTTCTCACCCTTCCTTCTCTACAGCCCTGGGCAGAAACACACACTTGCCTCTTTCAGGAGAATGGCTTCTGTGCAGAGCACTGTGCTGTCCCACTTCAACAGGGACGCACGTGGCAGTAGCCCCTTAATTTGGTAAGTGTGTGGGCCATTTTCCTTCCTAACTGGGAGGAACAGAAATGTTATAAAGCTGTCAACTTTTTATCAAGGCAAATGACTTTAAAAATTAACAGGATGGACTGGGCGTGATGGCTCACGCCTGTAATCCCAGCACTTTGGGAGGCTGAGGTGGGCGGATCACCTGAGGTCGGGAGTTCAAGACCAGCCTGACCAACATGGAGAAACCACATCTCTACTAAAAATACAAAATCAGCCAGGTGTGGTGGCGCATGCATGTAACCCAGCTACTCAGGAGGCTGAGACAGGAGAATCGCTTGAACCCAGGAGGCGGAGGTTGCAGTGAGCCGAGATCATGCCACTGCACTCCAGCCTGGGCAACAAGAGCGAAACTCCATCTCAAAAAAAAAAAAAAAAAAAAAAAGTATGAGGGAGATCTTTGTGGTGACAGAATAGTTCTGCATGTTGATTGTGGTGGTGATCACATGAACTTACACATGATAAAAATGCATATAACCCCCCCCCACACACACACACACATACATGCAAAACTGGTGAAATGTGAATAAGGTGTGTGGATGTGTGGATTCTTCCACGGTCAATCGCCTGGTTTTGGTATTGTATTAGAGTTAAATAATATATTACCATGGGCAGAAACTAGGTGAGGGGTACTAAAAAAAAGGACCTCTCTGGACTATTTCTACAACTTCCTGTGAATCTATAATTATTTCAAAATAAATTTAATAAAGACAAACATTTAACAATCAACATGAAAACTATCCCTTTGTTTTATAAAAGAAAGAACAACTGAAGCACAGAAAAAGGAAAAGTGGCCAGGTGCCATGGCTCATGCCTGTAATCCCAGTGCTTTGGGAGGCTGAGGCAGGAAGACCTCTTGAGTCCAGGAGTTCAAGACCAGCCTGGGCAATACAGCGAGACCCTGTCTCTACAAAAAAACAAAAACAAAAACAGCCGCGCATGGTGGCGCACGCCTATAGTCCTACCTACTGGGGAGGCTGAGGCAGAAGGATCACTTCAGCCCAGGAGTTTGAGGCTATAGTGAGCTATTGTCACACCATTGCACTCCAGCCTGGGCAACAGAGTGGGGCCCTGTCTCTAAAAAAAATAAAATTAAAAAAAGGGAAAGAATGAACATAATCAGAATAAAGGTGGTTGGCAATCAAATACCATCAGCACTATCACAGCACTCTTCACTGCCCTTAACTCTCTCCTTTCATTCTCCTTTCATCGTGGACCGGTCGAAACTGTATTGAGGACTATCTCAGTAAGAATGCAAAGTTCCAGTTTCCCCATCTTCACCACTGTGGCATGCAAACAATGTGCCAGCGGACCCACCCACAAGGAGGCCAGGCATGAAGCTCCCTTTCTTCCCAGACTGATGGGCTTCTGACAGTTCTCTTAGCCTAGAGAAAATGGAAAACAACAGTAGGACAAGATGGGGGTGCGGGTTGGAGTTAGAGGAAAGGCACAGGCTGGCAAGAAATTTAAGTTTCTCTTCTGTCTTCTACTACTCTTACCAGTGCCCAGAACCCTCTGCTTTCCTTTTCCCCTCCCCAAGAGACAAAGAGACCTGACGCCAGCCATCTATGTGCCCCAGGATTTTTCATTCACTCCATCGTGCCCTCTCCCTGGCCCAGACTCTGAGACCCAGAGTCTATTTTCACAGTACCCTCTCCCTTCTCTTACCACCATCCTTGGCAGCTGCTCTCAGCCCCTGAGTTGCCTGCCCATGTTCCCTCCAGAACCAGGACCCCAGGGAAAACCCTTCCTGTGCCACTAATGGGTGGTAAAGCAGACAGTAGGCATTTGTCATTTCTAAACCCTCCCATCTGCCAGTTTCCAACTGCAAGCACCTGTGACTGAGGATTCTCTTAGGCTGCCAGAGCCCTCTAGACCTGTACACTGGGTAGACTGAAAGCAAGAGGGAATTAACGTCCTGCCCCTACTCCCACTAGGTGAGTAGCCCTCACCCAGACTGACTGGAAGTGGTACATAAATACCCCAGCTCCCTTGATCTAAAGTAAATTTGAGTCTCCCAGAGTTCCCCAGCAGGCCACGGCCCAAGGGGTAACCTGCTGGGTAACAAATCCTTTATTGGTTTCCTTTCTTTCTCACTCCCCCACTCCCCTACCAGTGCTTCCTGGGATCACCTCCCAAATAAGCTATTTGCATTTAAATCCTGCTTTTGAGATTTTAAAACTCAGCCAGAGATAGGTGGTCACAGGGAATCCTAACAATTGGGAAATTTGAGCCAGAATTTCAAATGTAAGTGAGTGTATCTCTGTGAGTGTCTGAAGAATGTACATCTGTGTAATTAGGGAAGTCATCAACAGTAATGGCTGCTAGCAGATACTAAAAAGCTAATAGGGAAAAACTATAAAAACTTGATTTGCCTAGGTAATATTCATTATAGCCATTTATATGACCTGCTTTTCATTTGCCTAATTACCAATGGCACGAGAACTACCATGTATATATTAAATATGTCAGATAAAACTTGCATTACATTTTATTTGATTGCTAGTGTTATGTAATCCCATGCCTGGTTCTTGCGTGTTCATAACTGTGTGCTCACATGCATAGTCTGTTCACGAATAGAGGGAACACTGTTAGGACGTGGCTCTTCAGCCTTGGTTCTCAAACCTCAGCGTGCCTGAGAACCACCTGAGGAGCCTGTAGAAACATTACCGGGGCCCAGCCCCAGAGTTTCTAATTCAGAAGGTCTGGGGGAGGAGGGAAGAATTTGCATTTCTAGAAAGTTCCTAGGGACGGGTGATGCTGCTGGTCTGCAATTGCCCTTTGAGAACCACTGCTGTAAGGCACCACATATGAGAGAAAGAAGGAACTACAGGGTTAAACTTTCCACTTAGCATTAGCAACATGAAGGCTGACCAGTCTGTGTACTGTTTCTAGAAAACTGGCAGAATCTTCTAATATTTTAGATCAGTCACTGAACCAAAACCAGATTTGGTATGTTGACAGTTTAAACCAAAAAAAAGTTAACATAACTGTTAAACAAATCTCGAGAGACCTGGGTTTGCTCATTTATTCAACAAGTGGGTATCAAGTACCCAGTCTGCGCCAAAGATGTTGCTATGCAGCAGAGGTTTGGGCGCTGTCAAAGGTCTCGTGAGACTCTGAGTAGGTCACATCCTTAATGGGCTCAGTTTCCTAACCTGTAATGAGAGAACTCACACTTAGGGAACCTTCTGACTCTGATGTTTTACAATGAAAACCAACGCAGCATCTCAGCTCAAAGCAAAAATATTCTGCCTAGTTGCCTGGGCAGCATGAAGTCAAACGTGAGTAAGATCCTAGATGCCCCATCAGGCCAACTGTGACAGGGCAGGTGAAGCCCTGGCAGCAGTCCTCAGCCCCAGACCCTTCCAGCTGCTCAGAGTCCAATTCAATTCATGAATGCCACAATTAAAGGTGCTGCCAAGGTAAGTTAGTACTATGCCCAACACCAATCAAAGAATGTAAAAGCACCCAGCATGAAATCCATGTTCATAATTGGTACTCCCCTGATATATTATGACATTTAATCACTCCAACTGCTGAAGGGAAAACTAGAGCCATTCACTAGAATTAAGGATGCTATGATAACCTCCTCAACTGGGGTTTTAAATGAACCTTGTGCTAACAGCTTTCCTGCTCTGAATGTAAAGCAGGAGGCAAGCGGAGAGAGGTGGGGCAGCCACCTGTGAAGGGCAGTCACTGAGGACATGGCTCTGTATTTCCAAAAGGCCTGGTTTCTGAATGAAGCCAACAAGCACTGGCCTGCCACACTCCACAGGAAACCGGCAGGAAACGCTCTTGTTTTATTCTGTTTAACAGAAAGACAAACTGATATCCAGGGATGACTAGTAAATCAACTGTGGAACTGAGAAGTGAGGCTGATTCCCGACTCGCCCAGGTTGGCAACCTCTGAGCAGTTTGCAGCCAGCCTTGAGGTAGAACTCAAAACAAACATCTACCCTAAGACCCATGTGTCAATGTGACATGAGGGTGGAAACAGAGGCCAGCAATGGCCATGTCAAGAGGGGTACCCAGGGGGTGGGGCACATTTACCCACCTATAAGCTCAATAGCCTCCTGCCAAGCCAACACCAATAAAAATAAAATGCTTTTACATATAAACAACTAATGTTTTCTTATTCTTATTTAAGATATAAATAGAAGTGTATTTTAGAAAATTCTTTTTGTTGATCTAAGACATAAAACAGGTAAAACAAAGCCAAACAGTGAAGCACACCATTCAGATGAGCCCCCAGCCCCTACTTCAACCAGATGGCTGCTCTTAAGCCCTCTTTAGATAGAATTCAGGAGCCACTCAACTTCCTTCAAGGAAACTTCCTAAGAGAAGGAATTGTGTCCTTTAACTCTACCCCCTGCACCCAGCACCTAGCACCAAGCTTGACACATAATTGGCACCTAGTAAATACCTGCTGATAAAGTAAAGTGCACGGTCCGGCCAGCCTGCTCAGCCACTGGCAGTGCAGCTGAGAAGAGGGCTCCAGGGAGGCCAGCCAACGCCTTTCTTCCTGTTACTCAGGGCGAGGCCGTTCCCAAGCCAACATTTGCCACTTACTCGCGGGTAATGAGTCCCACAGGCTATCGCCACCAGTGTCAAGTGAGCTGTTTCCCTCACTTTTTGTAAAATATCCCCTTTAAGTTTTTGCATCTGGGTTTTGGCTCAGGATGCCAGGATTCGTGATCAAGTCTGTCCTTAGCCCATTTGTCCTTCTGTGATGTCACAGGGATCAATCATCACTCGGCTCAGGCTTCCTCTCTTCGGCCTCACTTTTGTAGATCTGACTGCCTCTGACCAAGCTCACTTCAGATTTATGATGTTTTATTTCCTTTTCTAGCACAACAGTGAAGAAATGTAGACACAATTACCTTATTACATAAAATTTAGCAAATGATGCAATGATACCGGCCTGAGTAATACCAAGACTACAAAGGCTTAAAAATATCTTTTAATTAATGTAAGTGAGAGGCACTGTCTAAACTAAACTAAAAGGCACAGCCACAAATTTGACAAGGGTACATGGTGCTCCCCAGATGCAGACAGAACTTCCCACAAGCCAGGTCTAGACCCAGGAATCTTGTAATTTCTTGTTTCAGATGCTCTGACTAACGTCAATGAGTGCCCTGCAGGTCCACTTGCCTTCCCCAATGCCACTTAGGGTGTCCCTGAAAAACAAGGCTGGGGCTAGTGACTGTGGGATAGCTGATCCCACACTATTCACTTTCCAAGTCTGTCTCGGGTTTGACTCCAGACAGAGAACAAACATTCAAGAAAAAGAACCAAAACACTTACGGTGATGTCAAAATAGAAAACCACCCACAAAAGCTTATACACAATTTGCAGTGGATCACTACAATGAAACAAACACACATATGCTGTTCCTTGAAAAGGAGAAAGCAAAACTAAGTGGCAAAAGGTACCAAGGTAGCAAACTAATATACCTCTAAGAAATTCATCAGCAGACACACAGACACACCCCTGGTAAAAAGGGCACAGCAAACCTAAACCTGCAACATTATGTTCTCATAATGCCACATAGAGCAGTTGAAAGCCTGGCAATAGTAGGTGCTGAGTAAATGTTGCTTTGTGGAACCACCGACCAAAGGAACCTGAGTGTTAACACCACTGATGACTTCTAACAAGTACCTTAGTGGAGCTCTCTTCCAGGAACAGGGCCCGATCCTGCCGCTGAACAGGCTGCAACATCCAGCCTGCTCAGGTCCACCTGGGGAAGTGAACCCCTTCCAGAGCACAGAGAGACGTTAATGCATCTCTGCATGAGGACCAATAGACTCGTTCTTCATTGAGATCAATCTCTGTTTCCATCCTCAAGGGCCTGGCAGATTTTACATTGGAATCTTTGTCAGCGGTGAAACAAATGCATCCATCACTAAGCTCCTGCCTTAGAAATGGGCAGTTCTTGAGTTGTTGCCCAAGATGAAAGAAGGCCAAAATCTAATTGAACCTTCAGGAAGAATTTAGTACAGAGAAACAGCGTTATCTGAACTGGAGCATGGCCAGACCCCTAGGTTAATACCCCAACAGGAGAGACTCATCAAAGACCTTATTTGGGGATCAGCAGTAATATTTTTGATTCTTAAAAAATGGGCCTTGGAAAAATTTTTCTTTAACCAAATGAATTCCACCAGCATCATACATGTCTGAGATGTGAACTCTCTGCTCTATTAAGTGCCTGTAAAGCCCGTAATGGCTGTAAGCACATGAACCCAGCTGAGGATTTGCTTAGTTCTGCTTTGCTCTGCTGCAGCAAGTCCTTCTGGAGACCTGTGGGAACATATGGAGCTACCTGAGCAGGAGCTGATATTTTAACAGAAATATACCATATCTGGTTTGGTTCTTTTCTTCTTTCAATCTAATTTGGAATAATAGGGGCCAAGAACTGTCCAAACTATTTCTGTTCTTGACTTACGTATATGATACTTAGAAGCAGAAAGACTGTTAACACCAATGTGACATTATCAAGGGGGATTCTATTTGCATTCTTTATAAATGTTAACTATATATGGAGGCAGGAACGGGCAGTGAATGAAGTTAGCTTAAAACATATTTGACATTTAAATGCCAAATTCATCTCCCCCTTTCCGAACCAGCTTGTTTTAGTGAAATATTTTTACCTTTAAAAAATGGGTGAGGGAGGATTAATTTATTAAGTGAGAAAGTCATAAGACATTCAGTATACATCTCCCAAAATCTGTAAATTTCTGTGCTCACATCTATGAAGCAAATTATTCTGAATATGCTTTAGAATCTCTCAGTTGTGGCATAAAAAAGGGCTCTACCTTATTATTAGAGAAAGAAAAAGAAAAGAAAATTCCAAATTTAAGGGTGAGGTGAAGGAGAAGGGCTTAATTATTATATCTCCCTCAAGAAGAAGAAAAACAGATACCTATCTATGCCCAAGCGCAGCAAGTCTTTAGCAATCCACACCTTGAGTTCTTTGGGGGAAAACATGACATTTTAAGGACTCAGGACATCCCACATCTTTCTGAGGCCCTTAATCAAGGACTTGCATTTTTTCTATGCACCCGTTTGGGGCTGGGGAGCCGCAGGGCTTGTAAAAATGAACTGTGATTACTACTCTGGAAAGGTCTCTCATCTGACTGGGGAGAAGGGCCACACACACAAACAAGAGCAGCAAAGCATGTAGTGCCTGCGGAAAGAGCTGCTGATGGAAAGACCTGTCAAGCTCAAAGTGCAAGGGGGCAGGTTTTATGGCAGACAGAGACTTGACCTCATCCTCTCCTGAGCCCCAACACTGTTTACTGGGCTACTGAGCTCCTTCAGCCTCCCTAAGCCTGACTGCAGAGAGGCCTCATGGCCAGTCCATCTAATGGGGCCTCACCTCACCTCCCACACCTTGCCCAGCACTCTGCTCCTTTTCTTCAAGAGCACTTATTTTCATTTGTGGTAATATTTTTATTTGTACTTGCTTAATATCTATCTCTCCCTTTAGGGTCTAAGTCCCTCAAAAGCTGCATGTTTGTTTACAATTTCATTTCTGTATGCCCAGCCTAAGCACACAGTAGGCTCTCCATCAGTGTGGTGAATGAGTGACTAAGCCTCTAATGAACAGTGGAATTTCAACAAAAAGAAATGGAGAAAGCCACCCAAGTAGGGAGAATAGTATAAACCAACGTGTAGGGGAAAACAGTGAGTATAGGAATTAACTGAGCTGGAAAAATAGGGTATGAGATGAAAGAGAAGGCCAGTTATAGAGGCTGGGCCATGGGCTCATTCTCTGGTGAATCATGCACTCCAGGCTAAGGAGTCTGGACTCTGAACCATAGCAATAGGGAAGCAAGGATGTTTTTAGTCAAGGGAGGATAACACAAAATATTTGAGGAACATGGTAAGGCAGCCACAAGTAAGATGAGCTAGAGAAGCCCAAAGGCAAGCAGGGAGATACTGAGGTGGTGGCCGCTGAGGATCCCAGATACGTGAGTCTGAATGGAGGAGAGAGATTTTGGAAGGAAACCCTGGCGACTGGCACAAAATGGGGAGGAGGAGGAAGGGTTCTGGTCAAGAGCACAAGGGGACTTGAGTGACCCTTTACAAGGCCTGGCTCAGGGTCATTTAGACAACATAGGCTTTCTCAGGCCTTATCTGTCCTATTGATTTCAAATGAAAAATTGGTACAAAAGCATCTTTACCTGCAAATTAAGGTCATAGTGAGTCATGTAGCTGCTAAAAAATGCTTGAGCAAGTCTCATGGGCCCAGAGCAGGCGATTACGCTGTTAGGTGGAGAGTAGGTAGAGTCACTGTTATGTGATGGGACATGGGGAAAAGCTACATTGATTTTGCCAAAAGAGCACAACAGGGAAGAGGCTGAGCTGTATCTCCAGGGCAGAAATCACAGGATAAAGCTTTAAAAGGCAACAAACACCTCCACTCCACAGAACCGCTTTCTGTATGGCCTCCTGATGGAGGTGTGGTACCTCTGGAAGCATTGTGCACACTGTCTTTGACTTGGGCTCACGGACAGATTGAACCCTTAAGTTTTCAGGAGACTAAGATGCGCATCAAACCCCTTGATGAAGCATTATCAGGTGGCCTGCAACATGTAAATCTCATCATAGTGTACCATGCAATGTACATTATGTACAAGCATCTGTAACAATGTCATACGATTTCAAGAGGATGTTCACCGAAGGGCCGGGACAAAAGCAGTTTGAAAATAAGCCATCTGAGGTGAGAGAGAAGAAACTGGCGTGCCTGCCTGGCAAGGAAACGAGAAGGTTTGAGGGTGGGAGGACATAATTGCAGCTTCAAATATCTGAACAACTATTATGGAGGACTGCATGCATGACCTACCAAGAAGGTAAAACCAGAATTGATGGGGTGGAAGTCACAGATTTTAGCTGGATATGAGAAAGGATTTTTCATTATTTCATAGACGTAACGGTGGATGGTAGAGGGGGTTACTTGTGGTTTACAAGCAAAAGTTGGAAGATCATTTTTATTTATTTAGTTAGTTACTATTATTATTTTTAAACCAGTCAAGTACGGTAGTAAAGAAGGTCACTTTTAGACAACACAGAAGTGACTTTGTTCATAAGGGAGCTGGACTACATGGTAACTAGGATTCCTTCCAAATTCCAAATTTTAGAATTTGCCAGAAATCATCACCTCACTTTTCAAGTCACAAAAGAAAAACCTAACAGCCCCCCATCTTAGAGAGCAGTAAAGGGAAGAAATGCTTTGAGTCTTAATATTACGGTAAAAAAGGAAACACATGCTTCTCCCAGGAGACTCCTTTCGTAAGTTGCTTTCCTTCATACACAAAGACCAATATTTTTGTCTGCAGTTAGAGGGAAAAAGTAAGATAAAGCTGCAATAATTTGGGTTGAAACAAGAGGAAATGAAAAGTAACTGCTAATTAATGCTGAAATAAAGGTTTAGCTCACCTATATTCTAAATACAATCCTTAGAAGATGTAGTTCCAACTGGTTTCCCACATTTATCAACCCTAAGACCGTAGGCAAGTCATTTCAGCTCTCAAAGCTTTAGTTTCATCACCAGGAAAAGTGAATCAAATAGTGGGCTAGATCAAATTGTTGCTAAAAATCAACAGGATGTCTAGCACTCCTCATAGCAAAATGAATTCCGAAGAAACAAAGATTTATACCTGAAAAATGAAACCATAAAATATCAGGAGGAAATTATGTGTTTGTGTGTGTGTATATATATAGAATATGTAACTATATATATATAAAAAATAGATTTGTAATCAAATAATATATATTTGTATATTACATATAAGTATATATTATATATGTAATTATATATGTATATGTAATAATATATATAATGTATATATACAAATAATATACATATATTTGTAATCTTAGAGTAAGGAAAGTCTTCTTAACTGGGATACAAAATGCAGAAGTCGACTGGGCGCCGTGGCTCACGCCTGTAATCCCAGCAATTTGGGAGGCCCAGGTGGGTGGATCACCTGAGGTCAGGAGTTCCAGACCAGCCTGGCCTAATATGGTGAAACCTCGTCTCTACTAAAAATACAAAGATTAGCTGGGCGTGGTGGCAGGTGCCTGTAATCCCAGCTACTCAGGAGGCTGAGGCAGGAGAACAGCTTGAACCCAGGAGATGGAGGTTGCAGTGAACCAAGTTTGTGCCACTGCACTCCAGCCGGGGTGACAGAGCAAGACTGTCTCAAAAAAAAAAAAAAAAAAAGCAGAAGTCATTCAAGATTGATAGATTCAACTACATAAAAATTCTAAATTTCCACATGTTAAAAAAAACATAAAAATACCACAAGGCCAAAAGACAAATCATATCATAGATAAAGGGCTAATTTTTCTCAAATACAAAGAGCTTCTACAAATTAGTAACAAAGAGATCAATTCAATAACAACGTTTAAAAAAAAAAGAGAAAAGGAATATAGAAAGTAGTGTTTTGTAAACATATAAAGAGATGCCAATGTCACTCATAATAAGAAACACACTTTAAAACTAACCCAAGATAAGATAACATTACCAATCTGTTAACCAAAAAGAGACTAAAAGGCTGACCACCCTCATGTTGATAAGGTGTTTACATGTTGTGGGTAGGAAAGTAAATTTAACACGCACAAACTCTTTCACACAGCTGTTCAGTTTCTAGAAACATCTTACAATGACTCTGTACAAGGATTTGCATTGCAGCAATGCTTTAATCAGTAAAAGCTTGGTAACATGTAGAATGTCCACCTACAAGAAACAAAAATAAATGATAGTATATGCACACCATGGAATATTATGAACAATAAAAAAGAAAACTTCATGTACTCAATTAGAATGATTTTCAAAAAATTACTATTACATGAAAAAAGCAAGGTTCAGAGCAGTACACATGAGACAGCACCATTTTGTCTTTTAAAAAGAAAAATGCTTAACATGTCAGAAATGCTTCTACATGCAGAGAATATTTCTGGAAGGATATTCAAAACACCAGGGAGAAGAACTGAAAATCTGGAAGACTTATTTTTCACTATATAGTCTTTGGTACCTTTAAAATTTCACCTAGATTCAGGTATTATAATTTTAAAAATACAAAATCCCTAAGGTATAAACATTCCATTTCTAGGGTTAGCTTTGCCTAGATTTCTACATACAGTTAGATATGGAGGTTAAGCTATATATTCCCTCCAAGGACACAGAAACAGCCTATGACCTTGAGGCTGGGAGATCTCCACCCTTGAAGTACAGTGTGAAGATGGGATGCCAGTCCTCTGCCACTGCACCCAAGTTCCACGGCACTCTTCACTGTCCTTTGGCCCAGTACAGAGGGCCCAAGCTGCAAAACCAGGACTGTATGCCCACTGCATAATGGATATAAGGCTCTTCCATGCTTTTGGGGGAAGTTCTGTTGAAAATAACTAGATCCAAAGTGGAAAGGAAAGGAACCAGAACATTTACACAAACCACAACATTTCAGCTGAGTTTACAATGGCTTCTTGCCTGTTTAAATCAGGACAGCCAAGAACAGACTGCCAGATAAATTGTCATTTGTAGGCACCTAGTGAGCTTAGGCAGTTTTCCACCTGTCCAGGCAAATAAAACAGGCTGCCTTGAGTTATGGACAGGTGGGCCCTGTGGCGCCAGAGACTGGGTCATTAGAGCTTGTGAGCAAGAGTAGGATACCTGGGAAAGATTCGCTCAGCATCTTGGCCCTGCCCAGCAGCTACAGGCCACAGACATTCTTCTTACCCACTGGCTACTCACCTGGTAGCATCAAAAGGGAACATCTATGGAGAAGAAAGCAGGATAAAGGAGCCCTAGGCAGGGAGGGTAGTCGTCCATGATCTGATCTCATCTCACAGAGCTGAGATCAGAGAGCACATCTTTGAGGATGCTGGCATAACACTGGGGTCAGGAAAAGACCCTGTGTTGTTTCTGAGGGTCACACATTTCAAAGGAAGTGCAAATGAGGTCCAGATTAATTGTTTTCTCAGAGTCTTACATAATAAAAAGCCTATCCCCCACCATCTGGCTGCCACTCTGACCACACAGCATATCTCTAAACAAATTAAACTTCTCTGGGATATATACACACACATGCGTGCATGCATACACACAGACCACCTTCATATCTGGTCTCTAAGAAGCTCCCTCTACCCTGATGTCCCCTAAGTCCACCCAGGATCAGAGAATGTCTGAGGCCACCAGCATCTCCCTCTCTTACTGGTTGTAATTACCTATGGGCCTGGCTCCTGAGAGGATGTATTTAAGATTCATCAGGGCAAATTATTTGTGGTGAGTGCTCTTTTAGGACATCAGCACCATTTCTGTGTTCCAAGTGGTGGTGGCATACCCTCAACTCACCTTCCCTGCCTCCATGAACACCCAATCAGTTGGCCTCCCTCACTGGATCTCCCATTTCTGAGATTTCTGGCCATCTTCTGGTCTTAGTAATTTTGAATTCTCTTCCCTTTGCTTCGTGATCCTGGTTTTCAGATTTTATTTCTGCCTTGAGTATGCAATGAGCTTATGGAAAGGCATTTCCTAAGACAATGACCTATAACCCAGCCCCTCTGCCAGAACTCACCCAACATCCTTGCCTAGGATGACAACAAGAACAATGATCAAGTTTGAGAAATTATGATTTCATTCTAGTTCAATAGCTTTTTAAAAATGTGGGTATGTGCATGTTTAAAAGCATGCACCCAACAGCTTAAAATAAAGAAATCAAGGAAAAAAACCAAGATGAGAAAGGCAACAGGTAGCAATCATGACTAAAGAAAAAGGAAGTTAAAAGTAAAAGTCAAGTTATAAGGTATATTTGTAAGACAATATTAAGTGTAGGGTAGGATTTTAAATTTCTCTTACAGGAGAAATTAATTAAGAGAAAGTAGCCCAATAACCACTCATGCTTCTCCCTCCCCACCCCAAGCATGCACAGCTTGCTCCTTCACGTCCTCCTCAAAGGGGCCTTCCTTGGCTGACTCACCTAACGGCAGCAATCCTCCCACCGCACCCTCTAATCCTGTTCTTGGCTGTATTGTTCTCATAACCACTCCCATCATCAACTACATACTACGATTTTTACCTATTCATTCTTTTTAAATTCTCATTCCCCTCTAGCTTTCTAGAAAGCCAGCTCCATGAGGGCAAGAGGATTTGTCTGTTTTGTTCAT
Organism: Homo sapiens; assembly: GCF_000001405.40. NCBI lineage: Eukaryota > Metazoa > Chordata > Mammalia > Primates > Hominidae > Homo > Homo sapiens. The sequence continues at coordinate 35,026,407 of NC_000006.12, read as the reverse complement.
TGCTGTATCCCCAGCACTTACAGCCTACCTGGAACAGAGCAGGTGCTCAACAAATTAGCTGAACGTGTAACTGTAATACAAATATACTTCAATTTTATACTATTACTGATTATGTAAAATACCTCTACTTGTTCTTAGACACAATTGCTTAGAATAATATAAAATGAACTATTATTCCCAAAGTCATACAAAATCACGCACTCTGTATCCTACTGATACTTTACTAGAAAAACAAGATACAAAACCAGAACCAAAGTATAAAAAGAATATCCCAGAAAATGTTTCCTTCTCTGATTCTCAGCATTTGTATGGACTGGAATAAAGGTCAAATTCCTCTCATCTATAGTCACCTACATTCATTGTCACCCAAGCTTTCAGTTTGTAACATAACAAAAAAGGGAGAAAAGGAAAATTCTCCTTTTGCTGGTGATTTTGCAAATACCCCAGCTCCCTCCCTGGTGCTTGATGGTGCCCTCTTGCTGCAGCTAAAGGGAACCAGGCTGTTTAGTGGGGGACTGGGGCTGGCGGTGGGTGTGGTGGCCTGCGGATACCACGAGTGGCAGAAATGCTGGTGCAGAATAGAAATGTGGGTCAACCCTGGAAAAAATGTTAAAAAGAAAAAATAAAAGCAAAATCCCTCTGGTACAGAGGGCTGAGAGGCTAGAAGAGAAGCCTATCCTTAACTCCACCTGTAAAAATAAGAATGAAAAGGAAAAATGAATGAGAAAAGTAGGGAGGAAGAAAAAAAGACAAAAAAGCATAGAAGAAAAGGGGAGAAAGAGCAAAGGCAAAAAGAAAGAGGGAAACAGATGAGTAACAGATAGGGACAGCAGCAATGGGGAAATGCATCGGTGGGAAGTGAAGTGGCAGCAGCAGGGAGGGTGCATTCCCCCACTCCCCCAACCCCGCTTTCCAGCACCTGTCCAGTTAGAGACGTGATGGCAGCAAGGGACCAGCAAGCGGGAGAGAGAGGTGCTGAACACACCAGTTTTCTCATCACCAGTCAATTGCAGAGCCAGGACTAACTCCCGCTCATTCACAACACCGTGGAGTTTCTCCTGTTAGCATCAAGGCCATGGAAATGCATATAAACATACATAAATACACACACACACACACATCGCATACATATATGCGTGTGTGTGTGTGTGTGTGTATACACATATATAATCTAGGCTAACAAAAATCACTTTGATAGAAAGGCCAAAACTGTTTATTTAGGGCTGCCTATAAAATAAATGAGATTATTTTAAAAATATGAACAAATTACCTCAATATTACCAGACCACCTAAAGCCAATGGAAATATAAAGGGTGTTTCATCTAGGATAACAGTTGTGACTACTCTGTATACTTGGAAACAACTTAAATAGACACTCCAGGTCCTAATCTTTCCCCAGAGGTAGGAGTGTCACATTCTTGTTCAGGGCGGGAGGGCTTTGCTCAGCACAAAAGACTACACAGCATGCTTGTTTACATAAAGAGGAACAATGCACATTGCAGAATATGGCGTGGGAAATTTAGTCATCATCAGTGGAAATGCAAATCTCCTTATTTTACATTCTTCTTTTTGCACACCTAACCCCCAAGGGTTAAAAGCAGCCAAAGCCTCTATGGAGTTGAACCAATCAGCTTGTCTCTTGATGACATCATGCCTCTAATGAGAAAGAGCTGGAAAGGGCGAGGTGGCGAGGCCACTTCTGGACTTGGCCTGAAAGGGTGCCCTCCCAGTTGCTGCCACTTCACTTCTCAGGAAAAGGATTCAAGAGCCAAGGGTTTCCTCAGCTACCATTTCAGACAAAGCCAGGACATTCCCAAAATCCTGTGCCAGAAATTATTCTCATCTTATACAAAATGCATACAAAGCATGTCCCTGCTCTTCACCCATCTCCCACTTATTTAATATTTATGAAAGCTGATTACAAAACACAAATTTATCATTTAAGCCTTTAGCCAAGTTTTAAATGACTCCAATGTTTATGCTAAGTAGACAAACAGCCTTCTGTGGTTTTCTCTTTCATAAACTTTAATCCCATTCAAAGGCAGGTGAGAGGCTAATCTGGTCATCACAAACTTTTTATCCATTCAAACCACAATATGACCAGAAAGCCATTTTTGTTATTCCTACAAGGTATTTATCTCAGATGTTAATTGGTGCTGTGTGTGTGTGCTGTGGGTACATCACACTGTGCAAGAGACAGAGGATAAAGACATACCAAAAGGAGACTCTGCCGCAGGAACACACAGCTGAGATGCTGAGGACACTGCCAGCTTGATGAAGGGAGAACAGGTTTCTTTCTTATAGTAGGAAGTGGGAAAGGCTTAAAGTTTTGGATTTTTAATTTTGTTAAATTTACATATTTTTATTTGGAGATGTCTATATCAGTGCAGAAAAACAAAGTTTTAGAGACACTGGATGCCATTACTTTATATATCATTAGTTTATTATAAAGAAAGTTTAAAATAAAATTTAGAAATTTAGTTTATTATAAAGAAAGACATGGAAATTATATTATGAAATATTTTAGGACTTCAGTGGAAGGAGCAGCTTCACGTGATGCCATTTCAATAGTGATTTATTTCTGTCTGCATTCTTTCCAAGAATGTCACCATCTCTAAATAAGAAATAATCCTGTCACCTAGAACTACTTTGGTGCCTCTATATTCTGGGAGAAGAAATTTGTCTCCAACTTCCACGCTAATTGGTCGAATCTCTCTACCCTTTCCTTTAGAGCCTGATCCAACAGCTACCACTGCTGCTTGTGATACTTCTCCCTGAGATTTTCCTGGAGGCATAATGCCTCCTTTGGTTACAGTTTCAGCTGCACTCCTTTCAACCAATATTCAGTCAAAGAGTGAAAGAAACTTTCTAAATGCTGGTCCCGCCATGACTCTACTGCCACAGCTCTGGTGCTTCCAGTTAAATGATGAATTTCTCCTGCTTCCCAGCACCCTGAATATCTAAGCCTTTCAGTTCATTTGCAAATGAAGATTAATTTACAATTTACATGCTAGAGTCATGTTTACTGCTCCAGCATACAGCCATCTATGCTTGCTCAGAGTTGATAGAAACAGTGCCAAAAACTGCTGTATCACTCAGGGTCCCTGCAGGAAAAGACGGCACAAATTGTGCACCTGAAGGAACTTAGTAATGGGATTATTTACACAGGTTTGGGTAAGGTGCAGGGAGGGGAGCTAGTCACAGTGAGGAGCCTTAGGTCAGAAGGGTCAAAGGGAAGGACTGTTTACTAGAACCCAGAGAGAACAGCTATTGGGAGAAGGTCCCTCCCAGGAGTGGTGGCTTTCAGTAGAGGGACAAAACCAATCCAACAACCCCTTGGCCTATTAATGCACGACACATAAGCAGATAGAAAAGGGTAGGAACTGGACCTGAAGGGCAGGTGGAAAATGCCCTGTGCAGTATCTAATGGTTGGAGAAGTTTCAACAACAACAAACTAACCAACCTTATGATATAGCCATACAAGAGAATACTCAGCCTTTTTAGAATGACGATCTGAATCCAGGTCTTATTGATGCTGCCATGGTAAGATATCCACAACGTGCAGTTATTAGGTAAGAAAAGCAAATTATAATCAGTAAATACACTAAGACTCCGAATTTGGATATGTATTGAATGTTAACAGAGGTTAAGTATGCATGGAGGGATGTGGGTGAATTTCCCACTCCTTATCTGTATATTTTTAAAATTTTATTTACGTACACCTTCTCAGTTTGCCCTCTATTATGTCCCAAGCATCATTAAGACAACAAAGAGTGCTTTGACTTGACTGGAGAACACAGAAAATAACTACTGAAGTTTGGATTCAGATCTCCTCTTAGGCTGAGCTCTTTTAAAGGCAAACTCTATGACTTCTTTGTCACCAAAAATACAATAGAAAATAGGGAGAATGCTAGTGTCATTAACAGATATGATCACAGAGGTTTACCTTAACCAGGCCATCTTTCAGAAGTCATGTTGCTCAGGGTAGTTCAACAGGGCTGCATTAACCCACAATAAGGAGCAGTCTGTATTTGGAGAAAATGACTCCCAAATCTATTAGCCATACATGTTCCCCAACTGGAGAACATCATCTCAACCAACCAGCCATTTGCTGGCCATTATGTGGAAGAATATATTTGAAAAACAAATTGTAGAGAAGGCTGTAGATTTCTCTCCAACCTCTCTTCTCCTCTCAGGGAGTTCAACAGAAAGCTCATTAATTTCTCAAATGAGAACAGTGGGGAAGGTGCCTGCCTGACTTTCTCAGGCTGGGTGGGCTCTCCCATCCCTGCAGTGAGGCAGAGCTGTGCAGGAGGATCACCAGTTGAAGGGTTTGAACTCCAGGGGTTCCCCGTGACTCTGCTACCACCAAACAACAAAGAACCTCCTGCAAAGAGCTCTGTTTTGTTTTTTTTTTTTTTTAGACAGAGTCTCACTGTGTCGCTCAGGCTGAGGTGCAGTGGTGTGATCTCCGCTCACTGCAACCTCCGCCTCCTGGGTTCAAGCAATTCTCTTGCCTCAGCCTGCTGAGTGGGTGGGACTACTGACACATTCTACCATACCCGGCTAGTTTTTGTATTTTTAGTAGAGAGGGGGTTTCACCATGTTGGCCAGGCTGGTCTCGAACTCCTGACCTCAGGTAATCCACCTGCCTTGGCCTCCCAAAGTGCTGGGATTACAGGTGTGAGCCACCGCACCCGGCCTGAGCTCTGCATTTCATAAGGTCTGAACACACTCCAGTCCTCAGTTCCCATTCTCTGCAGCTCCAAGCAAGATAGTAACATTAATATCTACCATTTAGTCAACACTTTATGCATGCTAGGAACTGTGCTAGGCAGTTAAACACATCTCTAATTGGTAAAACACTCTGAAACACAGATCTAACTGCCTCAGTTTCACAAATAAGAATAATAACAGTGAGCTTACTGAGGTAGTCCATGCACCGAGGTGGAGATGGAGGAGCTGGGGCTTGAAGCTGGATCTGCTGACTCCTGAACCTGAGCCCATCTGTGGTCCTGCACTTCTTTCCAGGAGCAGCCTGAGGGGCTCCCACCCGACAGCCTTCCTTCTCCCTCCCCAGGTCTCACAGTGAAGAGGTGAGCTAGGCCCAAGCACCTTCAGAGCCTTCAGAGCAGAGTTCCCCACCTCCCGGGGGTCCAAGGACAACAAAGAAAAAAATCAGCAAGAACAGGATATGGCAAAGCCGGCTACAGGCACTGGTCAGGGATAGGGTGGGGAGCAGCCATTAACTAATGCCCTATTCCAGGAAAGCCTGCCAAGGCCCTGGGTTTAGGGCCAATCACTGGGGGAAACACTTTTGGAGTTTCTCTTTACAGAGTGATATCCACAGAAACCAAGTACAGTATCACTAAGAAACAACATTGAAGGGTTACACATAAAGGGCCCTGTTAATGTTTAGGACGTAAGCAAACCTTGATCTTCTGAATTCTTTCCAATAAGACCTCAATTGCCTTTAAGTTTTTTCAAATTTAAAATGTAGCAGGGCTTTTGCATTTCAGTCACACTAGAGAACTGGCCCACAGCACCTAGATCTTGGATAGATGTAGATCCCTGGGCCATTGTAAGCACCTGCAACCTTTATCTGCACAGGTGATATCAGCAAATGAAACTCCTCTCGATGCAAAGAGACACTGGCTTACGAGCCCACACAGCCAACCTCAATTAAGCCCAGCTTTGCCCAGGTGATTTTGTATTTCTTGGCCAGGAGGAAACAGTGGAGCCCATAAGGCTGCCCAGAAATGCTGCATGTTAACAGGACATAAATATCCTGTGAAGAATCGCCCAGCACTGCTGACCTCTCTGGTTTGGGATACGCTCAGAAGGAGCCATAAAGAAGAGGTGATTCATTAGACTGGTAAAGCTGTCTTCCAGCCCGTTTAAAGGATTCTGAGATACTGCCTTGATAGCATATCCAGGAGTCATCCCTCAGTATCCACTAGGGATTGGTTCCAGAACACCATTTGGATATCAAAACCTGTGGATGTTCAAGTCCCTGACATGAAATAACATTGCATATAACCTACACACATCTTGTATATTCTAAATCATCTCTAGTTTACTTATAATACCTGATACAATGTAAATGCTATATGTAAGTAATTGTTACACTGTATTTTTATTTACATTATTTTTTATTGTTGTTTTGTTATTTTTTCCCCCAAATATTTCTATCCACAGTTGGCTAAATCCACAGATGCAGAAAACCATGGATATGGAGGGCTGGCTGTACTCATCTCTTGGCCTGATGCTCGAGGCCCTCTCACTACCTGGTGCAAATCTCGCTTTCTACTCTTATTTCTCATTCTGCCCTTACACACAGTCAGCACCCTAGAAAAACCAAATGACCTGAACTTTTCTGGCTCCATGCCTCTGCTCATGCCGCTCTCTCCACCCACCTCTCCTCGTCCCACCAGCTTCAATCTGGTTTTAACCATAAGACTCAGTCTTTTAATTCCATGTCAAATCCCATTGCTCTAGTGGTCTTTCCTGAATCTCTTCCCACCCTCTCACACCTCCTGTCTCCACTCCCCCACCCACTGATTTTTTAAAAATCTCAGACCTGGGTAAGAGTCACTGATGTTTTTCTCTCTTGACCTCTATGGCCATTTCAGAGCACACTGCACTTATCTTCACCTTCCTCTTAAATTTATCTTGAAGTTTTCCTATAGCTGACTGTAAATTAGTAAAACTCTGTTTTAAAAAACAAAGGTAGAGCATACATTCCTACAAATATACACACTCCAGTGTGTAATCTCCTGGCACCCCCCTCCCCCAGAGCTATCTCACTCATAGTGACTTTCCACAAGTGGCCAGGCATCTAGCACAGGCTCACCAAATCTTTGTTTACTAAGCAATGAAAATCTTTTGCACAGGATTCCTCTGTCTCTGCCTAATCAGAATCTTAAGCTTCATCTTATACCTTATCTGGAGGTAGCGCTGGAAGCACAGCCCCCACCCCCAACCCAGTTCCTTCACTGGAAATGGATTGGCTTTGGTTTACATAACTTTCCAGCACCTACCCAAATAGAGTTGGGTAGGGCATTAAGTGTACAGATTGTTCAAATGGACATGTCAGCTGTAGTGTTCCCCTCCTCTTGGAGAGCTAAATGGAGTTCTTGAAATTATTCCTCAGAGACAGACCCAGTCCACTTCAAAGGCAGCTTCCACTCAGTAAGAAGCTTGCAAGGGTGGTACTTTAACATTCCCATGGTGTTTACCTATCTTTGAGAAACACATTCTTCTGCTCAGCGAGACATGCCATAGGTCACAGAGAAATTGGTACATATTTCCAACTAATAATGGCTATGAAAGAAAACTGGGCCTCTGACTCCCAATGTTTTCTACTCCCCAATCTTCATTTCCTGAACCACTTATCCCTCTTCTGCCTGACCAATCTGGGAATGTGGGATGGGCAGGACCCTTCTGCTGGAAGAAGTATTTGGCCTTCCAGGACAGCACAGTAAGAATAACCATGGAGAAGCAGGGAATAGAAAAGCCTTCCTCTTGCAGCTATAAAAAAGAATGAGCTCGTGTCCTTTTCAGGCAACATGGATGCAGCTGGAGGCCATTATCCTGAGTGAATTAACACAGGAACAGAAAACCAAACAGTGCAGCATGTTCTCCCTTAAACATTGGGTACTCATGGACATAAAGATACAACAATAGACACTGGGGACTACTGGAGAGGGGAGGGAGTGGGGGCAAGGGCTGAAAAACTAACTATTGGGTACTATGTCTACTACCTGGGTGATGAGATCAATCGTACCCCAAACCTCAGCATCATGCAATATACCCATGTAACAAACCTGCACATGTACCCCCTGAATCTACCATAAAAGTTGAAATTATATATATAAAAAAGAAAAGCCCCCTTTCAGCAGCTTTCCCCCCAGACTTACCCTGTCCTCCCCTAAACACCCCTCACACCTCTCAACTAACCCTGGATCTTCTCTTTTTCTCCTGAAGGACTCATAGGAAGTACTCCAGCTCTTAAGCATCTCCAGGGTGAGCATGATTCTCTCAATGGGGCTGATGGGATCCAAATATTTCCAAACAGCATGTCATTTCTAGAAAGTGCCCCTCCCTCAGCCCTGCTCTGCTGGGGCCTCCACCCTCTAATTTAACCATTAAGGACCTGTCCTCTGTGATCCAGACTACCTGAGGCTCGCCTCTTCTTACGATTGTCAGAAATACATTAGTTACGGAGTGAAGGAACCAGAGCAACCTTGCCCAGATCCTGGGCCTGAGAGTTGGCACTCACGGGAGCTGTGGTGGGCTGCGGCCAGCCTGGCCAGCCCAGCTCCCTGTGACGTCATGTCGGCCTTACCTCATCCCACTCCGAGGCGAAGGAGGGTGACTTCTCTAGCCTTTTCTTCCCAATGCTGCAGTTGGATAAGGACTCACTCCGACTCCCCATGGTAGCGTCCTCTGTGGGTGAGCAGGTCAGGAGATCAGAGTCAGACTTGGACAAGCTGCGGCTGAGTTTGAGTTCAGCTTTGGGTTTGCTAGTGGGAGGCGCTCGGCTCCTGGCCCCACTCCGGTCTCCTTCCTCAGCACCACCAGGGTGCGGAGATGCTGTGTGAGTCAAAGTTTCAGGGTGCGAGCGGCTGTTGGTGGTGGGCAGGCCTGTGAGGTAGCCCACTCTCTTGCTCTGGTCCAGGGCACTGGGCTGGGAGGCTCCAGGAGCATGCACACCCGTCTCCTCCAGCTGCATGCTGGCCTTGTGGCAGGCGCCCTGCTGGGGGGACCCGTCTGGATGGCTCTGGCCAGCGGTACAGAGCAGCTGGAAAGGGTCCTGCCCCACCTCGCACACCGGGGAGGAGCCGTGGAGGAGGCCTGAGAACTGCTCTGGGACCTGCCCGTCCTGCCCCTCCGCAGAGTCCTGGCTCCGGCTGCTGCTGCTCCGCCTGTGGTCTTGGAGTGGACGGAGAGACAGAGAAATAAAAAATTAAACGTGGCAAAAATCAACAAAGTTCCAATGCAGCAAGCATATGGCAAAGCAGAGGAATTCACAGAGAAACAGAGAGAGAAACTGGATAGGCTGGGGAGGGGGAGAGGAGAGAAGAAGAGAGAGGAAGGAAGACAGTTTTCATATTGTTCTTAATGTTCAATTTGTACCCAAAGTCAGAGCATTTATGAAATTCCAAACACTGGCCTGATTAATGCTATCTGGCAGCCTTCCCTGTTGTTAGATTTCTGTTAACATTAACGACCAGACCTTGCTATATAAGGCGAGAAGAGTGTTAAGTATAACCTAGAGAAAGGACACAAGTCAGGACAGAGTGAGTGAACATGAAGCAAAAGTAAGAGCACCAGTGAGCAAGCGCGAGCAGGGAGACCCACTCCTGGAACATCTGATACATTTCCATAAAGGCCAAAGTGTTATTTAAAGGCCACCCGCCCTCCCTTCCTCTGGCAAGCAGCAACAGAAAAAAAAAAAAAAAAAAAAAAGAGGTCATGATCCACAACCTGCAACTTCTGGAATTCCTTAACAGAAACAAAACGGCAGAGAAATAACTGCTTCCTTCCTCGGAGGGGGCCATTCCGAGTTCCACGCCTCATCCTTCCTTCCTCAGGGAGCACAGACTTTTCTTTCTCTCTCTCTTTTTTTTTTTTTTTTTTGAGAATGTGCACATCTTGCTTCTTCCAAAATCTCCCAGCTGCTCATATTTGTTTAAGTTTAACCTTAGTTGATCCACTGAAAACAAAATGGTCTAATTTGTCAATGCCAGGAGACATTTGCAGTTCTCTCGAGACTTCCCTAACATCCTAGAAATCTGACACTACTAGCTCATGAGGCCAGCTACTACTGTACACTCAAATACCTCGCCCTGAAGTAGCATAAATAATTGGCCAAATCAGAATCTAACATCAGCACTACACTGGCACACCCAGGGGCTTTCCTTGCATGAACTCAGCCCCATTAAAGATTTTAACCCACATCATCAGAGTAAATAACACTATGTCCAGCACTAGCTCACATTCCATAATATTCAACTTAACCTTCTCTATAAGTGGGATCTATTGCACCTATACCAAACAATTCCCTAGTTTGCTCAAAACTCTCAAGAACTATTCATGAGCTCAGAGAATCTTAGAACCAAAAGGGTCAACTATGTTTACAGATGAGGAGTCTTAGTGGTTACCCCAGGTGGTGCAGGAGAAGACTTCAACCTAGAAGCCTGAAGATCTGGCTCTGGTCCTGGCTGAGCTGTTCTCTAGCTGTGTGGCCTTGGCAGTGATTTCATCTTATTGGGCCTCAGCGTCTAAAGTGACTGGGCTGGGCTGCATGATACTTAAAAATCCCTTTAATGTCATGATAGTGATGAGAATCCAGGTCTCCACCATGTCATGATGGCACACTTCTCCCCCTTAGGGATGTGAGATGCCTGCCTGGGTACCTCTCCTGTTGCTGTCTACACAGCACCCACTCTCCCTCATCAGCATGCCTGAAGGCCCAAAGCCCCTTCTTGAGGTTCAGTTCTGCAACTGGAGAGGGTAGCCAGGTGAGGAGGGGTGCAAAATGAGCAGTGCTTTATAAACACAATGTACTAAAACACAGTCTCCAATGCCCAAGCATGACGCTACTCTCCTGCAACAGTGGTTTTTTCAAAACAGCCTTTAAGAAATGTCTCAACAACCAGCTCTCACAGTGAGCCCAACTCGCTGAGGTCTGAGCAGGGATACAGTTCTCCCATCGCCCCCTCTCCCCTCCCAGCTCCAGAAGAGCAGTTCAGTCTCCACAGTCTGTTCAGCTTTTCACGAGTCTAGAGAAGTGGCCAGGGGCAGCCAATTAGCTCCACTTTATGGCTCTGATTACTTATCCACAGGAGCACAGAAGCACCAACTTTGGCATCTCTCTCCTCTACACTTCTTTATTTTTTTTTTGAGACCAAGTCTTGCTCTGTTGCCCAGGCTGGAATGCAGTTGCACACTCTTGGCTCACTGCAACCTCTGCCTCCTGGGTTCAAGCGATTCTCCCATCTCAGCCTCCTGAGTGGCTGGGAGTACAGGTGTGTGCCACCACGCCCAGCTAATTTTATTGTATTTTTAGTAGAGACGGGGTTTTGCCATGTTGGCCAGGCTGGTCTCAAACTCCTCGCCTCAAGTGATCTGCCTGCCTTGGCCTCCCAAAGTGCTGGATTATAGGCGTGAGCCACTGTGTTGGGCCCCTCCTCTACACTTGACCACTTTGGGACTTTCAAACTTGACCACTTTGGGACTTTCACACCTCAACTCAACTTAAAGGTCAGGTCCTGAGCAATGAACAAACCCTGAAAAACTTGAATCCTTTCTCTAGGGAAGAAGGAATGCTGATTACATAAGAGTTTCATATAGCTTAACCAAGGCCCCAGGAAGCCACGACTCATGGCTACGAATATTACATATAACAACTGGCAGCCAGAACAAAGCTACCCAGTGATGTTGCATGGTGGGGCTACAGTGAGGATGACACATGACCATTTAATGTGGTTCAGGTCAATAGTACTTCCTAGGAGAAGCTGATGGGGAGAGTTAATCAGGCTGTAAAATTTGCCATCTCTGGGACCACATTCTAATAGCCGACTTCCTACAGATCCTGGCCCAAGGTACAATGTCCCTCTGACTATATTTGAATGCAAGATGACTTTGGTAAAAGGAGCACAGGCTTCTACTGCTTTGTATCAACTTCCAGCTTCATATTTAACAACTGGGAGCTAAGGCACCAACAATGAAAGGAAACACCACAGCTCAGAACTGGGGGCCAGCCTGGCTCACACTGCCTGGGTGGACCTCAGAACCCAGGCCACAGAGAATGTTCTAACTGCTGCTGTGGGAGCCAACAATGCAGGCCCTGTGAAACAGCCACCCATTCATGCTAGCTATCAATGATGAAAGAGAGACAGATGCCAAGGGCTCAATACCAGACACATGCCAAGGGGAAGGAAGTGGGTAGAAGGAAAGAATGGAAACTTACGGAGGAAGGAAATATGTGGAGGAAGAATCTCTGAGGGTCATAATCCTATTAGAGAAACCACAATCCACCAATATTTTGTGGAATATAAGAAATGATGGAAAGAAATTCTTATAATCATATGACTTAGCCAGGCAATTCCTAAGAAAGACACTTTGGTATCTGAAAAGCTTGCCGAGATCCAAGACCCTAAGGCTGGTGTTCTTGTTCCCATTAAAAACTACATCCAAGGCCAAGATGAGTTTTTTTTGGCAGATCAATGGGTGGGAAAAGAATTACTCAATGGTTTCTTCCTTCTGCAAAGTAAGGATAATATAAGGTCTCTTAGGGACAAGGTGCTAACAATAGAATATACTGATCAAGAAGCAGTTTTTAAGCAAATCACTTCTTTGTGCAATTCTGGGATCTTAATTGGGGGATTGTTGCGGTAATTAAATTATACGTGTAATGCATTAAGAACCGTGTCTAGCACATGCCACGCTCTCAATAGATGTTGAAATTGTTATTATCCTCCACACAGGGTCCGTTACAACACACTTTGCTCACAGATGAGACCAACTACTTCTCCGTTCCTCACAGGTCTGTCACAAGGATCATCAAAGATAAGGTACATGAAAGTACTCTGTAAGATATAAAGCACTTCACAAGCATTCATTACCTTCACCATCCTTATAACTCTGAACAGCAGAAGGAAGGGACAGAAGGTAATATGGTGAGAGGGCTGAAGTGAGAAACTCTGAGACAGGCCCCAGAACTGTCACTGTAACCACTCATCCCATGGACAAATGTATGAAGTGTCTGTCCTCAGGAGGCACCCAGGTGGATATGAGGATAAAGAGGCCGGGTGTGGTGGCTCACGCCTGTAATCCCAACGCTTTGGGAGCCTGTGGTGGGAGGATTGCTTGAGCTCAGGAGTTCAAGATCAGCTTGGGCAACATGGCGAGACCTCATCTCTATAAACAATTTAAAAATTAGCTGGGTGTGGTGGTGCACACCTGCTGTCCCAGCTACTTGGGAGGTTGAGATGGGAGGATAATTTGAGTCCAGGAATTCAAGGCTGCAGTGAGCTGTGATCATGCCACTGCACTCCAGCCTGGGAGACACAGCGAGACCTTGTCTCACCAAAAAATAAAAAATAAAAAAAATAAAGACACCAAGTCTGCCTCAATAGATGCTTTAAGACAGGCATAAATCATATGCTTGGCAGACAAAAAGGAAAGCCTGATTACTTCGAACCAGAAGGCTTCTCAGAAGAGGTAGCTTTCGAGCTGAGCACTGAAGGAGAAATAAGACCTTGTCAGGCTTACAGAGAAGTAAAAATACATTAGAAAAGGCAGAGAAGGGCCAGGTGTGGCAGTACATGCCTGTAATCCCAGCACTTTGGGAGGCTGAGAGAGGAGGATCACTTGAGCTCAGGAGTTAGAGACCACCCTGGGCAACAAACCTCACGCCCAGGGACTAGTGAAGTTGCAGAAGAGACCCTTAGGCCTTTCTCCTACACTACTTCCCATGTTCCCCGAGCTCTGCCCTCCCCACAGTCTGCCCTTCTAGGAGAGAAACAAGGAGATAGTGGCACACAGGGAGGGAGGCCTGTTTCTTATGCTACCCATACATCGAGGCCAGCTGTTCTACTCAATATGGCACACCAGCATGCTAATTCCCAATCCCATCAACTTGTGATCCTCATTCATTTTCCTTATACCCTGTGAGCTACTGAAGCAAGGGGTCTTCTGTGCTGCATTTTAATTACTACGATGAGCTATGGGATCTCAAGGGCTTTTGAATAATAACACTTCAACATTTACACATTTTCATTCACCTCTGCCCACTTAAATTAAGGCTAAAGAATGCAGCTCATGTGAGGAGTTGCTAATTCAAATCTCCCCTCAGGCCCAGAGAAGAAGGCTGGGGGACCCAGTGTCTCATATTGTTTTGTGTTCTCCGTATCATTAGGATTGGAATCCTCCAGCTGCCTAGTCACTATAGTGAGCATCAAAAACCATGGGTGTGCAGGAGAACTCCCAAGTACATGGCTGCTTTCAGAGGGTCACCAGGCTCTTCCTGGAAGGAAGGTCCTGACCAAGTTATTCAGACACTTGCTGAAGACTGCAATTTGATAAGACAAATAGACTGAGAGTTCATTTTGGTCCACGGCAACCTGAGAAATAGAATAAGAGCTAGACAGGGATTCAAGAAGCCCATGTTTTAGTTCCAGCCCCGTGACTTTTCCTCTCTAGGTCTCTTTCAAAAAATGAATGCCTGGGATGCATTCTCCAGGGCTTTGGGATTTAGGCTAGTTTGAATCTGTGATTAAAGGACCTCTCTATAGTCCCTACCAGTTCTATGATGTTAAGAACATGAATAGCAGAAAGGCTTTTGATGAAATGGTTTTAGCCTCATGGTTAAAAGTACAGGCTTTGGATTCAGTCACACTAGGGTTTAAGTCTCAGCTCCAATACCTAACCTTTTCTTCCTCAGCTCTGAAACAGGGACAAAAATAGCCCCTACCCTGAAGATCTGTCACAAGATATACAATGACATAATCAACATAAAGGAAATCAGCATGGCAGCTGGCCCGTGGGAAGCATTCAGTAAATGATAGCTGCTATCATTATCACCATTTTTCATTTACAGTCATTTCTGAACTCTTAGCTCATCATGCTAACACTGCACAGAGAGGCTGGTTTCCCTTCTCCTGACTCTGCAAAGGAGACTGATTTATTCTGAGTAGCCCTTTTAAAGAGGCAGAATAAAACTCAAATGCCAGGGAAGGCCAGTATTCTTATAAGTTTGGTTTGGGATTACATGTAATAGCACAGTGGAGAATCTTCAGATTAGGAGCCATCTGTACTCACCTTGGGGCCCATAGGTATAGCCCAGCTTTGGGACTTCGGACTGTTTCACATTGACTTGGTCTTGATTACCTCATTACATCTCCCCCTTCTTCTTGAACTCCTAAAGCGTCTGTTCTCTACCTGTCATTGGACCTCTGACCTCTGGCCCCCAAACTTCCCTAGTTTTCAATATACCAGCTTTGCCTGGATCAGCTTCCAACCAGCCACGATTTCTAACCATGCCTAATTTAATAGCATATTTGCTGTCTTTGCTCCCCTTGATCTTCTGCCAGTTCTTGTAGTGGGTATTCATAGCCATTTGCTTTCTCTTCTCCAGTTGCTGGAATGTTGAGCCCTTTTAAATACTCAAGAAACAACTGACTTGAGTCCTCTACCAATTCACCTAACTCAGCTGGCTTCCAACAGCTACTACTTATTGAGTACTACTCCTTCTGTGCCAGACACTATGCCAAGCATTTTCTTTTTAATATTCACAACAACCATGAGGTAAGAATTAGTATCCCTTCTACATGTAGAAACTGAGGCTTAAAGAAGTTAAATGATTCCCTAAATAATAGTCACCATCCAGTAAGTGCTAGAGCAATAATTCAAATGCCAGCTTGATTACCAGGCTCAGTGAGCTTTTCATTCATCTCTTGAAAACTATGTAAGATCGATTTCCTCATCTCTTCTGCTCTCTTTAAGCCATCATCTTTACCCACAGCACCTGCACTTTTTGGAGGACAATCACACCAATTTCCCGAGAAGACAGATCAAACTTTTTTAATGACTACTCTCAACACCATGTAAAAATTGGGGGGTAATTTCATCACTTCTCTCCTACCTTAGAAATTAGACCCCATTTAGGCTTTACCAATGGCCTTCTAACTGCCTAACCCTTTTTCTAGTTTTCATCCTTCTAGCTCTTTCTAGATCAATGGATACTGTTTGTCCATTGCCCCCAGTACTCACTCTCCCCTTCCTTCCTTGGTTATGGGACTTTTAGACAGGTTCACAGCCACCTAGAATAAAGACAATTATTTCCCACCTCCTTTGTAGCAAGGTGTAAACACATGACCAAGTTCTGGCCAGTGGGTTATAAGTGAAAGTGGCATGTGTAACTTTTGGGAACTATCTTTAAAGTGCCATTCTCCCCTTTCTTCCTTCCCATGCTGATGCCTTGAACTTGGATAGCCATCTTGAACCATGAGATGGCAGAAAGGGACTGGGTCCTTAATGGTCATGAACTGTTGTTGAGCCCAGCACTCTTTACTTCTATCTTGTTCAACCAGAGTTATTGAGGGTTTTCTGTCACATTCAGCCTTAGCTCCTAAGATATTGCATTATCCCAGTTATCTTCCTATGTTTCTTTCCCCTTGTGCCTCTAAACATAAGCTCTACTCTTTAAAAAAAAAATTATTATTATTATTTTGGAGATAGGGTCTCACTCTGTCGCCCAGGCTGGAGTTCAGCAGGCTTGACCTCCTGGGCTCAAGCAGTTCTTCCACCTCAGCCTCCAAGTAGCTAGGACTACGGGTGCACACCACCACACCCAGCTAATTTTTAAAAATTTTTTATTTTCGTAGAGACAAGATCTCACTATGTTGCCCAGGCTAAGTTCTGTTTTGGACCTCTTCAATCTCTCTCGTCTCTCAGCAATGGACTTTTTTTTTTTTTTTTTTTTTTTTTTTTTTTTAGACAGAGTCTTGCTCGTGTCACCCAGGCTGGAGTGCAGTGGTGTGATCTTGGTTCACTGCAACCTCTGCTTCCCAGGTTCAAATGATTCTCATGACTCAGCCTCCCAAGTAACTGGGATTATAGGCTTGCACCACCACACCCAGTAAATTTTCATATTTTTAGAAGAGATGGGGTTTCACCATGTTGACCAGACTGGTCTTGAACTCTTGGCCTCAAGTGATCCACCCACCTCAACCTCCCAAAGTGCTGGGATTACAGGCAAGATCCACCGCGCCCAGCCTGGGTTCTCTTTAACGTTAAGAATCACCTCAACTTGGATGACTCCTAAATCTGTATTTCTAACCTTCACATCTCTCATCAGACTCATATTTCCAAGTGTTTATGAAGTATCTTCACTTGGATGTTCTCTGGTACCTAAAACACCTCAAACTTAACACATTTGAAACCGGATTTAATATCATCCCTCAAACATGCCCCCTCCCTCAATTCTCTATTTCTGTTAGTTGTACATTATTTTCTCAATTAACCAAGCTCAAACCTCAGAATCATCCTCAAATTCCTCTCCTCATTCCTATACATTTTGTTCCATGGTCCTGTTAATTCTGCTTCTTCTATACTTCTCCCATTCATACCTCCCTTCCTATAACTTCCTACTCCCCCTCTAGTCTGGGCTCCAATTACCTTGGAGAGACTCTGTGAAGTCTCTTGACTTTAGGGCATTCCCGCCTCCAGTCTCTCCCAGTCTAACCAATCTAAGAGTCCACAATTGTATATTTGTGAAGCGTGGCTCCTGTCCTGTCGCCGGATTCAAAAAGCCTCAACAACACTGCATTGTCTCGGGAATAAACACTGACGGTGGAGATCCAATGCTCTATGACAAGTTCCCTTTGTTCCAGCCAAACCGGATTACTCTTACCATTCTCCAGACATGTTCTCTCTATCTCCTCCCATCATCTCACTGTTGTCTATGCCACTCCTCCTGCCTGGAATGCTCTCTCCTTCCTTACTTCTGCCTATCAGGTATAACTCTATCTAGGGGTTCAGCTCAAGTGTGATTTCGTTAATAAAGCCATCCATGATCTCTTACACTGACATAATTTATCCCTCTTTTGGACACCAAAATCACTTTTATATGAATTTAACATATTCTGTCATCTTTCAGTTACTTTACATATGTCTCATATATATAAATGCATAATATACATGTATATAAATGGCTGTCAATACATATGGTGGAGGAAAACTTAGAAGCACAGTTCATAAGGCTTGGACTTGTTCCACAATGGAAAGAAAATTGAACTATTCCAACTCAGAAACCTAAATTAATAATAAGAAGACAGTTATTCAGCAGGACTTTGTGCAGGAGCTCCTCTAATGCAAGAAGGTGAGAAAAGTCCAGTGCAGTGGCTTGTGCCTGTGACCCCAGCTACATGGGAGGTTGAGGTGGGATTGCTTGAGGCCAGGAGCTTGAGACTAGCCTGGACAATACAGTGAGAACCCATCTCTAAAAAACACTTTTAGCTGGGCATGGTGGCACATGCCTTTAGTCTAGCTATTCAGGGGGCTAAGGCAGGAGGGAGGATTGCTTGAGCCCAGGAGCTTGAGGCTGCAGGGAGCTATGACTGTGCCACTGTGCCCCAACCTAGCAATGGAGCGAGACCCCGTCTATTTAAAAAAAAGATGGCGAGAGAAGAGGAAGCTGCTGAAGTTAAGGCTTAATTGTCAAACTGTCTCATTGATATGTTTTCCCTTTGGAAAAAGCATCCAAACATACTCCTGGGTATTTATTTTGAAAATCTAGCCTGGACTTCTTGGTAAAGATGATAGATCGAACACAGGTACCTATTTTCTCTTCTTCCTGAAATCTCATTAAACCAACAGTAAAAGTGGGACTACAGACGGAAGCACACCTGAGAAAACAATCCAAAACTGGCAAAGGGAAAAGCCAAGATTTACACTCCAGAATTCCCCAAAGGCTAAGGAATTGGTACTCTGATGTAGGAGTAGAGGTAGAAGCTAAAAACCGTTTCCTCCCCTTTGGAAGGATTAAGGTCTTCATACTCATGCACAAACTGTGCACAGACTCAAATGCGTAGCTCTCAGAAATACTGACTTAATCTCAAAAACCTCTGAAGTGTAACTGCACGCCAGAAAGTCCACATGTATCACTGTCTTCAGATAATCATTCATGATTGTCCTCTGTTAAGTACCACTTCACCTGGACCCAAGCACTATTAGTGGATGCTACAAAAAAGCACCACAAAGAACAAGATGGCTTTTAGAGCTCTTGGCTACATTCCCATTTACTATCAAACATGGAAAGTTGTCCACTATTTCTCCAAGTGGTAATATGTCCAGAACATCCAGCGAGCAAAGAGTTAAACATGAAAGAGAAATAAATGACTACGCTATACAAAACAGGAATCACTGCTCTTGGTTATGCTTGCCCTGTATGATGATTTCAGAAGACTTTTTCTACTTTTGAAATAATTCAACAGGAATACCCAGTTAAATAAAACTACCATAAAATCACATGGGCCTTGTGTCTTTTTGGAGGATGGGCTTTCTACTTCATAGATCTATTAAGGCTTTCCACTTCTGCCAGCTTTTGTTTCTTCTATAGGCACAAATGGCATTTCTGGGTAGGAAAATTACTCACTGTGAAGGACTGTCCTGCATAGTACAGGATGCTTAGCATTCCTGGTCCCCAGGCGCAAAATGCCAGTAGCAACCCCACCTTAACCAGTCACTGTGATGGACCAAAACGCCCCCAAAACAATTCTAAATGCTCCCAGGGGATGGCAGCAACTCTGATTAACCACATAAAACTTATTCCTATAAATCATCTTATTATTAATTTTTAAAATCTCTTAATTTGAGGTTATATATTCTTTTTTGTCTTTTTTCTATTCTTTTTTGTGGAGAACAGGGTCTCACTATATTGCCCAGGCAGGTCTCAAATTCCTAGGCTCAAGCTATCCTCCCGTCTCTGCATCCCTAAGAGCTGGGATTACAGGTGTGAGCCACTGTGCCTGGCTATATTCTTTTTTGAAGTTTTAATTTTAAAAATTTTTTTTAATTTAAATTTTTGTGGGTACATAGTAGGGTACATGAGATTTTTGTTTTTGTTTTTTGTTTTGTTTTTTGAGACGGAGTCTCGCTCTGTCACCCAGGCTGGAGTGCAGTGGTGCGATCTTGGCTCACTGCAAGCTCTGCCTCCCGGGTTCATGCCATTCTCCTGCCTCAGCTTCCCGAGTAGCTGGGACTACAGGTGCCCATTACCATGCCCAGCTAAATTTTTTGTATTTTTAGTAGAGACAGGGTTTCACTTTGTTAGCCAGGATGGTCTCCATCTCCTGATCTCCTGATCCACCCGCCTCGGCCTCCCAAAGTGCTGGGATTACAGGCGTGAGCCACCACGCCTGGCCGAGATGTTTTGATACAAGCATACAATGAGGAATAATTACATCACGGAGAGTGGGGCATCCATACTCTCAAGCATTTATCCTTTATGTTACAAACAATCCAATTACACTCTTTTAGTTATTTTAAAATGTACAATTAAGAATATTCTTTTTTTTTTTTTGAGACAGAGCCTCAAAAAAGAGGCGCCTCCTGGGTTCAAGCGATTCTCAGCCTCAGCCTCCTGAGTAGCTGGGATTACAGGTGTGTGATATCACGCCTAATTCTTGATTTTTTTTTTTTTTTTTTTTAAGACAGAGTCTTGCTCTGTCACCCAGGCTGGAGTGCAGTGGAGTGATCTTGGCTCACTGCAACCTCTGCCTCCCGGGTTCAAGCGATTCTCCTGCCTCAGCCTCCTGAGTAGCTGGGACTACAGGCGCGTGCCACCACACCCAGCTAATTTTTTGTATTTTTAGTAGAGACAGGGTTTCACCATGTTAGCCAGGATGGTCTCGATCTCTTGTCCTTGTGATCTGCCTGCCTCGGCCTCCCAAAGTGCTGGGATTACAGGCATGAGCCACCGCGCCCGGCCTAATTCTTGTATATTTAGTAGAGGTGGGGTTTCGCCATGTTGGCCAGGCTGGTCTCAAACTCCTGACCTCAAGTGATCCACCCACCTTGGGGTCCCAAAGTGCTGGGATTACAGGCATGAGCCACCATGCCCGGCCAACAATATTCTTTATAGCATCTTCATATGTAGCGGTTTTTTCCTCTTTCTTGATCAAAATTGTCAGAAATCTTTAAAAAAATACAAATTCATTTTAATGATCAAGTCTCTCCTTTTGGTTTCTTTACTTTTACTTTTCTTTCTTTCACTAAGGTGTAGCACACATAACATAAAATATCAGCAATATACTATCTGCTTTTATCTCAATAATTCCCTAACAATCTATTAGTTACTCTCTGCTACTGTCTTTTGGTTAAATTTTAATCTTTCTTGTTGTTTAACAAATGAATTTAAGAATATAAACTTTCCTCTGAGTACTACTTTGGCCAAGTATTATAGGTATTTACACAAAGTGTTTCCACTACCACTAATTTCTATGTAGAAAAATAGAAAAAAACAGGCAACTCATAGACTAAACATATAACACTAATCAATAAGGTAAGTTGCTCAGTTTCAATGACAAATAGCACGTTTTTTGCTTAACATGGTGGAAAACATTAAAGACTGATAATACACCATGTTGGGAAGGTATGGAGAAGAGCATACTTCTCTTCACCATTAAGGGAGGGCAATTTAGCTCCACCCATTAGATCTAGACATGCACATACACTCTGACCCGCTAATTCTACTTTCTATCAATCTTTTTTACAGACATACTTTTATAAGTATTTAAGAACACATGTACAGAATGTCCACAGAAGCATAATTTATAACAGAAATCCTGGAGAAGGAAAAAATGAGTTATGGGATATTTAGCTAGATTTTAAGGACCAAGATAAAATTGTATCTGTGCTCTATAGACAAGGCAAATACAAAATGCAAGTTCACAAAAACTTTGTAAAATATAATCCCACGTTAGCTTAAATACAAACAAAGAATTTCACATAGTCACTTTTGTATAAAGATAACAAATGGTCTGAATCATATACACCACACTTTCTTTCTTTTTTAACTCTGTGGTTAGATTAGGATGGTATTATTTTGCTATTAAAAGGCAGTTACTTAAAAAAAATTTTTTTTTGCAGAGATGGGGTCTCACTATGTTGCCAGGTTGGTCTTGAACCCCTGGCTTCAAGTAAGCCTTCCTTGGCCTCCCAAAGTACTGGGATTACAGGTGTGAGCCACCACGCCCAGCCTACCACGTTTTCAAATGATCACCTCTAGCAACTATGAGTAACAGGGAGGTGAGAAGAACCTTAACATTTTATTTATATTCATTTCTGTATTGCTTGAAATGTTTTCTTCCTCAGTGAGCATATACTAATAAGATAATATAAAAATGTAATTTTTAAAAATTAAAAAAATTTTATTTTAGAGATGGGGGTCTTGCTATGTTGTTCTGGCTGGTCTCCAGCTCCTGGGCTCAAGTGATTCACCCGCCTTGGCCTCCCAAAGTGCTGGGATTACAGGAGTAAGCCACTGCACCCAGCCTAAAAATGTAATTTAAAAAATTTCCCATCTCACTGTAGCGGGACCAGCTGCGGACAAAACCCCTCAGACACCAAGATAGTGAAGGGAGTGGCTTTAATCAGCTGGGAGCATCAGCAGGCTAGTGTCTTAAAATCCGAGCTCCCTGAGTGAGCAATTCCTGTCCCTTTTAAGGGCTCACAACTCTAAGGGGGGGTCCGTGTGAGAGGGTCGTGATCGACTGAGCAAACAGGGGTACGTGACAGGGGCTGCATGCACCGGTGGTTAGAGTGAAACAGAACAGACCGGGAAGTTTTACAATGTCTTTCTATAATCTATAGATAACATCAGTTGCTAGGTCAAGGGTGGAATTTTAACTACCAGGCTTAGGTCAGGCAGGCCCAGGCCTGGTTTCAGGTCTGGTTCCTTGGTTTCGGGTCTGGTTCCTAGGCGCCAGGCTACCTGCCTTTAGTTTTGCTTCTCTTTCCTTTTCTGAGTATAAAACAATATAAAACAATATGAGAGGGTCTCTCTTCCCTCATTTCCCCTCTTTGAGACTCTCACTTTTTATTAGTGGGAGTTCTCACTCTTATTTTCGCCACTTCTGTCTTCTTGTGCAATAGATTGATAGTGATTCATATAGTACACTTGTGCTGAAGCATTTTGGTGAACTAAGGTAGCGATGAGGCTTTTTATCACTTGAAGAAGTACAGGTAGCAAACAAGGGAGCAGTAAGCAGGTTCCTATTACTATTATAACTCTTATTATAAGAGTTTTAAATCTTTCTAGTGCTGGGAACCAATTTCTAAACATGGCCTCAGGGTCGAATCCATGCTACACTTGTACGGGCACATGTGCCAGTTCTGTCATATTTTTAACTATGTCTTTAACTACTTGCCTTTGATTATCTATGTGTAGACAGTAATTAGTAAGGTTAAATTTTTTATAGACCTCTCTTTCAGCTGCTAGCAAGTAGTCGAGAGCCAATCTATTTTGATAGACAGCATTTCTCATCTGAGTTTCTTGCCGGGCCAGAATAGTCAAGGCTTGACCGGTTTTATCAGTGATGATTTCTAAAACAGCTTGCAACCGTATGATTCGGTTGAGCATGTAAATGGGGGTCTGGTATCCCCATGAGCTGTCTAGTGCCTAAGTAGCAGGCCTATAATATTGTATGATTCGCTTAGGGGGCGATTCATTATTTTTCAATTTTTTAATAGCTATGCTTTTCTTTTTGCGGGAAGCATAGACAGGGAAGCCTAGGAGTTCGCCTGTTTTTATGGGCAGTAGGAAGAAAGATGGTTTTAATAGTGCCAATAACACAACTACCTGTCCACTGGTCAGGCAGCTTAGCGTAGGTTCTATGTCCACATATCTAGTATAGCCTAGTGGGAGCCGTCTAGTCCTGGTGGGATTCTGGGTGGGCTTAAACGGTCTGCAACTTTGGAGATTTACTGAATGGATTTTTATCTGTGCGGTTTGAACTCCACCACGTAACTGTTTTTGTGGTATTATTATACAGTTTTTGTCCTAGGCAACTAAGTCATCCTACAGAATGAGTGAATTCTTTCTTTTTTCTAGCTATGCAATATTGTCTAATAATTGAGACTTTTAGAACCTAGAAATGATCAGGGTGATTCTTTAGGGCCGGGAATTCATCAGGAACTGGGTCTGTAGGCACTAATTCTCAGGCTTCTTATGGCCATTGATCTTCTATTACAGTTTCTCCACAAACATAACATTTAGAGACTGGGCTACATACCTTGGATATAATAGGATTATACAAACAAGTTTCTTTTAGAGTACCAGTACACTTATAATAACTATAAAATAATAGGACTGTAGCTATCTTTTGTCCTACCTCAGTGACTTGATGTATATACTGGGAACAGTCCTTCGTCTGAGGAAGGTCAGTTGAAGTCCTTACTGTATAAGTCCAAATTTTAAGGAAAATGAGTCCCGCGATGAGTTTCCTCATGCTTCGGCCATGCGTGGACCAGTCAGCTTCCGGGTGTAACTGAAGCAGGGCTTGTCGTCTTCTTCAGAGTCACTTTGCAGGGGTTGGTGAAGCTGCTCCCATCCACGTACAGCTCCCAGTCTACTGATGTTTAAGGATGGTCTCGGAGGTTGGGCGCACTAGAATAAACTGAGTCTAATGCCTCTACACAGTTATGTTTAACCGGGCTCTCTGATACCAAGAGTGAGGTGGTGGCGTTTAGGGTGTTGCAAACTTCAATGGTTATGCGGGGATTTTCACAGAGCAAGCTTTGGTATCTAGTTAGTCTAGCATTCATTAGCTAATAGTGTCCTTTGCTATTTATTAAAGTCACCACAGCACAGGGGGACTTTATGTTTAGGTTTTGCCTAAGAGTTAGCTTATCTGCTTCTTGTGCTAACAGGGCTGTTGCTGCCAGGGCCCTTAGACATGGGGGCCAGACTTTGTAAACCCTGTCTAATTCTTTTGAGAGATAGGCCACTGGCCTTGGCCAGGGCCTTACAGTCTGGGTTAAAACTCCAACTGCCATTTTTTTTTTCCTCTGGTTGATGAAATGCCAGCGTGAAAGGGATAGCCAAATGGACTAAAGCACAAGTGCCACTCTAGTTATTCAGCAGAGTGCCCAGTAAAGGTCCACCACAATACCACCACACATCCGCTCGGGGATGAACAAGGGCTGACTGATTGATAAGCTCTTGAAAATTCTTAAGCTCACTGCATCCTTTCAGGTCTCCAAGGAATGCTAAATTTCTTCCCTGTCGTGAGAGACACGAAGTGAACCTAGTGTTGGGAGATGGAAGCTGGATGGCCCTCAGGGGCTGCCCCGCAGGGTGCTGGACTTTGAGATATAGCAGAGAGAGCTTGGCATGACTTATTACTCCAGGCTGTAGAATCCCGGAAAAGAGCTACCATGGAGCTGACTGGAGGACCACCTTAGTGGAAGAGGGACAATCAGGGCCTCTGGCCTGCCATGTGCACAAGCATAACAATTGCTTTTGTTTAATGTGCAGATGGAATATTTGATCCATTCCAACCAGGCATTTGCATCTTGGTATGCTGTCTTAATTGCCAAAGTTTGTTTTAAGTCTTTAACTTCTATCATCCTCTAGTAAAATGAATGTTTCCTTCAGCACCAATTTTTATTAGTTTTTAGACCAAAGAAAGCTAAACACCATTTTATATTTAATAATGCTTCTTATATGATTTTTATACCAGATAAGCTAAATTTTACCTTTATATTAGTGTGTTATTAACGTTAAACTTAATTTTAATAAAACCTTGTAGACATATTTATCCAATTTTTCATGTTTGACCATAAGGTAAGTTTTTATAGACTCTTTTTAACCTTTCATAATTTTTGTTAAAGAGCAGGTTGGTGCTTTAAGAAAAACCTGTTGCATTTTTACTTTAATGTCCAGTTCACAGAAAAACTGAATGATACCTTTTTAACTTTAGCTAACATGTTTACACACAGAATTTTTTTTTTTACAATTAACATTTTAAAACTTGCTTAAACTTTCAAAGCAATAATTTTTTTTAACCTTTTAATGTAGGTAAAAATCCACATTCTTATGCCTCCTTATAATCCTTTTACCAAAGGTATAGTTTACTTTCCTTATACACCTTGCACATAAACTGTTTCTTTAATAGTACTCAGGAGGCTTTATTACTTTTAAATTATACAACATTTTTTGCATAAATTTTTTTATAACATTTTTTCTTTCATGACTTTCACAGATAATTCTTCAACATGTCTCAACTTTCTGACTTATTACAAACATTTTTTTCTTTAAACAACCGGTTAATTTATTTCAGGACAAGAATTTACTATATAACACTCTTTTTACATAAATTTTGCCTCCCTCCACTTTTTTTTCTTTGAAGATAACCATTCTTTTTTTTTTTTTAAGTGAACTTTCTTTACGTCTGTGGACTAGACTGTCTAAGGCCACAAGATTAGAAGTTACTATAATACATGTTACACTGTTAACTTTTAGCAAACTTTACTTTTGTTGAAAACCTTGTTAGTTTGGGATTTCAATTATCCTTTGCTATTAATAAGACCTTGTTTAGTCTAAATTAACTTAGAATTGGTATAGATGGCTTTTTTTTTTTTTTCATTAGCAAAGCAGCTGCCACTACAGATTGAATGCATCTGGGCCATCTGCGGGTTACTGGGTTAAGGATTTTTGATAGGAAGGCCTCAGTGCTTTCGGGATACGCCCTTGTTTACACTGACTACACTGACAACAAAGTGGTATTAGAGTGTTACAGGGTTACGAAGAATACCTTTAATTATCAATTATAGGTTTCAAATTTACCTTGGCTTTTAAAGGAATAGGGTATACTGTTTTTTTCTTAAGTACTTGTATATTTCTTTCTCTTTTTCTCTCTTTGACTTTCTGTCTCTCTCTCTCTGACTTTCCTTTTGCCTCTGTCTCTTCCTCTTTCTGCCTCTCTCTTTCTCTGTCTCTCTTTCTCTTTTCTTGACTCCTTCTTTGTCTCTCTGTCTCTTCCTGTCTTTTCCTCTCTTTCTCTCTGCTGGTCTTTCCTTGCCTCTGCCAGCCGCTTATGCTGCTGTTCTCTTAACTACTGTGGCGGGGAAGGGGGTCTAAAACCAGCTGTAACTGTCTATGTAGGGAAACTGGTCTGGGTGCCTTGGCTTACAGGTTACCTTGTGCCATACCTTTGAAACAAGGGACCTGTCTAGGCTTCCTTCTGATGGCCAACCCACCTCTAATGCTGGCCAGTCTATTTCACACAAAGTTCTAAGTTTTCCTGGTGTCATAGTAACACCGTAATCTCCCTTAAATCCTTTCTTGAAATTTTTCAACATAGTTCCTAGTAGGGTGGGCTTATTTGTTCCTGACCCATGCTTCTTTGAGACAAAACACCACGCTCACACCACACGCACAAAACAAAGAACAGGTAAAAAGGGCACACACACACTTTTGCAGTTTACACCAAACCAAAATCAAAACCAAAATCAGAGTATCCAGAAATCCAAGCCAGGTCAAAACCAAAACCAAAGTATCAAGCAACCCAAGTCAAGTCAAAAACAAAAACCAAAGTGCCGGTACAGGCACGCCATGGGTGATCAGGCCATGCTTCCGCTCAAATGGTAGAGGCAAATTCCCAAGACCAACCCTGTCAAGGAATTCAAACCATGTCAAAACCAAAACCAAAGTGCCGATAAAGGCACACCGTGGATGATCAGGCCATGCTTCCACTCAGATGGAGTGGGCAAGTTCCAAAGACAAGTCTTACCAAGTTTTAGATGTCCAGACTCCAAATGCCAGTTCCTTCCTGGTGTTCAGCCACTGTGCTGATCCTCCACGGGGGCCTGCCACACACTGCTCTGGCAAGGCGTCCCATCAGGGCAAGTGCCTACCCAGGAGCACTCTCAGGATCCGCGTTGCTTTGGCTGGTTGGAGTCCCCCGCAGGGATGTTCCACAGGGCAGGCTAAAGTCGCCTAAGGAGCTGCCTCAACCATCCGTTAATCACCTCGCTTCCTGGTCAGGGAACCAAGAAATGTAGCAGGACAAGCCGCAGACAAAACCCCTCAGACACCAAGATAGTGAAGGGAGTGGCTTTAATCAGCTGGGAGCATCAGCAGGCTAGTGTCTTAAAATCCGAGCTCCCCGAGTGAGCAATTCCTGTCCCTTTTAAGGGCTCACAACTCTAAGGGGGGTCCGTGTGAGAGGGTCATGATCGATTGAGCAAGCAGGGGGTACGTGACAGGGGCTGCATGCAACGGTGGTCAGAGTGAAATAGAACAGACCGGGAAGTTTTACAATGTCTTTCTATAATCTAGAGATAACATCAGTTGCTAGGTCAGGGGTAGAATTTTAACTACCAGGCTTAGGTCAGGCAGGCCCAGGCCTGGTTTCGGGTCTGGTTCCTTGGTTTTGGGTCTGTTCCTAGGTGCCAGGCTACCTGCCTTTAGTTTTGCTTCTCTTTTCTTTTCTGAGTATAAAACAATATGAGAGGGTCTCTCTCTTCCCTCACCACCCTCACACATTGTAGTTTTTTTAATTATACTAAGGAGGGGTTAAAAGCTCTGACAGTCTCACTAACATGGCCTTTTGAAAACTGATTAATTAATTCATAAAAGCTGCATAAGACAATGACATTAAAGGAAATACAGAAAAGATTCAGTAATACCTACCACATGGTCTGCTGATGTACCTCACTTATACTAACCTTAGCAGGCACTCCTTCTAGGCTAGCTTTTCCTGCCAGGCTGCCAGGATAGGCAAGGCTTCTAAGAAACTAGCAGAGCCCATTTTCATATTCAGTGTCTCAGGTATTTTGTCTGAAAGCTCTTTGAGTGATCTAAACAGCAAGCCTTGAGGCAGGCGCATCCCACAGCCTGTGGTTCAATTAAATCTGCTTCTATACCACCCACTCTCAACACTTAGCCCAATATTGCAGAATTGGAAGAAACCAAAGCATAGGAGGACCAGATGTGTAGCCAAAAGTCCTCCTTGGCAGTTCCTTCCTTAACCTGACGATCTCTTGATATGGGGATACAAAATCCCTTTCAGGCACACTTGGTAGCTAAGGACACCAGCCCCACTTATGAAGTTAGTCTAACTTTCCACTTTTCTTTCTTCCAAAGGTTGAGTCAATTATCTTGTAGTGGTTCCAGATGAAACCTTTGAATGAAAGAAAGAAAGAACTGGAATCTCCCTCCTCCATGATGCTAAAAATTATTCCTTCACTATGAACCATTTTCAAACACAGCATTCATTAATTGCTTGTTTTTTAAGGGTTAGTTTTTTAAGCATAATTTATTATCGAATGACTAGAGAGGGCATTAGTGTTCTACTTCACCTTTTCTAAATGTTTTAATTAAAAATCTACCAATATGGCCAGGCTTGGTGCCTCACACCTGTAATCCCAGCAGTTTGGGAGGCTGAGGCGGGTGGATCACCTGAGTTCAGGAGTTCGAGATCAGCCTGGCCAACACGGCAAAACCCCATCTCTACTAAAAATCAATAATTAGCCAGGCATGGTGGTGGATGCCTGTAATCCCAGCTACATGAGAGGCTGAGGCAGGAGAATCACTTGAACCTGGGAGGTGGTGGTTGCAGTGAGCTGAGGTCATGCCACTGCACTCCAGCCTGGGCAACAGAGCAAGACTCTGTCTCAAAAAAAAAAAAAAAAAAATTCTACCAATATGATTGGAAGACTCAATATAGTTATCAATTCTTCACAATCAATATAGATTCAATATAATCCCAAACAAAATCCCAACAGGACTTTTTGTAGAAATCAACAAGCTGTGCACACTAAGAACCGGGTGTGGGGATGGAGAAGAAATCAATAAGCTGATTCTAAATGGGAAAGACAATGGAACTAGAATATCTAAAACAATTCTGAAAAAAGTAACAAAGTTGCAAAGACAATTCAATAGCGAAAGGAAGGTCTTTTTCAACAAATTGTGCAGAAACAATTGGATAGCCATTTGTAAAACAATGAAACTTGATCCATACCTCACACCATATATAAAAATTAACTCACAATTGATCATAGATTTAAATGTAAGACCTAAAGATATAAAATTTTTAGCAAAAAAAATAGAAAAGATTGGTGGCCAGGCATGGTGGCTCACGCCTGTTATCCCAGCACTTTGGGAGGCCAAGGCAGGTGGATCACGAGGTCAAGAGATCGAGACCATCCTGGCCAACATGGTGAAACCCTAGCTCTACTAAAAATACAAAAATTAGCTGGGCGTGGTAGCACGCGCCTGTGGACTCAGCTACTCGGGAGGCTGAGGCAGGAGAATTGCTTGAACCCAGGAAGTGGAGGTTGCAGTGAGCTGAGATTGGGCCACTGCACTCCAGCCTGGTGACAGAGCAAGACTCCGTCTTAAAAAAAAAAAAAAAGATTGGTGACCTTATCCATTTTTTAAAAACAGGATAAACTGAACTTTATTGAAATTAAGAATCACTTCTCTTCAAAAGACACTGTTAAGGCAACAAAAAGACAAGTCACAGATTGGGAGAAAATCACATATCTAATGAAGAATTTGTATGTAAAATATATAAAGAATTCACAACTCAATAATAAGAAAACAATCTAATTTTTTTCAATGAGCAAAAATTTGAATAGACATTTAATTAGATATTAAGGATGGTAACTAATCACATTAATCAATGCTCAACATCATTAGATATTAGGAAAATGAAAATTAAATCCATAATGAACTAACACCACGTATCTACTAGAATGGCTAAAATTTTTAAAACCTGACAATATTAAGTGCTAGGGATGATATATATAGCAAGTAGATGTATATCACTCTCATACACTTCTGATGGAAACGCAAAATGGTATAATCACTCTGGAAAATAGTTTGGCAGTTTCCTATAAAGTTAAACATATTATATATTTCATATAAAGTTAAACATCTATTGCTGGGATACCCAGCAATCCCATTCATAGGTACATATCTAAGTGATATGAAAACTTCTGTTCACACAAAAATCTGTAAGTGAATGTTTTTAGTGATTTATTTGTAATTGCCAAAAACTGTAAATGACCCAAATATCCCTCAGCTAGAGAAGGGATAAACTGGGGTATATCCACACAATGGGATAGTAGCAATGAAAAGGAACGAATTATTGATATATGCAATGACATGGATGAATTTCAAATGTATTAGCGAAGTGAAAGGGGCCAGGCTCAAAAGGCTACAGATTGTATGATTCCATTTATATGACATTCTGGAAAAGGCAAAACTATTGGGACAGACATCAGAGCAGTGGTTGTGAGAAATAAGGGAAGGTAGAGGGGTTGACTACAAAAGAACATGGAAAAATTTTGGGGATGAAACTGTTCTATATTTTTATTGTGATGGCAGTTATACAACTCCATCTGTCAAAATTCACAGAACTACACACCAAAAAGGATAAATTTTACTGTATCTAAATTATAACTTTTTTAAAAAGCTCCGAATGGAAACCATAAAATACAAAACAAAACAAAAAAAAACACTATGAAAATGACCACAATGTCTGCATGCAAGAGAAAACCTTTTAAACAGGACCATTAAAAATAAAGTCTACAATGTCATACGCATATGCACACATTCTCTTTGCCGCCCTCTACCCACTGACAGATCTCAGCAAAGGGCATTTCAAAGGAAACCATCTCATCCTCTGTTCTTACCTGAACCATGGAATGTCTTAGGGTTGAAAGAAGGTACGCATACCCCATGAAGGCCCTAATACCTGCAAGCTGTAGAGAGCTGGGAAAGGTCACAAGAGTTCCTTCAAACTGCAGTGGGAACTGCATTGTCCCTTATCATTCTTCCTTAGAACAGGGGTTGACACAAATTCTCCAGCAGTGCACACTCACCTCTGTCGTGACTGCACTTATATCGACGGGCTGGATCTCAGTACTGCAGCACTCACTCCCTTACAGAGGAAACTGAATTTTGCAGAGGCAATGAAAGTAGGCCAAGGCGACAGAGCACTCTAGTTACAGGGTGGCAGCCAATCACGGGCCCCTCCCCAGGAGTGTCTCACTCTGAGGTCAGGACTCAAAAGCAGAGTCTGTGCCGTCAGCCTGAACCCAAAGGGACTGACTTGTTGAGCTTGTTTTTCCACAGCATTAACTTGAGGGTTTATGATTTGAGACCCCAAATCAATCTCTGCCGTGGGGCTGGTGGTCTCTCCTCCCACAGTTAGCACCTAGTCTGACCTAACCTTTTCCTTGCTTCGCATACTGAAGGTGGCAGCCAACTCCAACCTAGAGCATATAGGTCAGGTATTGGAAATGAAAAGCCATAATGGACCCACCATCCCAGATCATCGTGAAACCCAACCACCACAACCCAAGGAATATCATAGTTACGACATCTTCCCCTTCCACTCAGGATCACAAACTTTAAAAATCCCTTTGGAGTTGGTTCTGCCAGGAGTTGTGGGGAACGTACCTTTTGTTTTTCCATCCACCAACACCACTTTCTTTGTCTCTGCTGTTAACAACAGTTCATAAGGGTGTTCGTCTTCTTCCCGGGCTGCACTCCCATGAATCCTAGGTCTCATGGACAGAACCTAAGGGAGAGAAACATCCAGTGTATCTTGTGCATGTGGCTAATACCAAGACAGGCAGTCTGGAACAAATTCGAGATTATTGGCTCTTTTTTCATCAAAGAAGAAAGGTGGAAAAGAGAAGGTGAATAATTCAAGTGTCACATAGAATCACAACTGCATTTCTGGATATATATCCATACCTCCAATCTGAAAGGCCTTTGATTAGAATACACCCCTTTCTGAGGATCACTTGAGCCCAGAAGTTTGAGGCTGCAGTGAACCAGGATTGTGCCACAGAACTCCAGCCTGGGTGACAGAACAAGATCCTGTCTCTAAGGAAAAACAAAAACAAAAAAACAAAAAACTCCCTTTTCTTTGATTTTAGTCTTCAAAAAATGCTAAATAAAATCCAGGATCCTTCCTTTCTTGCGTCTCCCATGCCTACAGTGTTCTGCATAATCTCTTTTCTGAGGCTAATACTTGCCAAGCAGCTCTTAGCCATGCTCCATCGTGAAGGCAGACCTCTTTCTCCACGTTTCTTTTCTAATATGCACATATACTATCCAAAGACTGGAATCCTTCCCACCTCCTCAAGAGGAAACCAAAATGACTTCCAACTGACCCTCAACATTTGACGTTTACTAGAAACAAACTTGTCTGTAAGTCCATCTCTATTTTTGTGAGCTTTTCTTCAGAGGTCCTGAGGGTTATTGGGAAGGATATCCCCAAAACTGGATTCCTACAACCTTTATGTTAATACAATTTTAAATTACTTCCACCAATCTCTGCTCTGAAGAGTCAAGTGGCTAGAAAGTTTGAATTTCAGTGTGGAGGGGGAAAAGCAGCTGTCTACTGAGAAATTCCTAATCCAGGCAGTCAAGTGTCTCTGATGAAATAACGGAACCAGAGCTGGCTCCTACACCTGGCAACTGTAAGGCTTTGACCAGCTGAGGGCCTGATGGCCACGGCTTGTCTTGGTACCAGAGTAGCCACGCTTTCCCTTGAATCAAGCTGTAGATACCACAATTAGTGCTACAGCCACTTTGTGAGAGACAATGGATGTCCTTGCTTTAGAGGATAATTCTGGCCCAGTTGTCCTAAGAATCCAAACTGTTTCACAGGCAAAATAAGAAGAAAAATAAGAATAAGCTAGTATTAAGACAAATCCTACTTATTAGAACAGCAAACCAAGGCTCAAGATCTCTTCTTGATCAGTTTGGCTAGGACAAGTAACGTATTACAAACAAGGGGGTGGGAGTAGGGGGAATTCCCAATTCCATCTAACAAATAATGCTACCCTAAAAATGTGATTCCTTGGCAAACACAGAGATTTCCTTCCATACTGACATGTCCCTTAGCCCACTGGAAATGCATCAGGTTTGTGGTTCATCGGGTTTTTGCTTCTCAAGGCATAGCTCACTGTGTTATGTGCCTAATGAGACAACAAGGACTCTAGTAGCGTCAGACTAAACAAGAAACTGCAGCTCCTGTTTGTTAACAAGGCTGCCACTCTAAAGGCAAAAGGACAGTTTCCTTCCAAAATTCTGCTAAGCACAGCAGGAACCTCCACTTACAGCAAGCTACCTGGAAGCTAAAAGCTATTTCATTACAATGAGCCATTTACTCATATTACTTATTCCTTGCCTCTTGATAGGAACACAATTAAGGGAACAAAGAGGGACCATTAAGCAGTTCACACTGTGTCAACTTAATACCACAGGCATCACAGGCAGGAATTTGTGTTCTGCAGGTTTACGCACCTACAGCTATCACTTACACAGAGCCCTAGAAATCTGATTCAGTGAGTGTTCCGCACACAGGAAGAACTCTCATATAGCCTCCGGCATGCTTCCTTCAGAGGTAGGTAATTGACAGCCTGGATGCCCAGCCTATAATATCCTTTCTTCTCATGCAGCAGAGGGCTGATGACTTCCATGTGGAAAATCAGGCCCACTGGACCTGCTTTCACTCTGTGCCTAGTTCTTGTGCAGGACAAATAGAGGCAGAGAACCATCAAATGCCAGAGCTGGAAGGGATCCTAACCATCACAGTAACAGCCAGAGAGCACCCGGTTCTGCTCTTTCATTCGTAGATGACAAACCTGGTTCCCAGAGAGGTCTGGGGACTTGTCCAAGGTTATACAGAAAGCTCACAACAGAGCCATGGGCATAAAAGTCAATTCCCTTGATCCTGGACCAGTATGGCCTCATTTTCTTCTGGCTTTCATTTTTTTCTTCATCCAATTGCTCATACCCAGACGACAAGTAGAGTGATCATTTCTTCTTGGTGCTGGCTCCTACCAGCTATGGGATTAAAAATCCTCACAATAAAGCAATAAACTGCTTTTCTTTGAGCCTTCCTAGCTCCCACTCCAGAAGCCCTATGTCATAGTCAATACGGCAATAACTGATTTTCAACAGAAAGGATTCTGCTCTTTACTAAATTACTCCTTAATCTTTTTTTTTTTTCCTTTCCTCCAGGGCTGGCAATAAATCAAAGCCATATATATATGTGTGTGTATATATATGTATATATATATGTGTGTATATATATGTGTATATATATATGTGTGTATATATGTATATATATGTGTATATATGTATATATATGTGTATATATGTATATATATGTGTATATATGTATATATATGTGTATATATATGTGTATATATATGTGTGTGTATATATGTATATATGTGTGTGTATATACGTATATATATGTGTGTATATATATATGTGTATATGTGTGTGTGTGTGTGTGTGTGTGTGTGTGTGTGTGTGTATATATTTTTTTTTTCCCGGCTATGTGGAAAGCAACATTTCTGCTGCAGAGAAAAGCTATGAGCAGTCACCACCTAACAGTGACCAATGGAATGTCCAGTTGGGGTGTGGGAGCTTTCTGGGAAGAGATACTCCAGCAGCTGCAACTTCCATGAATATTTAGCATATCTGAGCACAGAGAAGACTACGGCCAGTCCTGATGCAGCTGGCAGCCCCTTCTGTGGGCAAAAACATCTACACAGCATGTGTATGTGTGTGAGTATATGTGTCTAATGTTTTTAAGCCAGTTTCATGATCAGGTCATTAATCTGATAAGCACTCCTAGAGCTAGGTATACTCTGGCTTCTCCTAAAGGCTTCTATGAGTCATCTGACAATGACCAGGCTTAGGAATAGGAATACAAATATTGGGGCAGATAGCTTGCCAAAGACAAAAACCTAAGTTTGATGAAGTCAGTGTCTCCTGAGATATGATAGAGTCTAGGGTATTAAAGCTTTAACAGTATAAGGAAAGACAGGGAAAGACAACAAAGTCCAAAAAATATACATAATAGTACACTTTGAAGAAGACCATTCAGACTACAAACTACAGCATATGAATAAAATCTGCCTGGATCATATGCAGGCCGTATCACCTCTGTATTCAGGTACCTATAATCACCAGTAAATTAGCAAATTCAGTGTTTCACCATCTTCCAAATACTGACTATGCTGTTCCAACTGATCCAGAATTCCAGGCTATTCAGAAGCAAGTTTTAGAAAATGTATCTCAAACTCTCCCATCTAGGAGAGTAATATGAAGATTTCCCCCTTCTCTCTCCCAGCCACCACTTCTTGACACTGTGTTATTGCCACATTGAATGCTTTAGAAAACCTTGGGAGAATAGAAAGTTCTGGGTATAATCCAGTGTTTCTTTAAGAGCCTTGCCCAAGCATTATGAATTTTAACTCAAGTGCTTGTTAAAGAGGGGCAGAAGGCATTTACAGAGAACCAGCCCCAACTGAATATTCTTATTATTAGGCTTCTCCTTGTTAAAAAAAAAAAAAAAAAAGGAGGGGGGTAATGAGACAAACTTCTATTTATATAAAAATATGGAAGGATTTACTGCGTACACTTGGATCTACTAGAAATGTGTTATTATCCAGAGGTGGTAATAACAGGCTGCAAATCTAGAAACCCTTAGATGAGACATTATAATAAGCATTTTGTAACTAAAGGAAAGAATTAAGGACAGAATTTGTACCTAGCATAGAAATCTTCCCCTATCTCCAACACTGACTTTTACGTTTTTAAAAGGGCTTCCTTGTATTTATACATTTTGTTAAACTAAAGCCATCCTTCTGGTTCCATGTGTTTATACTGAATAAAAGAACCTGCCATGGTCCGTGGCAATACTGTAAAAAATCAATAACTCGAACTTCTAGGGACAAAGTGATGAGAGTAATTAACTGTTTTATATTAGCTGATTTTTAAATTAGAGAATAGGGCATTGAATGAGCTACAAAATGACTAATAAAATTATGTAATATTTTCAATAAATATTCCATAGATATATTCTAATGGCAGGAAGTGTTAGCAGAGCATTTTGAAGATGAAAGATTAAGGAAAACACAATTTTTTCACACTTCTAAGTGATTGAGTTATTTGCCTCATGATGACATTTCCTTTTCAAAAGGGTAGACTATTCTTTTCAAATAAACTTCTTTGATCTTCCAGCCCTGGCCATCCCACATAACTCCTATGTCTTTTCTAATTGAGTCTTCATGGCTCAATTCATGTTTGTCCTGGTGTAGAGTCTTCATGTGAAACGAACAGGAAAAAATACAAAAACAGGAATAAGATGTTTGGGGCAGAAGCACTAAAGCTTGCTAATGAGGCACAGTCTAGGGAACAGTGATTAAAGGGAAGCTCTACATCTTGTATCAAAAGACAAGAGGCTTAAAAGCAAAAAGTGAGACTGTTCAGCTTATTGGAGCCAGGAAAAAATGTACATTTTACTTTCCGTGTGGTATGGCAGATCAATACTGGGCCTGTCTGCGAGAGCTATATTAAAATTCTTTGTGAGTTTGGAAGGTCTTATTCCAGATTACTAGTACACATAATACAAATTTATAATCCAAAGAGCTGATGAGAAGATGAGAAAGCAAAGTCTTTTAAAGCACACATCGATGCACTTTTCAACAAACTCAAATTTCAGCAATGGGGAATAAACCCACAACCCTCTACCTCAGAAGCTGTCAAGGGAAAATACTTCTTATCTATGTGGTCTTCTTCCTCTTCATCGGGCGGTGGCTTTGCTGGAGGTGGTGGACGTTCCCTCTGCAGAAGAGAAAAAAATAAATATTTTGCGATCTCTTTTTTAAGTATCTAATTTTTTGGTTTGCCCTCATCTTAGCCCTTAGAAATGAAAAAAATAATGTATGGAACTCCCCTGAGAGACTAAAGTCAAGGTTTCGTCTCTGAACAGATGGAGAACTCTGTGCATACATACACAATTCAATTAGCATGCTCTATGGTTTTTGATGTCTGTAGCAGAGATCATAAACACCTCTTTCATATCCTAGACCACAGTGAGAAATGCCAGTACTGAGAACACATAACTGCCTTGTTAGAAAATTTCC
This sequence comes from Homo sapiens, assembly GCF_000001405.40. Classification (NCBI taxonomy): domain Eukaryota; kingdom Metazoa; phylum Chordata; class Mammalia; order Primates; family Hominidae; genus Homo; species Homo sapiens. Next base: position 34,988,921 of record NC_000006.12, on the reverse strand, counting down.
TTCATAATACTGATACATAAAACTTTACCTTAGGAAAATCAGTGGTTCACTTTTCAGTCTACTCTAGAAAGAAGAAACACTGGATCAAAAGAAATCAACCTGTGAAATTTGTTCTAACAAATCAAAGTTACTGAGGAAGTAATGAGGAAAGTAATCAAGGACAAAAATGTTAATTCCTGTTGAAATGTTAACGCTCTGATACTGGTCTACTCCCATTTATTAGCAAAAAGCTCAACCTGTTCTCTTATCCTTGGTTGCCTCCTTCAATAATAAGTATTATATGAAACTCTATTTCATCTAAACCCATTTGAAAAAAAAATTTTTTTGAGGCAGAGTCTCACTCTGTCGCCCAGGCTGAAGTGCAGTGGCGCGATCTCGGCTCACTGCAAGCTCCGCCTCCCAGGTTCATGCCATTCTCCTGCCTCAGCCTCCCGAGTAGCTGGGACTACAGGTGCCCGCCACCACGCCTGGCTAATTTTTTGTATTTTTAGTAGAGACAGGGTTTCACCATGTTACCCAGGATGGTCTGGATCTCCTGACCTTGTGATCCACCCGCCTTGGCCTCCCAAAGTGCTGGGATTACAGGCGTAAGCCACCGTGCCCAGCCCATCTAAACCCATTTTTAAAAGGAAAAGAAGCTTTTTAAGGGCCATATAGTGAATATTTTAGGCTTTGCAGTCAATTCTGCCATTATAATGCAAAAGTAGCCACAGATGATATGTAAATAAATGAGTGTGGCTATGCTCCAATAAAACTTTATTTACAAAAACAGACGCTTGTGGACTGTCGTTTGCCAACCCCTGCTCTAGAATAAGAAAGTCACTGAAAAGGTGACACAGGATAAGTTAGATCATGGGTAAACAATTTCAGGAAGACACAGGATGATCCTGATGAAGGAAAACTGAAAGCTGAAGAGATATTTGCCATTGTACCTGCAGGGCCTTTAGCACTGTTTATATTCCAAAGCCCTGGTCATGCTTGAGAATCAGTGTTCCGACTAAAGGCAGTGGGGGACCCAAAACAAGAGCTGTCCTGCAGGTTCATTCCCTGGCTTGCAGGTTTGTTCACTGTGTTGTTAAAACAGGAGTATTTCAGAAAGTCAAAGAACAGAACGCTGAGTTACGCGAGAGCTCAAGCAAAATCTGCATGGAAAGATGTTTCTCATGTTTTAGGAGCTACTCGCATTAGCATTTTGGCATCCATAATCTCTCTCTTAAAACAGGCTTCACTGCTCAGTATTCTATCTTGATAAGTCGGTCATTCCCATAGACCCTGGAACCAGATGGATGCCCAATGGCAACAACTTCAAAACAAGCCTGTATGTTCAAGCCAAACAAAGCTATTTATATCAGATGTCCCACTAAGTCCCACTTTCCCCACCCTTCTTTGCTCCAGAAGTGCAGGAACCTGGTTCCAGTGCCACCTTGTAAGGAAGGGAACAGCAAAAGGAGCAGGCCTGTATCCATCACCAGTTAACCAACCTTGGGACATCAAGTAACTGAGGGAAAAAAAAACAAAAAGGAAACACAACAACAAAAAGAACTCATCGTAGAAGCCTTCCTAAGGCCAAAAAAGCCTAGAAAGAACAATATGGAAGCTTTTTGTGTAAGAAACAATCACCAGGGACACTGGAAGGAAAGAGAAATACCTGTGTCTTTTTCTCTAAGGTGAAAACTTTGGAGCAGGGCTTAGAAGTACCACAGTGATTTACACATACCATCCATTGTGTTTACCAAGAGGTAAACAGGCCCTTTGCCATAGTTAATTACCAAGGGCCAGGAAGACAGCACAGCCACAACATACACAAGTAAAAATGGCAAAGCATCCACCCGTTTCTGCTTAGGACCACAGGAGGGAGAGAAGGAGGCAAAAAGGAGAGCAGGAGGGAACAAAGAGACCTGTGTAAATCAATCACAGGAAATCATTCTCAGCTTTCTTCAGTAACCCTGAGCAGCTTCTTGCAAAGACTGCAGCGCCCCCTAATGGGCATCACCTATAAGTACCAATTAAAACACCACCTTCCTCCAAACCTGGATTTGCTTAATTCCGTTGTGCCTAAAAGCAAAATAAGTGAAATAACTAGCTGTCTATAGAAGTGCTATACTGGTGGTGCTCAGCACATGCACTTGCTTTCACCGCTCACAAGGAGTTTTGTCACAGTCCTTGATAACACCCACTTTGGTGGACTACCACTAGACTGCGGGCCTTTCCAAGATCCATACTAAAATGGTGTTTCAGGGCATAGCAGGGCACAGCAAAGAGCCTAATGAAAAAGAACACTCTAAGAATCATAAGGTCATTCCCAGGGCACACCTGCAAGAAACAAGAGTTATCTGCAGCCAAAGGATCATCAAAATGGTCACAAGCCAGATTCAGACCAAAAGGGAAAGGCCAGCCCCTCCAACAGGAAGAAATAACACAGGCCTGAAAATTTGTCTCCAGATGGGGTTAGCACTAGGATCTCATTAGAGCAATGGTCAGTTTAGCTAATGGGCACTGCTCAAAACCTCAAATTGTTGTGCGTGGCAGTGGAGGAAGGAGGGTCAGTGGGACCAGTGATTCGGGCCTACACTCCCAACATAACCCTAGGGGAGAAGCCAGGGGTAAGTTATCTTGAGAACAATGTACAAGGCTAGAAGTAAAAGCAGGTACAGACTGTCTGACCTGCGATGGTACAATGTTTCAACCTTATCATCGTGGGAAAGCAATAAGCATTCAGTAGAAACTGTCCTTCCAGTACTCACAAAACCATTCTGTTTTTCACTTTCAGTGCAGTATTCAATAAATTACATAAGCTATTCAACACTTTATTATAAAACAGCCTTTATGTTAGATGATTTTGCCCAATTGTAGGCTCATGCAATATTCTGAGCACATTTAACCTAGGCTAGGCTAAGCTATGGTGTTTGGTAGGTTAGGTGTATTGCCTGCATTTTTGACTTATGAGATTTTCAACTTACAATGGCTTTATCGGGATATAATCCCACTGTAAGTCAAGGAGCATCTGTACTAGAGAAAGAAACAGAAAGATGAGAAAATGGACCTTGAGAAGGAAAAATTCAGAGTTGTTCTCATCCTCTTATCTCAATGGCTGGAGGCATTATAATTAGATAAAATAGGAATGCCACATACTAATAAATACAATGTTAAGCCCTGCTACAACCCTGTTGAATCCAGAACCTGCCCAAATCCAAATGGAGAATCCTTTCAGGGCAAGTGGATAGTAAGCATACACTCAGGACAGATAGGAACTCATTTCAGTGAGCTTTCACTGTATGCTTCTGCTTTTCAGAGAGAAAACAGACAATATACAGCAAAAATTCCAAAGACAGAAGCAACACTAAGGCTAAATAGAAATAAGATGTTTAATTTGCTCTAAGGCCAATGAAGTCACGTAAAGATGCAAGCTGCTTATACTGAAACTAGAAAAAATGAAACTCTAACCTCAGTGTGATCTGTAGAGTTTCAGTACACTCAGCAAGAGAGACCCAGCAGAGCCCCATGAAGAAGAGAATAAGTGGGCTCCAGGCCCCGGAAACATGAGCTGGCACCAGGGATCACACTTCCCTTCCCCGTGCCCCATCACCTCAGGGGCCAGCCAGCCAACACAGCCCCCAGGAGGTGTAAGCCCCGGGTCACATACAGGCCTCACTCCAGCAGGTTTCACTCCTGCTGCCTCAGCCTCCTTGTTCGTGGAGTCTTGGTCAGATGATCGCCCGCTGGCCATGCTGTCCAACGAATGGCAGGAGATGGCATTATACAGAGCTTCGTAGGGACCCTCTTCTTCAGCATTTGCATCAAAATCTATAATCAGTTCAGTCACTGCTTTCTCCACGTCACCTGAGAGGAGGATGGAGGGCAAGAGAGTCACTGAAGGGGAGCAGAATCTCAGGTTCCAACCACTGCAGCAACCCAAAGCCTCTTTAGTCACCCGCGCTCACAAACACTAACCCAGAGCAAGAAAATGATTACTTTGTTCCATGGACAAGAATACGTATAGTTTCAGCTGTTCTTTATACCCTGAGATCTAAACAGATTTTTCTTTAATTCAATATGAAAAACCATTGACATCTATAAGAGATACCTCCCAAGGCCTTTATAAAGTCCCAAAATACCTCAATACCATAATGACATAAACTTAACCCATAAGATATAGCAAGGTGTAACTGAAAAACTTAAGTTACCCTTTACATTCTTTAATAAGAGTCTCCATGTGCTCAAGCAAAATAGAGGACGGCAAAGGCTTTCTGAGCTGGAGGCCCATGCAGCTGTTAGCTTGGCCTGTTAGATAACTATCAGCCTCGGAGCACCTGCAATCCAAATGTGTGACTCTGCAAAGTTACCAACTATTAGAGCCCAGGCAACTCTGGGTCACCTGTAAATAATCAAAACCATAAATGTAAAATCCTTGAAGAGGTTAGTGAACTACTAATCCCATTACTAGCAGATTATGTGGTCAAGAAAAAAAGTGCATGTGGGAGGAAGACAAGGACTCCACAGTTCAGAGAGCTGGGCACCCTTCAGCCCGTATCTCCCTGCACTCCTCTGGGAAATCCCTTTCCCTTTTTCATTTTTAGCTTTGTTCTGTTTTTCTAGCCTTCTTTATTGTAATCTATATTTGGGGAAAGGTGTCAATCTTTATTCTATCTTTGTATTCATCATATCAAGGACCCAAAAGGCTGCTAAATGCATCTGAAAAGGTGGATCCTGACTACTGTTAGGCTAGACTCCCTAAGCTCCCATCCAGACCACATTTGTTGCTCATATGATATATTATCAAAATTTGCCATGTACCCCCCTACCAATCAGATGATACTCATTAAATATTGGCTGGGAACGGTGGCTCACGCCTGTAATCCCAGAACTTTGGGAAGCTGAGGCAGGCAAATCTCAAGGTCAGGAGTTCGAGGCCAGCCTGGCCAACATGGTGAAACCCTGTCTCTACTAAAAATACAAAAACAAATTAGCTGGGCATAGTGGGAGGTGCCTGTAATCCCACGTACTTGGGAGGCTGAGGCAGGAGAATCATTTGAACCCGGGAGGCAGAGGTTGCAGTGAGCCGAGATCACACCACTGCACTCCAGCCTGGGCAACAGAGTGAGACTCCATCTCAAAAAAAAAAAAAAAAAAATTTATTACTCGTCAACTGTGTACAAGGCACTAGATTGTGATTATGTGTTAGAAAAAGAAGGTTTCACTGAGATTTGAATTCATCTTGAGATGATCCTCTCTACTACACATCTCAGAATAGATCTCACAGAGCCAACTGGAAAAGTGGAGGCTAAAATAAAGTAGGAAAGAGGCCCACAGTCAAAAGCATAAACTATGTCCAATAAAACTTCACATAGTAGTTGGCAAAAAATGAACTGAATATAAACTAAGTACTCACAATCCCCCAAAATTATTATTTAAATTAAGATTTTTCCATTCTGCCCACGAATTTTCAACTCTTTTCAAGCTGAGCACCCCTTTACTCATAGGGGAGAGTTACCTTACCCTGAGACTTCTGTGATATGGAGTCCATACTGGAGATGAGAGGTGGCTGGGGTGGGGGGGTTTTATCTACTTCTTTTGTACTTCTTTTTCCAGTCATGTGATCTACATGGAAAGATCAAAAAATAAAAATAAAAAGTGCTGCACCAAATACAAATGCCTTGGTTCAATTCGTGTGTCCCCTGGTCACCCAGACAGGGAGAAAGGATGATACCTTCAATTAATGCTGCTATTTGCTGGCTCTTTTGAGAAGGCAGTTCCCGAACAGTGTCTAGGGCAGTCAGTCCATGGTTATCTTTTATGTTGACGTCAGTTCCTAGAAAGGCACACCAGGTGGACCAGGGGAGTGAGCATTTTCAAGCCAGCCTCCAAAAGGGTCAAATTTTAGGACATTTAAGGCTGTCAGCAGCATGGCCAACATTTTTCATCCAGAGCCATTTAATCCAGCTATTCAAGAACAGTTTACACACTTGTAATCAACCAGTGGAGATACACATACATTGAGTTCAAACACAGCCAGCAAAAATCCCCCTAGGGGACTAGGGAGAAACAATCCCAACCCTGGCACGCTGTGTAGACAAGAGCGCTGCCGACCTCTCACCTGCAGCCAGCAGGATTTGCACCACATCGGTCTTGCCAAACAAAGCAGCCTCATGCAAAGCACTGCCCATCTCCGTCTGGAAAGCAAACGAGAGCGCAGAGCGGGATGTCATCAGAACAGTTTGGTGCGGCTTCACGTGACAAAGGGGACACAGACAAGAAGGGACACAAAATAAAACAAACTACACAAAGCCCTCTGTCATTATCTTTCCAGCTTTTCTTGTGTGGATTCCAAAACCACGATCATGGCCCATACACCAAGGCCATTCTGTGCCACCAGCAGGCCACGTGTGAATAACTGAACAGTTACTCTTAGAGCCATCTACTGGTGAAATGCCTCAGAACTCCACCTTCCTGGGTGGAAGGAGTAATAAGAAGAAAAGTACAACAGAAACACCCTCACTTCAAATGTGGTTTGGTCAACACAACACCTAAGGAATTATTCATCTGAATGGGAAAGGCTAACAAAGAAAGGAAATGTGACATTTCTTGCTGGCAACGTCAAGCTGATGAGACTGTGGAGGCGCTAAATGGTGGCAGTGGGAACACATGGATAGGAAGATAATGAAACTTTTCTGGTTTTGAGAGCCAGTCCATAAGCACATCTTTTCAGGGTTTAATGACTACGGATTACCCCCTGAAAAGAAACAAAAAAATAATAGACTTGCTTGAGGAGTTCATTTGTTTCTTAGTGTCACATTAGAATGAGTCGGCAAATAAGCATTTGAAACATGATGTGAAACGTGCTAAATAAAGAGCACAGCCCAGCAGCATGGTCCTTGTGCCTTCTGCAAAATGACTGAGTCTCTTGAGATTGGAGGAGCCCCCACCCGCCCTGCTACCTGGTAGTTGCTGTCCATGCCAGCATCGAGGAGGACCTGGACCACGGCTTTGTGGCCATTCCTTGCTGCCAAGTGCAGAGGGGTGTGCTTCTTAGTGTTGCAGCTCAGGAGGTTGGGGTGTGCATTAAGGAGCATTTTCACCACCTCCAGTCGCCCGTACAGTGCTGCCAGGTCCAAAGGGGTCTCGAATTTGTTGTTGCGCATGGTGGGGTCCGTCAGCTCCTCTAAGAGCACCTTCACCACCTCTGTGTGGCCATACTGCGCTGCACAATGCAGGGCTGTCTCGTTGTCATTGTTCTAAAGGGTTAACAAGCAGATCACATCAGAAAGGTCACTGGCAGACAGGCACCTGACTGGGACAACCACTCGTAAAACCACTGAAGTTTAAATGAGAAAAATAGCAGCAACACTTGGGGGCTAATAAAAGTCGGAATCCAGACATACTCCCCCACAAACAAGCCTGACTGGTCTAATCAGCGACACCTTCCCCCAGTGACTGTGAGAGGGGAGAAGTCATCTCTTAAACACTGGCAATGCCCTGTGTGCCATGAAGGAAGGGTCTCCAGGTTGTAAGGAGAGTGAACAAGAAAATGTGGCAGGCATTTGGTGGAAGCCCTGGCAAGATGAATACCAATAATATCACTGCTATTATTTCAGTTTAAACTTCAAATGGTTTTACAATTTGTAGGCATTCAACCCTATGGTTCTGATTCTGGATTTGTCAACCATCCATTGCCTTACACATAAGCTTTTTAATAAAAGTTTTTCATCTGCACAGCTTCTTGCATGCAAATCAATCAGCCAACAGTGAAAAGTAACAGAGCAGACTAAAAATCGCTCAAGGTATCAGCCAAAAGCCATTTCCAGGTAAAGGGGGCACTCGGGCTCAGTCACAGAGAAATAAGGGACCCTGACACTGCACTGTGCCTACCCCAGGAGCCTGCACCAAGCAACGCATGCAGTATCTACTTCATTAAAATGGCAGCCAGCACGGGAAGATGTTTCTTATGTAAGAAAGAGGCAAACGCTGGCATGTTTTGTGTGAGAGGTGCAAAATATTCAAATGTAATATTGCTATCAATTCAAGCTCACAACCCACAGTCCTCTAATGCCAATTTTGTTTCAAACTAAAGACAGAATTTGGGATAAAATGGGAGAATTGTGTGCTTTATCAACCACCAGAGGCAAAATGTTAGTCATTCCAATTATGCTCTTTTACTACTGACAATGTCTAATTAGAGCAGAAATAAAGTAAGTCCCATGACCTCTCCTTTTTGAGAAGCACTGATGAAAATAATTCTCCCACAAGATTTTGAGATTCCTAAATTTATCCAGGAGGCTTCTGCTACTTTTGGGAAAGAAAGCTTAAGAGGGGGTTTGTCAGTTAAGTCAATATTGTGCACCTTTCAGTGGTCAAAAGGTCAAAATTAAATGTTTCTGCAATTGCTTTAATTCTATTAATAACACTAAAAGTAATGGATTAGGAATTACCCAAACATGCATATGCAATTCCATCTGCTTTTGATCTGGCATTTGACTGCATCATTTTTTCCAACTATACCAAGTATACCAGAAAGATCCACAGCTGCTGGGAACAACTCCCCAAAAGGTGAGAACGATGGCAAAGAAAAATTTTTAAATGAAATAAGGACAGAAAAAGTAGTAGCAGGACACATGCAAAGATAAATGCACACAAATAAACAGAGGATGCAGAGGAAGCTGCACTGAGCTCAAACACAACTCAAGGAGAGCAGCTGTCAGGAAAGTGCCAACAGCCTTCGCTGGCCAGAGGATACAGCCGGCCTGCCAGCCATGGCCTCCTATGATATGACTGGGCCCTGAGGGGCAAATTCCATGTAACCTGAAAGTCTGGAGGAAGGGGAAATGCTGGGCAGAAAGCAAGTCTTTGAGGTCCTCCCTGTGCCAAACAAACCTTTTAGGATACCCATTTGGAAGGCCCTATTAAGCTATGCCATGAGTTTCCTAAGCAAACTTAGAGCTGTCCCTTCAATTTCTCTCTTTTTTAACCCAACATTTCTCTGGTTGATTATCACTTTCTCCTGATGAACCAACACCTACATTAACAAAAACTCACAGGATCTTTCTGTGGAGTAATTCTGGGGCAGAGTAGTAACCCAAAGAAGTTTAAAAGGATTCTCCAGGTTGTACATCTCAAGATGAGTGTGATAGAAAGAGCCAAGAAAGTCAGCTTATTCTTATTAAAATTCCAATCCAGAAAAACTATTTACTCTGAAGCAAATACTACTGTCTCTTTTATATCCAAGTTGTCTCCCAACAACCAGAATAAATTGTCCTTGATTTTATAAAAAGTATGCCATTAGGGCTAAAGAACTGTAAAAGTCTAAACCATCCAGCAAAGAAAAAAAAAAACCAAAAAAACAAAAAAACTTTTCTCTATTTCTTCTTCGCCAGAATGAAAGCAGCTCTCACAAAGCTGCCCTGCTAAAGGCAAGGTCATAATCACTACTGGCAAATTTCCTGCCTCATGTTAAAAATGGTCTAACCACATCTCTGCAGAAAGTTACACTCATAGACACAGTATAGGGAGCATCTTACTTAGGTTTCAGTCATGCCAGACATGGTCTGGTAACTGTAATACCCAAGTTTATTATATCTGTGGTGACCACATCCATCACTGACACAAGCCATCACGATAAGCTCTTATTACTGTAGGCTTTTTGAGCCTGACAACTATCAGGGCAAGAACTATCAGTGATTCTCAAACTGGCTTCATTTTGGAATTACATGGGAGCTTAAAAATAACTAGTAGGGGCCGGGCACGGTGGCTCATGCCTGTAATCCTAGCACTTTGGAAGGCTGAGGCAGGCGGATCACGAGGTCATGAGATCGAGACCATCCTGGCTAACACAGTGAAACCCCGTCTCCACTAAAAATACAAAAAATTACCCGGGCGTGGTGGCGGGCACCTGTAGTACCAGCTACTCGGGAGGCTGAGGCAAGAGAATGGCGTGAACCCAGGAGGCGGAGGTTGCAGTGAGCCGAGATTGCGCCACTGCACTCCAGCCTGGGCGACAGAACAAGACTCCATCTCAAAAAAACAAACAAACAAAAAAACTAGTAGGAGGTCCAATCTCAGACTTGCCAAAGTAGCACCTCAGAGGGTAAGGTCTAGGAAACTCTTTTTTTTTTTTTTTTTTTTGAGACGGAGTTTCGCTCTTGTTGCCCAGGCTGGGGTGCAATGGCATGATCTCGGCTCACCGCAACCTCCGCCTCCCAGGTTCAAGCGATTCTCCTGCCTCAGCCTCCCTAGTAGCTGGGATTACAGATATGTGCCACCACGCCTAGCTAATTTTGTATTTTTAGTAGAGACGGGGTTTCTCTATGTTGGTCAGGCTGTTCTTGAATTCCCGACCTCAGGTGATCTGCCCGCCTCGGCCTCCCAAAGTGCCGGGATTACAGGCGTGAGCTACCGCGCCTCGCAGGCCTAGGAAACTATTATTAAGTGCTGGTTAATACACTCACAAGAAAAGAAAGGATTCTAAGGAGCAGCACAGACTCCTGATCATCTGGAATGTTTCCCTGTCACACCTTCCAAATCTCACTACAGGTGTTCACAATACCTCCAGAGTTTCCAAAATCCTATTACTACTAATCTGGACTGAGAAAATGGAGTGAGAGGAAATAGCCCAAATTTCCCCCAATGCTTTTGCACAAATTCTCCATTCCTACTCATCTTAAGACCCACTTCTGGCTGGGTGCGGTGGCTTATGCCTGTAATTCCAGCAGTGTGGGAAGCCGAAGTGGGCAGATCATGAGGTCAGGAGATAGAGACCCCCTGGACAACACAGTGAAACCCTGTCTCCACCAAAAATACAAAAATTAGCTGGGTGTGGTGGTGCTTGCCTGTAATCCCACCTACTCAGGATGCTGAGGCAGGAGAATCGCTTAAACCTGGGAGGCAGAGGTTGTAGTGAGCCAAGATTGCACCACTGCACTCCAGCCTGGGTGACAGAGTGAGACTCCATCTCAAAAAAAAAAAGGAAGAAAGAAACTTTTTCCCGACCTTTCTCCTCTTGGAACTATTTCAGGACTATCACCTCCTAGTGCTCAGATTACAGCCCAACTGCACACTTACCCCTTGTTGGCAGATACTGAAGTTAGGGACACCTGGCCTATAGCTATCTGCAGCAATGAAAGTACAGGCCCTAGAAAAACATACCATAATGGAAAGAAAGGAAAAACTAGGTCTGAGATTGAAAGGACACAGGAGAAGCATGAAAGCAAGTCCATCATGTGGAAGAAGAGTTAGACTTACTCTGTATTGTTCTGGAAAGCAGAACTCTGATCCAAAAAAAAATGGAAGGTTTAGGAAGATAGATGCCAATCAAACTCAACAAACCAAAACTCAATGGAATCCAAAAACAGGCTGCCAAGTAGTAATGAGTTCTGTTTGTTATTAGGGAAAACAAGCAAATAATTAAAATACAGGGTAGAGGGTCACCTTTCAAATGACAGAAAGATTCCTGCTCTATGTGGAAGGTTGGCCTAAATTGGTGGTTCTCAAACCAGCTTTTAGAATTACATGGGAACTAAAAAAAAAAAAAAAATGCTAAAATGCTAGTAGTAGGTTTACCCCAGATTTGTAGGCACCAACTTAAGCAATCAATCATAATCATCAAGAATGAGACAAACCAACGTCATGTGCCTTGTTGATGCAAAGCACTAAAAAGGACATACATAATACCACTTCCATGGCGCTCCTGCCAAAAATGTATACCCAGAATCTAATCATAAGGAAATATCAAACAAAGCTAAATTGAAAGACAGTATACAAAACAACTGCCCTGTGCTCTTAAAAACCATCCATGTCATGAAAGGCTAAGAAAGGCTGAGGAACTGTTCCATATTATTAATATGTATGATCCTGGACTGGATTCTCGATCATAAAAAAATTGCTCTAAAGGGCATTTTTGAGACAACTGGTAAAACTTGAACATGGATTCTATATTAGATAATGGTATTGTATCAATATTGAATTTTCCAAATGTAATAAATGTATTGTGGCTTTATAAGCGAATGTCCTTGTTCTTAGGAGATTTAGGTCAAAGAACTAACTAATACCAAAATGGAAGTGTTTAGGATTAAAGGGTCATAATGTCCATGACTTAATATCAAATATTTCATCAGTGACAACAATTATTGCATACACACACACACACACACACACGCACACACACAGAAAGAGAAAAAGCAAAGGTAGCAAAATGTTAACACTGTAGTATCAAGAAGAGTGTACCATAGTTCATGGCATTATTCTTAAAACTTTAAGTTACAAGTTTTTTTTTTTAATAAAAAGTTTTTTAGAAGCTTGCAGGTGATACTAATGCAACCAGAAAGGTTGATTATATTTGGAGGCAACTGGTCTAGATAAAATTCCAAGTCCCTTTCAGTTCTAAGACTGTGAAATCATTTTAAATGTACCAAAAAAATAGATCTGCCCTAATATTAATTTGATTGTTACTCATTTTATGACTCAGACTAAGGAAGAATTGTTAAGAGGGGGAAAATGCGCAATTTTCATGGTTCTGCCTTAGCTAAGGATAATTTACATTTGGCTGGTTTACACCGACTTGTTGAAAAAGGCCCCAAATGTCAAAAAAGAACATGAAAGCTCCTAAAAACTACTTCTGCTCCCAAAATAAGCCATCTGAGACTTCTTAATTTGTACAGGTGCCTGATAGAACTTAGCACTCAAAAGTACTTTAACAAAACAATTCCTAGACATAAGCCAGATCTATAAAAATCCACTGAATCAGGACAAAACCTAGGGGGATCAGATCAGTTTTTCTTTTCTTTTTTTTTTTTTTTGAGATGGAGTCTCCTCTGTCATCCAGGTTGGAGTGCAGTGGCGTAACCTTGGCTCACTGCAACTTCTGCCTCTCGGGTTCAAGTGATTCTCCTGCCTCAGCCTCCCGAGTACCTGGGATTACAGGCATGCACCAGCACGCCTAGCTAATTTTTGTATTTTTAGTAGTCACGGGGTTTCACCATGTTGGCTAGGCTGGTCTCGAACTCCTGACCTCAAGTAATCCGCCAGCCTCAGCCTCCCAAAGTGCTGGGATTACAGGTGTGAGTCACCATGCCTGGTCAAAGGAGGTTAGATTTGAATCAGCTCAAGAAGGGTTTGCATTCTCAGCACAACCCAAACAGCTTTACCTCTCTGTTTCTATTATTATTATTATTTTTTTTTTGAGACAGGGTCTCACTCTGTTGCCCAGGTGACAGTGATCACTGCTCACTGCAGCCTCAACCTCCTGGGCTCAAACTATCCTCCCACCTCAGCCTCCTGAGAATTTGGGATACAGGCATGTACCACTATCCACTATGCCTGGCTAATTTTTTATTTTTTCTAGAGATGGGATCGCATTATATTGCCCAGGCTGGTCCCAAATTCCTGGGCTCAAGCAATCTTCAGCCCCAGCCTCCCAAATTCTGGGATTACAAATGTGAGCCACTACACTGGCTAGCTTTCCTTTTTTTTGTTGTTTTTTTTTTTTGAGTCTCACTCTGTTGCCCAGGCTGGAGTGCAGTGGCACAATCTCAGCTCACTGCAACCTCTGCCTCCTGGGTTCAAGCGATTCTCCTGCCTCAGCCTCCCGAGTAGCTGGGATTATAGGCACATGCCACCACATCCAGCTAATTTTTGTATTTTTAGTGGAGATGGGGTTTTGCCATGTTGGCCAGGCTGGTCTCGAATCCCTGACCTCAGGTAATCCACCAGCCTCAGCCTCCCAAAGTGCTGGGATTATGCCTGTAATTCCAGCACCTGGCCTCAGCTTTACTCTTAATGTAGTTTGCATCAATTGGCCTTTCAGGGAAGAGGCAAAGGGAATTATTTCCAAAGAAAGAAGTATGTTCTTACTACATTTAAACTAATTTTATTTTATATGTGCAAAATTAAAGGATAGGAAAATGTACTTTCAAGAACCAAAGTCTTACCCTTTATCAAAGCTTTATAAGCTCACTAAATTAACCACTGTTGGGAAAACAATCACTTCAAGTTTCCTCCCCATAAAAGAAAACTCTGAATAGACTAACTGAATAATGTTTCATTAAGCGTCATCTACTAGTAACAAAAACAGATTCCAAAAATGCCTTTGCAGAAATACATTACATACACTTTAAAAAATTAGTATCTCAAATATTACTAGTTACCAGATATTTTTACTTTATATATATTATCTTATTTAAACTCCAAAACAATCCAGCAAGGTAGATTATAGTGCCGTATTTTACAGAAGAGGAAACTGAGGCTCAGAGAAATTAAGTAACTTGCTTAAGTCAACAAAACTAATAAGTCGCACCCCAGAACTTAAACTCTGGTCTGACATGAAAGCCTATGACTTATGAGTTTTTCACTCTATCACTCTACTTCCAAAACAAAAAACAAAAAAACTAAGATAAGAGTATCTTCCTATTCTGAAGACTAGAAAACAGAATTTAAAGAGCAGGCCAATCACTGCATTTCAGCCTGGGCAACAGAGGGAGACCCTTTTTAAAATGAAAGAAAGAAAGGAAAGGGGAAGGGAAGGGGAAGGGGAATGGAAGGGGAAGGGGAAGGGAAATGGAAGGGGAAGGGAAATGGAAGGGGAAGGGAAGAGGAAGGGGAAGGGAAGAGAAAGGGGAAGGGGAAGGGAAAGGGAAGGGGAAGGGAAGGGGAAGGGGAAGGGAAGGGGAAGCGAAGGGGAAGGGGAAGGGGAACGGGAACGGGAAGGAGAAGGGGAAGGGGAAGGGAAGGGGAAGGGGAAGGGAAGGGGAAGGGGGAAGGGGAAGAGGAAGGGAAGGGGAAGGGGAAGGGGAAGGGGAAGGGAAGAGGAAGGGGAAGGGGAAGGGAAGGGGAAGGGGAAGGGGAAGGGAAGGGGAATGGAAGGGGAATGGAAGGGGAAGGGAAGGGGAAGAGAAGGGGAAGGGGAAGGGAAGGGAAAGGGAAGAGGAAGGGGAAGGGGAAGCACAAGGGAAGGGGAAGGGGAAGGGGAAGGCAAGGGGAAGGGGAAGGGAAGGGGAAGGGGAAGGGAAGGGGAAGGGGAAGGGAAGGGGAAGGGGAAGGGAAGGGGAAGTGAAGGGGAAGGGGAAGGGAAGGGGAGGGCAAGGGGAAGGGGAAGGGAAGGGGAAGGAGGTAAGAAAGAGTAAGCCAAAACAAAGCTGATGTGCTCCACTACCTAAGGTCAAATTGCTTCTCTACCATTAAGACCCAACAGCTGAACAAAATCTCCCACAGGGCCTTCCTAGGTCCAGCCCATAGGGGGCTTCCTTTGCTAAATCACTATTTCTCAAAAGCATGAAATATCTGCCTTGTGTTTGGAAACATACAGAAGTACCTTATGTTTCTCTTCCCCAAGGCAGCTGTTTTCAGAACAAGTAAAAGGTAGCTAATGTGGATAATGTAGTGTCTTGAGCACACTCCAGACTGTTGCCAAAAAGCAAACTTCATCTGAATAAAATCTTTGACCAAAACCAGCGGGTGAGAGCACCAAGGAAAGAGGCTAACACCATCACCCAATGAACAAGCTCTGCTGCTCAGATGTGGTAAAGGCTGAGGGGCAGACAGGGCTGGCCTGTTCATCACCAGGCCCATCAGACTACTCTTTGTCCCAGCCTCACAGGGAGGGAGACTAAGGCTCCCTTGGTCCTGCAACATAGTTTCCTATTTCAGAACGCTTCCTGGGTCAAGAGTGATCAAGCAGAGAGAAGCTAATGGCTGGAGATATTGGGTCGTGGTTTTAAAGCATCAGGCAGAGATGCACAAACTCCAGGAGATGAGAGAAGAGTCATGCAACAGCTTTTAAAGGAATAAAACGGATCAACCATGTCCTTTCCTCCACATCTCCACCATTAGCTATTGAAACCTGAAAATCAGATTCCATTTCAAAAGACAGATAGAAAGTAGGTTAAAAATATTTTTTAATTCCAGGAGGTACAACTTAATCATTTTTTCTATGCTTATTTAAAAAGTAAGATAATTTGACATCTCTTAACTACATTTAAAAAATTTTAAGAATCAAAATTGTAAATTAAGCATGTAATATGGTCCTTTCTATTTCCCCATTCCTGCCATTTCAAATATTCCAGAAAAAACCACCCACCATTTCCCAAATTAGTATGGGTTTTAAAAATAAAGCCAAAACCCACTGCAGCTGCATTTTCCCATTCCCAGACAAGCCAAAAGCAGATGGACTGAAGCAGACAACAGTCAGCATGATGAGGAGGACCCTGAGTGGACAAGAGTAGAAGCGGAGAGGACCAAAGAGGAGGTACAGCTTGGAGAAATGATGCAGAGAATTCCTGGCAGCAAAGTACACACCTTGGCATTGATATAAGGGTCAAAGGGGCCGTACTTTTTGAGTTCTTTGATCTCAAGAGCATTCTACAAAAAGGAGAGGAAAAGAAAAAGTGATGACAAAATGGATGAAATATATCAAAGCAATACACAGCCCTGAGGGAACCCAACCCTAGAACAACTTGAATCTGCCCTCTGGATGCCTCAAAGGGAAGTTAATAAGAAAGACAACCTCCAGAGCACCTTACTCTTACCCCCCTTTAATCTAAGCATCCTACTGGAACCATATTAATGGTTTTAAAATGAATCAATATAGTACTTGTAACCACTAGCTAGATCCATTAAAGTCTTCAAGCTACTGCAGACATCTTGCCCAGCTTCTGCCCACCACCTGCCTACCAGATACTCAAAGCACTGGGCTGGGGTCCCACTTATCAACTGATACTCCAAGCAGGAGGCAGCTGTGAGCAGGTTAAGCTAGCACACTCAAGTAGCTCAAAAATCCAAGCAGCTGTGTTTCAAGGCAAACGTGAGCAAAGAGGATTAGAAATGGTTGCTGAAAATTTCTTAAATGAGAAGGACTTTAATGGATGACCAGTCTTTCCAACATTGAAGAATATTAGTTACAAGCAAACTTCATTATGCATTTCCTCCAGAGAAGAGAAATGACCACTTTAGCTAGAAGGAGTAAAATTGCACTTAGATTCTAAAGAAGTAATTCTAAACAGATACTTTTCATTCCCAAATGTTATAAACAAACATCCTCACTGATGATTTTAAATGTCTGTTGCTCACCTACCCAGAAAATACAGCCCAAAAGGGGAAAGGAAGGCTGATTAACAGCTATATACACACAATCTCCAAATCAAGAGATTTGGGAGCACTATTTTAATTTTCTCATGTCTCAGAATGAAGCTGCCCCCCTCAGAATCAAAGTCATGCTTTTAACAGCTAACTGAGAGCTGCATGAGTCTCCTGACAGATGGACTTGCCAGGATAATTTCCTATTTTTTGAGGGAAAACTTTGATCTAATCCTACAGGTAATTTAACAATCCCCTCTCGGCAAAGTCATTAGAAAAATAGTCCTAAGCTTACTGAGAAACATCAATATCTCCCTCCTTCTAGGAACTGAGAAAAGTATCTGCTTCAGTTCAGAGCAGAGAGAGGAAAGGGGAGAATGGCTTATCATATAAGGAATGCCCGTCTCCTCTCAAACTTGCACACAACTTCCAACCCAAATGACAGGGAGTTGTATTTGTAAGAGGCTTGTTTAAAACTTGCATAATCCAAGTACAATTTTTTCCAAAGATATAAATGTAAAGAACAGGTATATTCTCAGAGTAACTAAATCCATGGCCATTATACGGTTATTTTTGCTCAAATCCTGCCTTTTTCATTTTCTAAGAATCATCTCTGCTTTTTCAAAGCATGCTTACTCGGAGGACATCATGGAAATGATCTTCATTCCACTGAATCACCTCTGACCTCCCCTCACATGTTCCTGATTTGTGAGTTCATTTTTTGGCACTAGCATGAGTACTTATACTGCTGCAAGTTCTGATGTATGTAAAACAAGAGCATGGTTTACACAGTACTGACAAACACTGGGAAAGTTACATTGCCATGTCAATGGCATAAACAGAATTTACTTTTACTTTTGAGACAGGGTCTCACTCTGTCACCCAGGCTGCAGTGCAGTGGCATGATCATGGCTCACTGCACCCTCAAACTCCTGGGCTTAAGTGATCCCCCGTCTCAGCCTCCTGAGTAGCTGGGACTACAGGTGTGTGCCACCACATCCGGCCTTTTTTTTTTTAATTTTTTATAGAGATGGGGCCTGGGGGGTTGGGGCTCCTCACTGTGTTGCTCAGGCTGGTCTCAAACTCCTGGCCTCAAGCAATTCTCCTGCCTCAGCCTTCCAAAGTGCTGGGATTGCAAGCATGAGTCACCACACCCAGCCCACAGTTAATTAAGCTCACTAGCTTGAAACTGACTCCATGCAATTTTGCAGGGTTTGCATTATTTCAAATTTTGCACATAAAGTGAATACAGTTGGCCCTTCATATCCACAGGTTTCCATCCATGGTTAGTTAAGTCTGCACATGCGGAACCCACAGACAGAGACAGCTAATGTTACTTTGCCGTTTTACATAAGGGACTTGAGCATCCTTGGATTTTGGTATCTATGGGGAGGTCCTGGAAACGAAGGGCTGACTGTGTATACATTTTTATTCTAGTACTATTCCAAATATGCATGAGTCAAATGCATATAAAATACATCCTCATAGTATAAGATCTACTAAGAAGAGTAGAACTGGGAAGAGGGGAATCACAATTAGGGTATGGAAGAGGTGGTTCCATGCTAAGGAACTGATTATCAAAAAGAAAGAAAAGGAAGAGCTGGTTCTCTGAGATTTGAACTATGGGGCTAAGATGGTGATGGGGTTGCCACATCTGGCTATAGCTGAATGGAGGAAGGAAAGCCTCCCTTCCTTCCGACCTGTTCATTGACTCTGGTGTGTGAAGGCCCTTGATGGATGAGCAACCGCACTATCTGGGCATCTCCTTTCCAGGCTGCCAAATGCAGAGGGTAGCAGCCTTTTGAGTCAGCCACGTTGGTCAGCGCATCGTTCCTCAGAAGAACCTCGACCACATCCCTAGAAGGCAAAAATCAATCATGAGTTGGTAGAACTCAGAAGTCTTTCCAGCTAACAGCTCTTTACACCTATATGGCACAAAGCCCTTTCACAGATATCTCATTTGGCTCCTGTGTCTCTACCTGAGCTCACCACCCCAGCTTTTCCTTTTATTCCATGAGCTACTTGTACAGCTGCTGATATGCAGCAGAACCACCTTGAGCCATGCTATGCTGACTCATCACCTCTCTGTTTAGGCTTTCTTGGTAATCCGTCTGTTTTCTACTACTTTGAAAATGTCTGGACTCTTTGTCCAAACCTGTTTCCTTGTTTATCATGTTTAAACAGCATTCAAGTGTTGAATTTACATAAAAGTAATCATACAAGACAAATATTATTATTCACCACATTATTCAGAGCATTTAGTGATGTAGGAGCTGAAAGCAGAGAGGCCAAGCAGAACAAAAGTTACTGCAGGCTGGGCAGAGTGGCTCACGCCTGTAATCCCAGCACTTTGGAAGGCTGAGGCGGGTGGATCACCTGAGGTCAGGAGTTCAAGACCAGCCTGGCCAACATGGCGAAAGCCCGTCTCTGCTAAAAATACAAAAATTAGCTGGGTGTGGTGGTGGGCACCTATAATTCCAGCTACTTGGGAGGGTGAAGCAGGGAGAATTGCTTGAACCCAGGAGGCAGAGGTTGTAGTGAGCTGAGATTACGCCATCGCACTCCAGCCTGGGTGACAGAGCGAGACTCTCTCTCAAAATAAATAAATAAATAAATAAATAGTTATTGCAAAAGTAAGCCAGACACATATGTTATCATTTGATATCCCCAGAAAGAGGAACTTGCTTTTTTCCTGGTGACAGCACTAATTAAACACATACCAGTATATAATTATCCCTATGAATGTGAGGTCAAAGAAAATCCCCACTGTAAATCAAAACAGCATCTGGAAATGAACTTGGCTAACAAACTATAGTCATTTAAGTTCAAGATTCACTTTAATTCAGATTACCCCACTATATATGGGAACAGTGTTCTCTATAGATTTCTTTTTAGCTATATCTAAGATGGCTACAGAAAAGACTTAATGATCATATTCAGTATATTTTAGAAATGTTTAATGTTGAAGGAAACAACCACTGCCTCTTTTTGGTATGTTGGAGTCAATTAGGGTGGGTCAAATATCGGACAAGTGACACAAAATACTCTAAGGTAGAGGGCTCTGGAGCTCCTTGCTCAGCAAAATCTAAAATGATTCCAATAATCCCTCCTCATAAAAACTACACTGCTGGCCGGGCGCAGTGGCTCATGCCTGTAATCCCAGCTCTTTGGGAGGCTGAGGCAGGTGGATCACCTGAGGTCAGGAGTTTGAGACCAGTCTGACCAACATGGTGAAACCCCGTCTCTACTAAAAATACAAAAATTAGCTGGGTGTGGTGGCGGGCGCCTGTAATCCCAGCTACTCAGGAGGCTGAGGCAGGAGAATTGCTTGAACCCGGGAGGTGGAGGTTGCAGTGAGCCAAGATCATGCCACTGCACTCCAGCCTGGGCAACAAGAATGAAACTCCATCTCAAAAACAAAAACAAAAACAAAAAAACGACACTGCTGCTACTTATTGCCTATAGTACTTGTTTTCCTTTAACACCTTCTATTCTGTTACACTCTGGTTTACATTCTTCAACATCCTGGCAAACCCACTCACTGTGCTCCCCGACAATGCCTGCCCCTTTGCTGGGCAACCTGAAAGGCAGTGCCCAATCACTTAAGCCTATGCCTTCTCTCTCAAATTCTCCCCAAAGCATGCCTCCTCCAGAGAACGTTCCACACAAATCCCACCCAGTTCCTAATAACTTCTCTATACTCAGGAGAATTACATAGGCCATTTAATGTATTTTTTTCCCCTTAAAAAGGGTTCTTGTGTACAGGGCTAATTTTATGAGGAAAGAATGGCAGGCAAGAAGAGAGAGTAAATAAATAACTATTGAAACAGAAGACAGCTTTCTCATGACCACTTAATCTATTTTCAGTTTATTGAGCAGTTAGTTACCTAATAGATTCCAGCCCCTTTATGTTCTGGCTGCCCCAAATTTGATCATCATACCTAGAACATTATGTAGCACTGGAACATTCCAGAGGGAAAAAGAACAAGCAGAAGAAAAGGTAAAACTTAACTCTTGGCTGAAGATTTTTTGGTGGGTAGGGTGGGGAAGGATGTTTAAATTATACATGAAAGAAAGACACAGAAATGCTGAATGAACTGAACTTACGTTTGTTTTTCTCTGTTTCTCAGTGCCACCGCTTAGCAAACCTTTGTTTTGTTTTTGTTTTTTAGAGATAGGGTCACTCTGTCAACCAGGCTGGAATGCAATGGCACAATCATAGCTCTCTGCAGCCTCAAACTCCTGGGCTTAAGCAATCCTCCTGCCTTAGCCTCCTGAGTAGCTAGGACTTCAGGCATGCTACCACGCCTGATTAATTAAAAAAATTTTTTTTTTTTTTTTTTTGTGGAGATGGAGGCTTGCTTTGTTGCCCAGGCTGCTCTCAAACTCAGCTTCATGTGATCCTCCCACCTCGGCCTCCCAAAGTGCTGGGATTACAGGCATGAGCCACTAAGCTCAGCCAGCAAACTTTTCTAGGAAATGAAAAGGCAACGTGAAGGCCTGGGTTCTGAAGGGTGAAGGCAGGAATGTAGTACATTGATACTTACTTATGGCCATTCAAAGCAGCATGGTGCAGGGGTGTGTAGCCAGTGCTGTCAACACAGTTCACATTTGGCCCTCTCCACATGCTATCAGGGAAAAAAAAAAGAGAGAGACATAGATTTCACAGACCGAAGTCACAAACCAAAGTTAGAGATAGCTAGCTAATTAGTAAAGATTTCTGTGTGGTGTTCAACCAGACCAGTTACTTCCAAATGACTCCTGATAACACACAGCAGCTATACACTGCAGAGATGCATAGCACTGAGGGTACACTGCAATGGTTTGCTGAACAGAGTCAAGTTTCAAGACAACAGTGTCATCGCTTAAGAGTCTGTTCTTCTAGTACTCCCAGGATTGCAAAAACAGCTCATTGAAAGGTCATCAAAGACAGAACCAAACCTCTCCGCCAGTCACAGGTATTGACCTCTCACTCCTGTACTGGTGACTGAAGGTTTGAGAGAGACCTCAACACAGATCAGATAATCAAGACGAGCCAACGAGCAAGGATCAAGGACAAAAAAGCACCAGGAGACGTGTCTTAAGATGCAAGAGACGATTTTGCCTTTCCTTTGTAAAGATGTCTTATTAATTAAAAAAATAACAATCTATAATTGGAGTGTCTTATCTGACTTAAAAATACCATAGGAGGGAAGCTGAAATGTTACCTTACTTAATCCTCAAAGCCTTTGTTCTTATTTCTGTTTCTGCATTGGCCTTACTGCATTGACCAGAGCTTCTAAAATAATATCAAATAATCCTAAAAGCCTTAGTTCTTATTTCTGTTTCTGCAAACTTTACTGCATTGGCTAGAGCTTCTAAAATAATATCAAGTAGCAGAGGGCAAACTTGTTTTGTTCCTGCTTCTAATGAGAATGCCTCTAATGGTTTGAGGTAGATACTCTGTAACTTGTAAAGGAAGTATCCTATTTTTTTTCCCCCAAAAAGTGTTATTAGAAATAGTTGGTTAAATATATTTTCTGCATCTATGGAGATAATAGTTTTTCACATTTTACAACCTAATATGTTATCAATAGGTTTCTTAATATTAAGCCATTCTTGGAGTAAACTTAATTGGCCATTTCCATTATGACCTTATTGGTAAATTCTACTTGAGAGCATCTACTTGAGAGTAGATTATTTAGGATCTATATTCATAATTGAGACTGATTTAAAGTTCTTGCTTTTTGTGCTACTGTTACTGGATGGTATCAGTGTTAGGTTAAAGTCACAGGTCAGCTGGGCAGCTGTCTACTCATTTCCATATTGAAGAATCAATGACACAGGCCAGGTGCGATGGCTCATGCTTATAATCCCAGCACTTTGGGAAGCTGAGGCGGGCCAATCAGTTGAGGCCAGAAGTTTGACACCAGCCTGCTCAACATGGTGAAACCCTCTACTAAAAATACAAAAATTAGCTAGGTGTGGTAGTGTGCACCTATAATCCCAGCTACTCGGGAGGATGAGGCAGAAGAATTGCTTGAATCCAGGAGTCAGAGATTGCAGGGAGCCAAGATCACACCACTGCACTCCAGCCTGAGAGACAGAGAGAAACTCCATTTCAAAAAAAAAAAAGACAATGACAGAGCACTAAAATTATAAAGAATCACCAGTAAAGCCATCTGAGCCCAGAGCCTTTATGCTTAGTGTTGGAAACAATATTATTTATAAAATTTTGGCCGGGTACGGTGGCTCACACCTGTAATCCCAGCATTTTGGGAGGCCAAGGCGAGTGGATCACCTGAAGTCAGAAGTTTGAGACCAGCCTGACCAACATAGGGAAACTCGTCTCTACTAAAAATACAAAAATTAGCCAGGCATGGTGGCGGGCACCTGTAGTCCTAGCTACTCAGGAGGCTGAGACAGGAGAATTGCTTGAACCTGGAATGCGAAGGCTGCAGTGAGCCAAGATCGTGCCACTACACTCCAGCCTAGGTGACAGAGTGAGACTCGATCTCAAAATAAATAAATAATAAAATAAAATTTTAGCAATAGGCATCAACAGACAAATTATTATAACTACAGTACAGACACAGAGTAGAATATCATATACCAGTTACATTGCTATGTAATAAGACAAAAAAAGATTATAATGTTAAGGAGAAAAAAGAAACAAAATTGTAAATACTATAAAGTCATAGCTCAGAAAGGATGAAATTTATCAGGAGAGTAGATTAAGTGCACAAGTTTACTCTACCTCCTGTCTAAAGTTCCCTGAAGTGACAGAAAAGATATCCCACCCTACACAGATAGAGAGCTATAGACAGATAAACAGATTCACACCAAGAAAATTTTAAAAGACACCATCAAGTAAGCAGCAATGCTGAGGAATTACTAAAAGGCAGAAAGTAGACAAGGTCAGATCTACAGAGACACAATCTAGAAGAATGCAAATTAAAACATTCATTGACAAAAATGAACATAATGATATTATCAAGTGTTTCTAAATATTAGGAAAACAAGCACTCTTAAACACCACTGGTATGAGTTTAAACTGGTAAATTCCTTTGGGAAGACAATTTGGCACCATCGACCAAAACCAAAAATAGGATTCACTTTGAGCCAGCAATTCCACTTCCAGGCAATTACCCAACAGAAATACTTGCACATGTGCACAAAGACACATGCTGGTACAGGACTGCTTCATTGTAAGAGTTAAAAACTAAAAACTTAATGTCTATCCATAGGCAAGCAGTAAAATATTAGGTATACTCCTAAAATACAATACTACGTAACCATCAACGACAACAGTAATAACAAAGGAAAGAAAACAAATTGGACCTTTAAGTCCTGACATGGAAAGATTTCCCAAGACATACCATGTTATAAGAAAGCGACGAAAGAAGGCATTGTATAATACACACCGCTGCAAATGGATGGTGACTGGAAGAGCACTCACCAAATGCTGATTGTGCTCACCTCTGGGGAAGAAAATCTCTGTGTTAGGGAGCACTGCAGATGATGAAGAGAGACTTTCCTATTGCGTTCTGTATTCTACCACAGTTTAAAACACTTAACAGTGAGAATCTATTCACATAGTGCTTTTATAATAATAATATTGTAAAAGAAAGGGGGAATCATCTATGCGCAAGGAAAAGAAGACAAAAAAGTCAAAATGTTAATAAAACACAGCTGTATATGGGTGACAAGCCACTTTAATGAGCATGTAGATATTAGGTTTAGAATCGTAAGATAAATTTTAAGTAGAAAAAGTGGGATTCTGTACAGCAAAGGAAACCGCCAGCACAGTAAAAAGACCACTTATGGAATAGGAGGAAATATTTGCAAACCATACATCTGCTAAGAGGTTAATATCCAAAATATATAAAGAACTCAAAACAACTCAATAGCAAGAAAGCAAATAACCTGATTGGAAACATTGGGCAAAAGATCTGAAAAGACATTTCTCAAAAGAAGACATACAAATGGCCAATAGGTATATGAAAAAATGCTCAACATCACTAGTCATTAGAGAAATGCAAATTAAAACCAAAATGATATATCACCTCACACCTATTAGAATGGCTATTACCGAAAAGACAAAAGGTAAGTGTTAGCAAGGATGTAGAGAAAAGAGCACCTTGCACACTGTTGGTAAAAACAAAAATTAGTACAGCCATTTACAGAAAACAGTATGAAGTTCCTCAGAAAATTAAAAATATAACTACCATATGAACCAGCAATTGTACTACTGGGTATATCCAAACGGAATAAAATCAGTATATGGAAGAAATATCTGCACTTCCATGCTCATTGCAGCATTACTCACAGTAGCTGAGATATGGAATCAACCTACCTGTCCATCAATGGACAAATGAATAAAGAAGATGTGGTATATATAAACAATGACATACTTTCCTTAGGAAAGGAAGGAAAATCCTGTCATTTGTAATAACATTTATCAACCTAGAGGACATTATGGTAATAAAATAAGCCAGGAACAAAAAGACAAATACTGTATGATTTCACTTACATATGGAATCTAAAAATGCTGAACTCACAGAAGCAGAGCATAGAATGGTGGTTACCAGGAGCTGGAGGGGGTGATGTTGGGGAGATGTTGGTCAAAGGAACAAAATTTCAGTCAGGAGGGATAAATTCAAGAGATTTACTGTACAATAAGGCAATTATACTTAATAACAACGTATTATAATCTTAAAAATCGCAGCCGGGTGTGGTGGCTCATGCCTGTAATCTCAGTACCTTGGGAGGCTGAGGCAGGCGGATCACCTGTGGTCAGGAGTTCGAGACCAGCCTGGCCAACAAGGCGAAACCCCGCCTCTACTAAAAATACAAAAATTAGCTGGGTGTGGTAGCACATGCCTGTAATCCCAGCTACTCGGGAGGCTGAGGCAGGAGAACTGCTTGAACCTGGGAGGCAGAGGTTGCAGTGAGCCGAGATCGTGCCATTGTGCTCCAGCCTGGGCGACAGAGCAAGATCCCATCTCAAAAGAAAAAAAAAAAGAAAGAAGGAAAGAAAGAAAAAAGCACTAAGTGCGCTGGTGTTTTTGTTTGTTTGTTTTGTTTTGTTTTGTTTTTGAGACAGAGTCTCGCTCTGTCACCCAGGCTGGAGTGCAATGGTGGGATCTCGGCTCACTGCAACCTCTGCCTCCCGGGTTCAAGCGATTCTCCTGCCTCAGCCTCCTGAGTAGCTGGGACTACAGGCGCATGCCACCATGCCTGGCTAATTTTTTTTGTATTTTTAGTAGAGATGGGGTTTCACCATGTTAGCCAGGATGGTCTTGATCTCCTGACCTGGTGATTTGCCTGCCTTGGCCTCCCAAAGTGCTGGGATTACAGGCATGAGCCACAGCGCCTGGCCAAGAGTTGGTTTTTAAGTGTTCTCACCATAAAAATGATATGTGAGGTAATATATATGTTAATTAGCTCAATCTAGCCACTCTATAATGTATAGCTATTTTAAAACATCATAATGTATACAACAAATATATAAAGTTTTTGTCAATTAAAAATAAATGTTTAAAAAGCAAGATACATGTATTTCGATATCTAGGCTATTTGTTCATTGCCAACTAAGGATGGTGAAGACAAGGTGAGGAGCCTGAGGGACATCGTGATACCCCATCCTCCACTAAGCCTGAACTTCTATAGCACTTTCTAAACAAGAAGCTAAATGCAATTAAATCTCTTTAACACATTTGTACAATGACCTCATTTTCCAAACCAAAAAGTATATGACTATGCCTGACAATGGATCAGGGTGATGGCAAGTGACATGGATCTGGAAAATCTGTGAGGTACCATTGTCACACTTATTTTCAAATTGCCACACAAGAGAAAATATCATCATTATAGCACAGGTGACACTAAGAATCTAAAAACAAATTATTTGCCCCAAATCACACACGAAATCAGCGGCAGATCAAAAACTCTCTTTGATGGAGCTCATGGCATTTGGCCAAACAAGGACTGTCTGATCTAACTGGAACAACAACATGAAGTGAATATGTAGTGGACATAATTCAGCAGCAACGCGATGACTAGAATAATTAAGAAGAACTGAGAAAGAGGAAACACCAAGGCTGGTTAAAGCGGCTGAGAGTGCGGGCCTATCAGCTACCAATTTAGTTCTATTAGAACTCAACTATCTCAGCCCTCTCAGTTCATGTCCCCAAGGAGCCCTGAAACTAAGATTTAAACTGCCTTTGATCTTAACAAAAAGGCAGGATGAAGCAAGCCTTTCATCGTTTTCTAACTTTTGCCTCCATGACTGGTTTAAAGGTGATTAAGTTTGGACATCCTATGTCAGCACTAAAACTCCCTCAAAACAATTAGAAAAGAAAAGGAAAAAAGATAGTGACTTCACTGCAAAAAGCAGCAACGTTTCCAACCAGAGGCCTTTTTTCCTTCTTTTTCTCTACCTTCTCCTCCAAAAGCCCATCTAGAAGTTTTGGGGACTGGGGAACACATTAAACAAAATCTAAACGAAACTGGAGAACTCTAATCTCCTTGTTTGGTATTTCAGCTTCAGACAGGATGGTAGTAACATCCCCCTCCACCCAAGTTTCTTCCTTTTTGGCAGCTCAAGAAAAGAGTTACTTACAATCTAGGTCTTCCTCCCTATCACAGCTGTCCTATTAGGTTTTCTAAAACTGTAAGCACCAAAGGGCTGCTCACCGACAAACAAAAGCAGCATATAATGCATCAAGAACCAGAGAAAACAACCTTAAACACAGCCTAGGAGATTCCTAAGCAAAGTTTAACCTGTAAAGATTGTGCAGAAATGCAATAGCTGCCCTTGACTTGCAAGACAAATGCTCAGACTGATCTTAATGGGTCCTGGAGCAGTCACAGCAAGCCTGCGTGATGAAGCTATGGAACCTAAGTTAGGAGCTTGGGCTCTGCGGTTAGCCAAACTGACTTCAAAACTCGCCTCCGCCACTTGTCATTTTTTGACCTTGGACAATTCACTTGATTTTCCACACTACTGTCTCTGCATTTGTAAAGTCTACCATGATGGGCTCCCCAGGACTTAAATCATTCATGGAAACTTCTAGAAGTTTGAGCAAGTATAATAGTATTGAGAGGCCTAGCATGTCAAAAAAGCTAACCTGCTTTCACATGATGCTGAAGCGCAGCAAGCCTTGCCCTATGCACCTCGGCGGCACCTATGTTTTGGGATGGCATCTAAAGCACTGTGGAGGGCATGGAAGAATATGACTGGTGAGGCCCTGTGGCTTTTGAATCCCCCCTCAAAGGCCTCTCTCCATTCCTTTAAAAACTGATTGCATGTGTAGACATGCCGGGCACTGTGCTGGATTTGGAGGTTTTGATGAATAGAAACAGCCCACTCTATTTGGTGAAGGAGCCAAATGAGGTCCTGTTTATGGAGCTACTCACGCATGTACTCAGCAGACACGTGAAGTGCGCCTTCTAGGGGCTGGAGATGCAGATGGAAAAAGACAAAGTCTGCCCTCATGGAGCTTGATTTCTAGGAGGAGGGAGAGAGTGAGCGAATAAGCAAACAAATAGATCCTATGATGCCTATGTGGTGATAAGGGCCAAAAGTGAGCAAAGGAAGCAGAGGCAGCAAAGGAAGGGGATAAAAAGGAAATGAGTGATATTTGAGATAAGGTCATCAGAAAAGACCTCTCTAAGAAGGTGATCTTTGAGAATATCTGAATAAAGTAAAGAGCCGTGAGGGGGTCTGAGGTAGACAGGCAGAGTAGCATCAAACACAGGAGCCCTGGGAAGGAGCGTGCCTGACCTGTGGCTGGAGAGGGGAGTAGCAGGGAGCTCCGCCCACAGAGATGCCAGAGGACATCACAAAGGACATCGAGGTGAGTTCAGTTCCACAGGCATCCGCTGAACACCTAGTAGTGTTCACTGCCAGGGGTAGAAAACGGAGGAGGACATAAAGTCCACACTTGAAGGAAAGGGGAGCACTTTCAAAACAAGGGGAGGCACAGGCTCTAAAGGCTAAACTGAGGTGATCAGAAACTAAGTCTCTTAACAGAGAATCAGGGTTCCTCCTATCTGATTTCAAAAATCCATCAACACTCATAGCTAAATTTACTTACCACTCTTCAGACCTAGCAAAACTCAAGCGAAAACTTGAGGTAAAATTGCTTAAAGTCTCTGTGAAATCAAATAAGAATCGCAAAAGCAAGACAAATGGGATATTTATTCTGTCAAGCACAGAAAGTGGCCCAACTCAAATGTCCCCTGATCCTCCACATCTTTCCTGATTGCACTGGCTGCTATTAATTTCACCCTTCTCAGATATTCCAGATCATCCACTGCATCTTCACCACAATATTTATCCTATCTGATCCTGAGCCACAGTGAATTATTTATCCTGCTTATTCATACCATATATTATAAGTCCTTTAGGGAAATCCCTCATGTTTCCAAGAACAGAGCACTATGTAAGGAATTGGCCCAGGGCCACCAGGGTGCAACTTCTAACATTCAGTTTTCAGCAATCTGCTCATTCCCTCTTACCAGATCAGATTCTTGCCAACCCTGAACCAACATTACCCCAGTATGACATGGTCTCTATGCAGTATAACAAACCTACTACATTTATATCCATTAAGAATGGCAACAATCTCTTGATGGGACATACAAGAACACTGCATCTGAGATGTCTGTACATAAAACACAGCGACAGAAGAACCATAAGTTAGAACCAAAGTGCTCAGGCCACTTTCATGTGCGTGAGGTCAGATTTCTGGACTGAATGATACCCTAAGTGGCCTTAGCTGGCAGTAAACATGATTCATGTGGTAGCCCAGCTACTTTATTGCTTACTTTACACAGACAAGTAATGGCATCTCAATGGGCCAGAAGTGTCCAATCCAGTTGAATCCAATCAATGTTGATGCCACAGCGCTGGACAGTCCCCACCCTTGAGTTCAGTGAGGAAGTCAGACCAGTAAACAAATGACAATACTGTACAGTGTGTGACATTCTGGGAAGGAAGTACACAAACTGGCTTAAGGGAAATAGGAACAGAGAGGTTTTACAGAAGAGGAGATACTTAAGTTGAGCCTTAAAGTTTAGAAGGAAGCAGCCAGGCAGAAACGAAGAGGCAACATCCAAATTCACTGTCCCCTGAGTAGTCTCAGCAAAGTGGGACACCTGCAAGTAACTACGAGTGGCTGGAGCATACAAGTGGAAGGATGGTGAATGCAAGGTTGAACAGGCCGGCAGAGTCAAATCAGAAAGGGTCCTGTATGCCGCTGAAGAGATTCAAGCGGGGAATAATCAGATGGGTGTTTTAGAAAAATCCTTCTGTTGACAGCTGGGAGGCGGGTACTCAGATGGTCCATTTGTTATTCACTATACTGTTGTGATGGCCTGACATATTTCAGAATTTTTTTTCATCATTATGCTGAGCAGGTGTGTAAATGATACACTAAGAGAAGTGTGTGACTAGATCCAGGGAGCCCAGGTGAAGTTAGTAATTCAGGCATGAAGTAAACACCTTCATGCAGTGTAAAGAGGACAGAGAAAAAAGGATAGATTCAATAGAAAAGACAGGACCTTGTCAAATGCAGGTTGGGGTGCACTGGCGGCTGTTTGAATCAGGCTACTCAGTGAGTAGTGAGAATTCTGGGGGAAAACCAGGGTTGCTTTGTTTTGTGACTGTGGTGACGTGAGGTAGGGGAGAAGAGAAGGGAGCGGGAGGGAGTTTTATTTTGAATTTGTTGAGGCTGAAATGAATTTTGACTCCCATATGTAGATGTCTGGTCAGTAGGTCGATATGAGGGTCTGGAACCCATAATCCTATGTTATATAAAGCCCATCCTTGTTTGTACCATGGTTACACACCAAATAACTTGAAATGACAATGTCTAAATGTTTACATGCATTTGCATGCATGGTACCCATACTTGACTCTTACAAGCATACTATCAAGAAGGAAAACAGATACCGGTATTTCCATTTTACAGGTAAGAAAACTGAAGTTCAAATGGCTTGCTGATTGTCATATAGTTGATTACATGAGAACGGAAACAAAATTCCACATCTGACTCTAGTGCATGTTCCTTCCAGTTTCTCCAGTCCCTTGACACTGAATGTTTAGAGAAAACAGCGTGCATCTCTGTGGGTCTCCTCCTGCATTAGTTCTCAGGAGGTCAACGACTCAAAGCATCAAGTCAGATAAAGGCCTTCTGGATCACAGACCCTGTAAAGAGGGAGCAATAAACTTGAGGGGGAAGAGAGGTCCTAGGCAGCTCTCCAACAATTCTTCATTAAATCATAATGTCTAAACAGGAGTTTTGTCTCATCAGCCTTTTTCTGCCAAAGGCTTTCAATGTTTTCTTCTTTTGGTTATTGTTGCAAAGTGAGATTTATCTCTGAACCTCAGGAAAGGCTGGCAGTTTTCCAACACAAGGAAACACTCTCTCAAATCAGTCTAATTTAGAAAAGATTTCATCTTACTCAAATGAATTTGACACATCCTTCCTAAAATGCTTTCTACATACTTAACAGTTGAGGGTAAAAGGAGAGATACAAGGAGTCTATGAAACCATCCCCACTGTCAGAGAAGCTTGTAATCTTCAAGGGAAGACAAAACACAGACATGAAACAGTCAGACACAGAAGCCCCACAACAGTGCCAAAAGAGTTCAGTTAACAAACTGAGCATGTACTTTTATTTCTGCTCTCTCCTGAACCCCATTAAAAACAGAGTAAAAACAAACAAAAAGGCAAAAGGAACAGGAGAAGATAACTGAACATAAAATGTTGATCCTTTTTGAAAGATAAAAAGTAGGTAAGTTAGTAGAGCTGAGAAAAAAGTGAATCTCTGCAGCCTGTGAAGGCGATGCCAATTCACAGAGGCACCCTTGGGAAGGCTCAGGGATTAGGGGCACCAGGTGGCAGAGGAGGCCAGGGACGGGGAGGGGCTGAAAACTGGGACTTAATACAAATTCTGTATAAAGAGGTGTTAGACCACCAGGTCTGCTGTCACATCCAGGACAGCCAGGGACTATTACTCCTCTACCTGCACAGGAGAGGGTTGATTTATTCTGTAAGAACCAGCTTGGATCTAGACGCAGGAATATTAGGAACAGTAGAAGGTAGGGGAAGGAACTGTACTGAAATCAGAGGCCCTGAATGAAAGTCTCTATCTTGAATGATGAGATCCCAGCACCCCCTAATCCACTTGGCTTCCATAATGCTGGAATGGGAGCTCCACTCCCATCCCTACACAGAAAAGTTGAGGGATTCTTTCTTGGAGAAAATAAATGATACCACAGAAAAGTTCAACAGATGATGGCTTTCGGGGATTTCCCAATAAAACAGGAGGGGCTCCTATCCCATAACCCTATATAATATTAATATAAAGCCTATCCTTGACAATCTCTTCCCACCTCTATACAGAACATCCAATCAGCTTTTTAGTGTCTCACGCTTTAATACAAGTGACAACCAAGGATTGCCAGACATTTGAGGAAAAGACTTTAACATGAAAAGACAGAGCACACACAAAAAAAACCCAAAAAAACAGAAAAAAATGACTCAAAGATATGAGACAAGGAGCCAAATAAAACCTCAAAAATGAAAACCTATTATCACAGAAGAACAGGATTAAAAAACAAAAAAAGCAAACAACAAAAAACAAAAACCAGGATCAGTGAAAAGTTCTTGGAAATTAAAAATAATAATATAAATAAAAATATAAATAATGATCCAGAAGATAAAGTAGAATAAACTTCTCAGAAAGTGGAACCAAAGATAGAGGTTGGAAATAGGAAAGATAAAATTCGAGGACCAAGAGTTCCAGAGAAGAGAGAAAAAAAGATCATCAAAGAAATAATTTAAGAAATTTTCCTTGAACTTCCGCTTATGAGTCCATCCTGTGCTCAGTATAATGAATAAGAATTTTTTAAAAGTCACATTGTGAAATTTTATAATAAATGGGATAAAGAGAACACAGTTTGAGAGTAAAAAAACAGCTTGCATACAAAGAATTAAGCGCCACCAGAATTTTCAATAGCACCTCTGAAAGCCATAAGACAAAGGAGAAATGCTTTCAAAATTCTGAGGTGAAATGACTTCCAATCAGTCAAGTATAAAAAGAGAATGGATATTTTTAGACATGCAGGGTCTCAAACTTTACCTCCCACACACTCTTTTATCAGGAAATGACTGGAGGATGTGCTCTACCAAACAAATGAGCAAACCGAGAAAGAGGAAGATGGGTATCCAGGAAACGGGGTGAAGGGAATCAGCTACACAGCAGGCCTAGAGACCATATCTGGAGAATGCTGGGAATCCAGGGGGGCATCTGCAGAAGGAAACGAAACCAACATGATCAACTGATGTATCTGCCTAGGATGTAAAAAAAGAATACTTAAAAATTATAGTTGTGATTTGGGAAGTAAGAATAAGCTGGACATAGAAAACTCAGAAAATGGCCAGGCGTGGTGGCTCACGCCTGTAATCCCAGCACTTTGGGAGGCTGAGGTGGACGGATCACCTGAGGTCAGGAGTTCGAGACCAGCCTGGCCAACATGGAGAAACCCCATCTCTACTAAAAATACAAAAATTAGCTGGGTGTGGTGGTGGGCACCTATAATCCCAGCTACTTGGGGGGCTGAGGCAGGAGAATCACTTGAACCTGGGAGGTGGAGGTCACAGTGAGCCAAGATCACGCCACCTCACTCCAGCCTGGGTGACAGAGCCAGACTCTGTCTCAAAAAAAAAAGAAAAGAAAAGAAAAAAGAAAACTCAGAAAAATCAACAGGAAGAAAATTAATTAATTGTACAAGAAAAAAATAGAATTATAGTGTAAGTGGTTCAGCAGGTAAATAATACTAATAGTCATAATAACATAAACATAAGCATTTAATACTGATGTAACTAAAAGCTGTGATATACTTGAAGGATGAAGGGGGAGGCAGTGGACAGAGAGTGTAAGAAGGCTAACAGTGACTAATAGAGGATGTTTAAAATTTTAAAATAAAGAAACAACAGCATAAGCCTAACAATCAGTAATATGGAGGAAACACCAGAAGAAGAAAGCACTAAGAACTGGAAATGGCTGCTTTCCCAGGAAGGGAATCAGGTGTGCACAAACGGCCTTCCAGTGGGACTGATGCACAAAGGATGCTGACGCTACGTGACAGGTGGGCAGGACCTTGTCAACTATGAAATCTATAATTCTGGGAACCTTGTGGTTTTGTGTTTAAGCATGTTCTGCAAAGCAGTGACTTGGAAAAATTTACTCCCTCTTAAGAGAGACACAAGCAAGAAAGGTGACACTCCATTTTAATTGCACACGTGACACAAGTCACACGAGAAACTTGGAAGGATGGCCTCCTTGTTCCACAAAGCCAGCAAGGAGTTCCTTCTTCTATCCTGCCAAGGACAGTTATCTTCAGGATAAACATAGCAGTTATATCCAATGTTGCTCTTCTTGCTATTCTGTTCTAACCCCTTCTGTTTCTTGTCCGCAATGTGAATGCACACACACAATACCACACACACACACGCACGCACAAATCCATAGGTTTCCCAAGAGCAATGACGAATTGTTTGAAACCTCCTTGTACATTTGCTCTAAGGATTATTATTTTAAGTTATTGCTATACTGGGCAAGTGAGACACCGGCTCCCTCTCAATCCCCATAACAGAAAGGTGGATAGTGAACAGCACATGAATGAGTACAGTGTGAAATTGTCATTCCAATATGAACACGGACAGGACAGCCTGAGAAACACACCACCACAAAGTGGACAACACTACAAGAGTTCTCTGCTGTAATTAGGATGTATTCATGAGGATTAACATATACATTATATTTTTAACAAGCCTTATATCTCCAGTGCCTTCACTATTATTTGGGGGGCCTTTATCTTATTTAATTCAACTTACTTTATTAGTGGCTTCTTAACCCTTGAGCATTGATTGTTTCTGTTGCACAACTGTAAAGAAGGCACAGAACTGCTGAAACTCTATGAAAATGGCCTCCAGAGTCCACAATTCTGATTCTAAGGGTGAGTCATTCAGCGTATTTACTCAATGAGCAAAACAATCATTACAGTGCATGCTCCATGACAACAGGCACTGTGCCTGTCTTGTGCCCCCTTCCCAAGTAGCAAGCACACAGTAAGTACCTGGCACTATGGGGAGAGGGAAAAAGAAGAAGAAAGGTTGCTGTGCTATTCTAAACATCTTACAATGAGTAAATAAGACCAAGTCCCTGTCCTAAAGGATGTCAGAGACATGAAAACAAAAAATTATACTGTAAAGTGATGATGGATGAATGGAATGCCATTAGCAAGAAAAAGGGAAGCAAGGGCATTGCAAACAGTGGGAAGAGTGTGGGATCACAGTGGAGCCTGGTTGATTTTTTAAAAAACAGACATTTCCCAGTTTTCTGCATTCCACATACAGAACCTTCTTTCCTAGAAGACCAAGCTCCTTTCTGCCTCTTTCCCAGACCCCCATCCCATCTTGCCTTTTTAATTGATATTCAGTGTTGAGCAAAACTCTCCTCAGGGAACTTCTTCCTCACCTTCCCAGGCCGGGTCAGGCTCTTCAAGAACTTCCTGTAGAACTCCTTGTACTTTGCCTTCATTAAAACAATCTCAGTTTAGAGCTCTGCATTTTTCATTACTTGATTGCCTTTCTCACTGGACCACAAGCAACTCAGGGGCAGATTCAAATATGTTTTGTTTGCCATTATATCCTCACCACCAATTAAGCACTGCATATGGCACATACTGAGAACTCAACAGGTAAGAAAAATCTACACCTAAAGGCATGAGGAGACCTAACTATTTAAGATGTGTCAAAATTATTGTTTTTAAGTGGCAGAAACTACTTATAAGAACTTAGGCTGGGCCATGGTGGCTCACGCCTGTAATCCCAGCACTTTGGGAGGCCGGGATGGGTGGATCACCTGAGGTCAGGAGTTCGAGACCAGCCTGGCCAACATGGAGAAACCCCATCTCTACTAAAAATACAAAAGTTAGCTGGGTGTGGTGGTACGAGTCTGTAATCCCAGCTACTCAGGAGGCTGAGGCAGGAGAATCACTTGAACCCGGGAGGTGGAGGTTACAATAAGCTGAGATGGTGCCACTACACTCCAGCCTGGGCGACAGAGTGAGATTCCGTCTTGGAAAAAAAAAAAAAAAGAACTTAAATATATTCTTCGAAGTTATTTATTGGGTAAACAATACTGCACAAATATTTAGTAAAATTTGTACAGACTCATATCACTTTAAGACATGTTACCTAGAAAGAAAAAGCAAAGTTTCTTTTGTGATTTAGTGAGTGAGTGAGTGTGTATTTGTCTATCTGTCAAAGAGTTTTTAAGAATGATTTGCTCCCTGGCTTGTCAAAGTCCAGAGGCTTAGCTTAATTAGGCTGTGGTAGGAAGGAAAGTTGCCTTAATCAGTCAGAGTTTTGGGGGCACAGA
This sequence comes from Homo sapiens, assembly GCF_000001405.40. Lineage (NCBI taxonomy): Eukaryota > Metazoa > Chordata > Mammalia > Primates > Hominidae > Homo > Homo sapiens. The sequence goes on along the minus strand of NC_000006.12, from coordinate 34,952,426 downwards.
TGCCTCCCCCATTAGGGAAATCACAAATACTGGCTTATATTTGTTGTCCCACAATTATTAACAGCATCCTGGCCTGAACAATACATTATATGGTCATTTTACTGGATCCAGACTTTCAGACTCCTTTCTTGGAACTTTGCATCTAAAAAGCTTAGAAATAACAGCTAACATCGATTAAATGTTTACTATGGGCCAAGTATACTTTAAGTGGATTAGATAACCCACTATTTCCTTCTCATAAGAACTCTGTAAGGAAACCCTAGGAAATTGACAAGCATGGACGGAAATAACTTACCCAGGGTCGCAGAGCTAGAAAGGGTGACATTGGGTTTAACTCAAAATCTTCACCACCATGCCATATAGCTTCCTGAGAAATGGCTTTTTTCCTTGCTGTTTTTCTCATTCCTGAATAAGGTGAATTCTCCACAGCTCATATTCTTTCATTTCCGCCCCGCCTCACATTCCCCACTCCTCATTCATCCTGTCTTGCCTTTTCTTTCCCTCCAGGGTCCCAGGAAACCAATAAAGAATACTGAGAAAGAGAGGCGTGATGTTCTAGGGAGGAAATGAGTCCCAGAGGGACATGAGTAGAGGTAGTTAACTGAGAGACTTCCATTAACATTTCCAGAAATCCAATTAGCTGACAAAGTCTGTTACTTAAGGTAAGTATTGAAAGTATTGCTACAAACTGACTGAATTCATTTAATCTTATTATTTAAGATGATTATTTTGTCATTTTGGGGACATTAAAATGACAAGAATTTTCAATACAGAAATTAATAATACACTTAAAAGGGATAAATGTCTCAAATGAAATTTATTATCAGAGTCTAGGTCCTATATACACCACATATATTTCCTAAAAGTCCCAAAGCACCACAGACAAAAACAGTATTCCACATGTGGTTTATATGTAAGCTGAATGTCAAAGATCTAAAATTGTTTTCACACATGCAACTGACACGTGTGAATCCTGGACTTGACACATATTAGCTGCAAAGTCTAATAAATCATGTAACCTCTATGTAAAATGGACATATTACCTGCCCTATCCCCACCCCTAGAGGATCATTTTATGCAACAAATGGGATAATGTATGTAAAAAAGTTATAAACTGGAATTTAAAATATAAATATAATTTATAATATAATTTAAAGTAATGAACATAAATAATTTAAAATATAAAATATGAATTACTTCCAGTTTACAATTTTCGTAAATAATCTATAAAACGAGGCAAGGCATTCTAAAGACTGAGACCAGTGTCTAGTGTGCTGACATGAAACACAATGAAGATCTACGACGTGGAAAATGCAGCTGCATAACAGTAAGTACAGTATGATCTCATTTCTGTAGGAACAGAGTATTTTTCTAAGCTTATACAAACATATGGAAGGCTACATACCAAGCTTTGAAGACAAATTAGTTCTGGAGGTGAGGCATATATTACTTTTGTAATAAAACACACACTGGCAAAGACTCTGCTTGACCAAACTTCAGTCAGGCTCCTCAAAGCCCTCTAGGGCCTGACCTTGCCTCCATGCCACCTCACCTTCTATCTTTCACCTGCCCAGCCCGGTTTTAGCAAGAATCCTGCTAAGTAAGTTTGAGTCCCCACAACCAGCCTCACCCACCACCCACCCCCATCCTTGCTATCTGATCAAGTTCCTCATCCTCCACTGTTGATGTCTAAGTCTTTGGCCTGCCTTCAGCAAGAATCCTGTCAGGTCAGTTTAGCCAGAATCCCCCTAGCCTTGATGTTTCCTTTAAGTCGCTTTCTACCCACTGACCCCTTCACCTTGCTCCTTGGCTATCAATCCCCACTTGCCCTTGTCATATTTGGAGTTAAGCCGGATCTCTCTCTCTCTTATTGTAATAGTCTTGAAAAACGTCTTCCTGGCCGGGCGCGGTGGCTCACACCTGTAATCCCAACACTTTGGGAGACTGAGGTGGGCAGATCACCTGAGGTCAGGAGTTCAAGACCAGCCCGGCCAACATGGTGAAACCCCGTCTCTACTAAAAATACAAAAATTAGCTGGGCGTGGTGGCGGGTGCCCGTAATCCCAGCTACCTGAGGGAGGCTGAGGCAGGAGAATCACTTGAACCAGGGAGACGGAGGTTCCAGTAAGCCAAGATCGCGCCACTGTACTCCAGCCTGGGCGACAGAGCAAGACTCCGTCCCAAAAAAAAAAAAAAAAAAAAAAGAGAGAAAAGAAAAACCTCTTCCTTACCTTTTTTGTTTGTTTTAAGAGACAGGGTCTCACTGTCACCCACGTTAGGGTGCAGTAGCATAATCATAGCTCACTGTAACCTCAAGCTCCTGGATTCAAGGACTGAACCATTTTAAGAAGTGTCAGAAGTAATTTTTTCTTTAACAACATACACACAAACACTTTTTAAAAGTGAAGCCAGATCTAGTCCAGAGAGAGAAAGCGTTCTGGTTATGAGATTTAAGAATCCTTTTAAGAAGGAGTTCTGGAGAAAATTTATTTCTGGGTTTGGCCTCCTTTATAAAAAGCTTCCTGTGGTCCTTGATTTTTTCAGCCTCTAGAGGATGAACATCAATTACTCCCCACTGCTTCTGAATGGAGCTCTTCAATTAAAGAGGCTAAGAACAAGCTTGCTCACACAACTTCAGTACCCATCCCCAGGGGAAGGAACCAAATGGCTCAGTGATTTCAAAGGCGAGTGGACTTTAGAAGACATTGTACGAATTGTACCTAACAGTTATGTACTCCTACCTAACCCAGCCATGGCTGAGGTTAGGGGAAGTCAATGAGTCAATTTGAGGGTCACTAAATCCCAGATATTTATTTTATATCCTAGAACAGCTCATAAATTTGTCCCTTCCTATTTCCAAAGTCACTGCCTTACTCTTGAAATAACCTCCAAAATGAGCTTGACTGCCTCAAGTCTCTTCCTCCATGGAGAAAAACCAAAAAACATTCTCTATGATGCTGTCACTATCCTACTTTTTAAATGCTAACTAATCAGGTTTTCCTTCTACTTAAGAGCTTCAGAGCTCTCTCTTACCAATGGGAAAAACTTCTTAGCCTGACATGCAGTAAGGACCTCCACATCTAACCCCAGGTACCCTTCTGGCTCCATCACCCTCCCTACTCTTATACATACCTTGGGTGTCAGCTATGCACCATCCATCTCTTGGTACAGGCTGTTCTCTCTGCTTTCCCCCATCTTAATCTTTGTGAAATCTCAAGCATTCTTCAAAGCCCCACTGAGTTAACTATATCCACAGCTCTTCTTTATAGACTCCTACTTAAAGCATTTACAATACTACATTTTCTTTGTTTACAACAAGCTTGTTTCCTTTATCAGAAACATCCTTGTCTTATTCATCTCACTAACCCCATGCCTAAAACCATCTTGTCCAAAACCTTTACGGATGAGGAAACAGACACAGTCAGGAGAAAGGACAGTAAATGGCTGAGCCAGATTGGAACCAAGGCCTCCTGTCTCCCAGTGAAATGTTCTTATCACTACACCATGCCCGGGATGAATCCTCTTGACTTCCTCGGATGACACTTGTCCTCAGCTCTTCTCTGATCATCTTCCCTGCCTTTCTTCCCTTACTTCTCTTTATGAAGTGACCTACCAAGATCCGTGAACATTCAGTCCAGTGGACAGATAAACAAAACAATTGTTTTGTTTACTTTTCACAGCTCAGAATCATTTTCCTATTGGGTAAGTCTCTAAATCTGGGTGTGAGGAATGGTTTTTGGTACGCTTGAGGTTAGATGAAAGGAATGGGGGTGAGGTTATGTTTACAGGGTTTTTGCAAAGGAAGCTAGAGCACTTTGAGGGGACTGATGAACAGCAAGTAACCCCTCAACTGGGGCTAAACTCAGACCTGCCTGGCACTTAGTTCATGGCAAAGACTTCTTACTCAAATGCCATTATTTACTTTGAATCAAGAGAGCCAGGATATGAGGAGCTACCCTCTTCTCAGAATCCTTTTACTGGCCACCTCCTCTCTGCTTTAGTTCTATGTAGCCAAAGTGGCTTCCCCAAGCAGATTATTTCTTTTCTAAAAGTTATATTCAGTCCTTGAAGGAAACATTTTATTTCTGAAAATATATACTTACAGGTTATACAGATCAAATTTTGCTGCCTTAAAGCTTTTCTGCTTAAACTAATTTTTAAATGGTTGTTTCTACATAATTTAGTAATAAGCACTGTAGCCACTTAGTTGCAACTTCTATTACTGAAAATGGCTGAACAAAGCACATTACTTTGGAACATTAAAAAAAAAAAAAACACCTAAATGATGAGTTAATGGGTGCAGCAAACCAACATGGCACATGTATACATATATAACAAACCTGCATGTTGTGCACATGTACCCTAGAACTTAAAGTAAAAAAAACAAACAAACTTCGATTTTAACTAAGTCCAGGTTTTTCTCACTTTCTTTGTCTCTCTAATTGTAATATGTTTAAATTTAGTTTAATCCCAGAGCCTGTCTCAGGACCTCTACTGAGATCTGTATTTAATCAACCTCCCAAATTTGCTATATTTGCCAAATTCTTTTTCTAGTTTTCTCAAAAGGCACCCAATACCCTGTCCTTAGAGTAGTTCTAAAAATAAGTACTCACTTGAGATGACTAAGAACCTAGAAAAACACCTGGCTAAAAGGCAATGTGATGCTATGTGTAACATCTCCCAACTGAGGAGTACGAGACTTGACCCTGAGGGCATAAAGGCAACCAGTTCTAGAATCAGAGGGCTTTCCCATAAACAGCTTTTTGTTTTCCAGATTTTAAATTTACAAGAGGCAGCCATTTGCAACAGTCAAAATTCTATATGGGAAGAAATACAGCTTCATATATCACAGAACAAGAGGAAAGTCCTATCACCTCCTAATGGCCTGGTGGATGAAAAAATTCAGAGATTCTTTAATGAGTCTAATAGATATTCTATTTCAGAAGCACAAGAGACGCAACAGAGAGTCTACTATGTATAGGCTGGGCATGGTGGCTCACGTCTGTAATTCCAGCACTTTGGAAGGCCAAGACAGGCAGATCACTTGAGGTCAGGAGTTCGAGACCAGCCTGCCCAACATAGTAAAACCCCATCTCTACTAAAAATTCATAAATTAGTCAGGCATGGTGGCGGGCGCCTGTAGTCCCAAGCTACTCGAAAGGCTGAGACAGGAGAATCACCTGAACCTGGGAGGCAGAGGTTGTAGTGAGCTGAGATCACGCCACTGCACTCCAGCCTGGATGACAGAGCGAGACTCCATCTCAAAAAAAAAAAAAAAAAAAAAGAGTCTACTATACTACGTATTAAGTATCATATTAAGTATCATACTAGACACCTAATATTTTACATTAACTCTACTTTTCATACCAAATAGTAAAATAAGAATTTGCATTTTACAAACTTTAACATGCTCAGAAAGGTGAAGTCACTTGTGCAAGCACACAGAGTTAGCATGAGAAGCCAGCATGCAAACACTTTCTGCCTGACTGCTAAATCTATACTAGTCTTTCCTATTCACCACCTACCTCAATTGACGGTCTGCTAGATTTAACTAACTGTTGGTTCATAAAACTATTCTGTTGAAAATGAAAGCCTTAGAAAGTCTATGGACTCTAAAAAGTTGTATTGATATTTCTGTATTAGCTCCTAATACTTACACCTTTGTGCATATGCAGGTACAGCAATTACTGGTGAAAATTTAGGGACTGACTCAAAACCAAGACATTATGGTTATAAACTATAACATGAACGAAAACCCCACTTCCAAGTTGGTTCTCTTTAAAAAATCAATGAAATTGATAAACATCTAGCCAGATTAACCCCCCCTTTTTTTTTTTTCAAGACAGAGTTTTGCTCTGTCACCCAGGATGGAGTGCAGTAGCACAATCTCGGCTCACTGCAATCTCCGCCTCCTGGGTTCAAGCAATTCTCCCACCTCAGCCTCCCGAGTAGCTGGGACTAAAGGCACACACCACCATGCCCGACTAATATTTATATTTTTAGTAGAGACAGGGTTTCACCATATTGGCCGGGCTGGTCTTGAACTCCTAACCTCAAGTGATCTGCCCGCCTCGGCCTCCCAAAGTGCTGGGATTACAGGCATAAGCCACTGTGCCCAGCCCCAAAATTTTGTAAAAAGAGAGAGAGGCCGGGCACGGTGGCTCATGCCTGTAATTCCAGCACTTTGGGAGTCCAAGGCAGGTGGATAATCTGAGGTCAGGAGTTCAAGACCACCCCAGCCAACACAGTGAAACCCCATCTCTACTAAAAACATAAAAATTAGCTGGGCGTGGTGGCACACGCCTGTAGTCCCAGCTACTCAGGAGGCTGAGGCAGGAGAACTGCTTGAACCTGGGAGGTGGAGGTTACAGTGAGCCGAAATCATGCCACTGCACTCCAGCCTGGGGGACAGAGTGAGACTCTGTCTCAAAAAAAAAAAAAAATAAATAAAAATAAAAATAAAGAGAGGAGGAGACAGAGAGAAGACACAAATTACTAATATCAAAAAGAAAAAGAGAAGCCATCACTACAGATCCCATAGATATTAAAAGGATAATGAAGAAATATTATAGCCAAATATATGCTCATAAATTTGACAACCTCTATGAAATGAACCAATCATTGAAAGCCAATCCCACCAAATTTCATCCAAGGAAGAACAGATTATCTGAATAGGTCTATATCTATTAAAGAAATTAAATCAATAATTAATAATCAGTGCACAGTTGCCACAACTTTCACTTTGTAAAAATAAACTCAGTGTCTACAATGCACAATAAAAGATGAGGTATGCCAGTATAAAGCTATAGTGATGAAGACAGTGTGTGATGGGTGAACAAATAAATTAGTGGAACAGAATAGAGAGCCCAGAAAGCAACCCACACAAATATAGTCAACTGATCTTTGACAAAGGAGCAAAGGCCAATTCAGTGGAGATAAGATGGTCTTTGCAACAACTGGTACTGGAACAACTGGAAATCACATGCAAAAAAAGTGAATCTAGACACAGACCTTATACCTTTCATAAAAATTCACTTAAAATAAATCAAGGTCAGGTGCGGTGGCTCACACCTGTAATCCCAGCACTGTGGGCAGCCAAGGCAAGAAGACTGCTTGAGCCCAGGAGTTTGAGACCAGCCTGGGCAACAGTGGGAGACTCCATTTCTACAAAATATTTTTAAAAATTAGCCAGGTGTGGTGGTGCATGCCTGTAGTCCCAGCTACTCGGGAGGCTGAGGCAGAAGAATCACTTGAGCCTGGGAGGTCAAGGCTGCAGTAAGCTGTGTTCTCCCCACTGCATTCCAGCCTGGGTGACAGAGTAAGACCCTATTTCAAATAATAAAATAAAATAAAATAGATCATAGATCTTAATGTAAAATGCAAAATTATAAAACTTCTAGAAGATAATACAGGAGAAAACCTAGGTGAACTTGAGATTGATGATGACTATTTAGGTACAACACCGACTTTCATGATCCATGAAAACACTGATAAGCTGGACTTACTAAAATTAAAAACTTCTGCTCTGTGAAAAACAGTTAAGAGAATGAAAAGACAAGCCACAGACTGGGAGAAAATCTTTGTAAAATCATTTCTGATAAAGGATATATATCCAAAATACAGCTGACCCTTGAACAACACAGATTTGAGCTGTATGGATTCACTTTCATGCAGATTTTTTTCAACGAAACCGTATTTGCAGATGGAAAACCTGCATATTCAGAGGGCCACCATTTCATATGTGCAGATTCTGTGGGGCTGACTGAGAAACTTGGGTATGCACAGATTTTGGTATATGCAGGAGAGTCCTGGAACCAGTCCCCCACGGATACTGAGTAAAAACTGTATACCAAGAACTCATAAAATTCAACAATAAGAAAACAACCTAATTTAAAAGATCTGAACAGACACCTCACCAAAGAAGATGTACAGGTGGCAAATAAGCATATGAAAAGACACTCACTCAATATCGAATTCAAATGTCACTTAGGGAAATGCAAGTTAAAACTACAATAAGACACCACTAAATATCTATTTGAATGGCTAAAATCCAAAACATAACACCAAATGACAGTGAGGATATGGAGCAACAGGAACTCTCATTCATTGCTGGGTGGGAGTACAAAATAATATGTCCACTTTTTTTTTTTTGAGATGGCATCTCGCTGTTGCCCAGGCTGGAGTGCAGTAGCATGATCTCAGCTCACTGCAAGCTCCGCCTCCCAGGTTTACGCCATTCTCCTGCCTCGGCCTCCTGAGTAGCTGGGACTACAGGCACCCACCACCATGCCCGGCTAACTTTGTTTTTGTATTTTTAGTAGAGACTGGGTTTTCACCGTGTTAGCCAGGATGGTCTCGATCTCCTGACCTCATGATCTGCCCGCCTTGGCCTCCCAAAGTGCTGGGATTACAGGCGTGAGCCACCACGCCCAGCCTATATGTCTACTTTAAAAGACAGTTTGGCAGTTTCTTACAAAGCTAAATATACGCTTACCATATGATTCAGTAATCATGCTCCTGGGTATTTACCCAAATGAGCTTATGTCTGCACCAAAACTTGCACACAAATGTTTATAGCAGCTCTATTCATAACTGCCAAAACTTGGAAGCGACCAAGATGTCCTTCATACAATGGGCTTATTATCCAGGAATAAAAAGAAATAAAGTATCAAAGCTATAAAAAGACTTCGAGAAATCTTAAATGCATATTGTTAGGTGAAAGAAGCCAGGATGGAAAGGCTCCATACTGTATGATTCCAACTAGATATTTCAGTAAAAGCAAAACTATAGAGATGGTAAGAAGATCAGTGCCTGCCATGGGTTCAACGGGGAGGGAAGACAGGTGAATAGATGGAGCACAGGGCATTCTTTGGGCAGTGAAATTATTTTGTATGATATTTAATACTATAATGGTAGATATATGACATGAGGCATTTGTCAAAATCCATAGAACTATATAACACACAGAGTGAGCCCTAATGAACGTTAGTTAATAACGTATCAATATTGGCTCATCAATTATAACAAATGTACCACACATTAAAGATGTTAGTATCACACAGGCAAGGTGTTAATAATAATAGGGGAAACTGTGTGAGTGGGAGAGAGAAGAAGTATATGGGAACTCTCTGTACTTTTTGAGCAATTTTTCTATAAACCTAAAACTGCTGTAGGCCGGATGCAGTGGTTCACACCTGTAATCCCAGCACTTTGGGAGGCCAAGGCAGAATGATCACTTCAGCCCAAGAGTTCAAGACCAGCCTGGGCAAAGGAGCAAGACCGCATATCAAAACTACCTGAGCATGGTGATGCACACCTGTATTCCTAGCTACTTGGGAGGCCGAGGTGGGAGTAGGCCCTGAGCCCAGGAGTTAAAGGTTATAGTGAGCTTTGACTGTACTACTACACTCCAGCCTGGCCAACAGAGGGAGAGAAAGAAAAGGAAAGGAAAAGGAAAAGGAAAAGGAAAGGGGAAAGGGGAAAGGAAAAGGAGGGGGAAGGGAAGGGGAAAGGGAAGGAAAGGGAAGGGAAAGAAAAGGAAAGGAAAGGGAAAAGAAAAGAGAAAAAAGAAAAGAAAAGAAGGATGGGGAGGGGAGGGGGAAAAGAAAAGAAACAACATCAACAAATACAACTCTAAAAAAACCAAGTCTATTTAAAAAATCCCACACTCCCTAAGAGTAAATACCAATGACAGAAGAAAGTGTACAATGCACAATCCCAAACACAGGAGGAAAAAAAAAAATCAGTATCAGGATGAAAAAAGACATGAATCAACAAGGTCAGCCCAATTTACATACAAATCAAGATCCTAACTTTACACTCCCTATCTGCAAGACCTCAGTTCTCAATTAAGGGACCAGTCTGAGAGAAGTGGGTGCATTCATACAAAATCAAAATCTCACAGAGCTCAAAGAAACTGTTAGTGATCATCCACCACCTCACTCACTCTTCAGATTTGGAGTATGAAACGTAAACACTGGAACTCCATCTTAGCTCCTAGAAGCCAGTAAGTCACATCATTTAAGCTACTAACCTCAAATCTAGACCTTAAACTCAAGTGAGTACTGAAGCTCTGGCTACTTGTGATGGCTGTTCACAGCAAATCTCCAATTCCTCTGTCATACACTGCCAAGTTCACCAGTTGTTCTAGAGAGAGTTGGTAAAGTAGAGAAAATGTTCACTTCCTCGAAAGAAAGAAGAGATGGCCAAGGTTTGGCCTAGCGCTCAAAAGAAACAAGTAGTTTAATTGGGGAATCGTATGAGAAACTTCATCCGATTATTAAGCTATCCTCAAAAAACTATGAAAGCAAATGAAACATAATAAACCCCCAAAACTGAAGACAGTCAAAGCATTTCAAACCCCTCAGTATGCATAATCCTCAAGATTACAACTAGGACAATGTTACTTCGAATCTAATACTTTGTAGGCTAATGATATTATTAACCTCTAATTAATAGCATCACCTCTAATAACAACAACTACATAGAGAACAGCTCCTAGAGGTGCTGGATCTCAGTATCATTTCCTCTGGCTCTGAACAGTACATCGTACATTGTCAGTCACATTCCCAGCACAAGTTAGACCATGTCCCTCTCAGGTTTCCTAGCCCAGGTCATACATATATTCTGCTGCTTTGTGACATCCCTGAAATGTCTTTAAAGAATGAACGGCTGTCAATTTTAAGGAATGACGAAAGTTATCCCCAAGGAATGTCAGGAGTGTTGAGCATCAGAGAATCCAATGTTCCCATTAACAGAATAAAGAAGAGAAGCTATATGTTCATTAGATTTTTTAAAAATTGCTGATTCAACATTAATTCATTATAAAAACTCAATTAATGTCAAAATGTATTCAGTTTGGGCGGGCACAGTGGCTCATGCCTGTAATCCCAATACTTTGTGAGGCCGAGGTGGGAGGATTGCTTGAGCCTAGGAGTTCAAGACCAGCCTAGGCAACATAGCTAAATCCTATCTCTATAAAAAAATAAAAAATAATAATAATATATTAAGCGTTAGAGACACAGCAGAGGAAAAAAAACGGAAAAAGCCAAGTTGTGGATTATGTAACATCATCAAAATAAAAATGGAATATATTTGTATAAGCATGGAAAAAAATCTAAAAATAAATACATAAAATTGTTAGGCTGGCGCGGTGGCTCACACCTGTAATCCCAACACTTTGGGAGGCCAAGGCAGGCCGATCACAAGGTCAGGAGTTCAAGACCAGCCCGACCAACATGGTGAAACCCTGTCTCTACTAAAAATACAAAAATTAGCCGGGCGTGGTGGCACACGCCTGTGATCCCACCTACTCAGGAGGCTGAGGCAGGAGAATCACTTGAACCCGGGAGGTGGAGTTGCAGTGAGCCAAGATGGCACCACTGCACTCCAGCCTGGGTGACAGAGCAAGACTCCATCTCAAAAAAAAAATTTTTTTTAGAGGTAGAAATACTATAGATGTTGCCATTGTTTGACTTTTTTATCATGAGGATATATTATTTTAATTTTTTTTTTTTTTGACACAGAGTTTCATCCTCGTTGCCCAGGATGGAGTGCAATGGCATGATCTCAGCTCACTGCAACCTCCGCCTGCTGAGTTCAAGCGATTCTCCCGCCTCAGCCTCCCAAGTAGCTGGGATTACAGGCACCCGCCACCACGCCCAGCTAATTTTTGTATTTTAGTAGAGACGGGGTTTCATCATGTTGGCTAGGCTGGTCTCGAACTCCTGACCTTGTGATCCGCCTGCCTTGGCCTCCCAAAGTGCTGGGATTATAAGTGTGAGCCAATATTTTAATAATTTTTAAATAATACTTTTGTCTTAGAAAAGTTAGACTCAATAGCACTACTAATCTTGGTTCACTTAATTTTATATCCAACATATAGAAAAGATATCTAAGAATCATTAGAAAAAATATTTCTCCAGTATATGGACTGATGAAAATTAAATCATCTCTCATTTCTGTTTTTCCTCCAAATTCTCATCCTTGTTAGGTGTGTCACAAGCAGATTCCCACAAGTGCCTCAAGGACAAAGGTCATTCCAAGTATATTGCCCTGAACACTCTGCACATTGGTTAAGTACATTTTTCAACAGAAACAATGTAAAACATCACATTCCAGGTTTCCTGGTTCCATCTTCGGGTCAGTGAACTACATCAGTCAACACAAAGTGCTCCGCAAGATAAGGAGTGTATAATTAATCTTTTCTTTATCTTCCGAATTTACCAGCAGTTGTTTTCCAAGGCTCACTATGTGGAATCTCAACTTCGGAGACACAATGTACTCATCAGACAGTGCAAAATACACTCTGTTTTTAAATCCACTGCTTATCTTGTAACTATTCTTGGCCTGAAAGACAAGTGAACAGTCTCTGAGAAACCAACTCTGGAAATGAGAGCATTATAGGCCATCTAACCAGGACCAAGATGACCAAAATTCATTGTGCTCACACTATAGCGCTTCCCCCAAAGCCACTGCCCACAATGGCTGGGAGCAGCAACCATATTTCTTAGATGAACAGGATGTGAAAAAGCCACAGAAGTAGAAAATATTCCTGAAATCTTCAAGCCACTATGGCTGATTTTTTGCACCATCATCTACTCTGCAGCTATTTCTAAGCAGAACAGCCATTAACAAATACCAAGGGAATGCTGTAAATGAAAAGCATTAAGTCTCCTTAGCATATCCCCAAACCTTTTCTTTTTTTTTTTGAAAGAGACAGGATCTCACTCTGTCATCTAGGCTGGAGTGCAGTGGCACGATCATAGCTCATTGTAACCTGGAACTCCTGGGCTCAAGCAATCCAACCACCTCAGCCTTCCAAAGTGCTGGGATTACAGGCATAAGCCACTGTGCCTGGCCCCAAATACTTCTTATTTCCGATTACTTGAAAGCAAATAGCAGAAGGCAACTAATTACTTCACCATAGTGTATATTATAATATTGCTAAAACAAACTGCACTTGTTCACAATAAAAATATTTACTGAATGCATACCACAACTAAGATGCCCACTGAATCAACAAGATCTGCAGGCAAACTCCACAAACCTGATGAAATACACAGGATCAAATTAAGTAAATTTATTGAGAAGACTTGTGAAATCACTCCAGTGAGGCTGCTGGAGGGGTTCCATTGCCCTGTCCACAGGAGGTGTGCATTCTGATCTGCTCCAACCTGTGAGGTAAAGGGCCTGGCCCTGTAGGGAAGGGCTCCTAGAACAGAGACAATAAAGAAGGTATTCTTTAATTGGCTCCCTTATACTCCTTAAATGCTACCTCCAAAAGAACCTAAAATCAGTGCTCTAAGCCTTAAGTAATCTAAAATCAAATATTTTTAGAAAATTCATAATTATTAGGACAGTCAAGTAATACTCCAATTTTGCAACTACTTATGAGATGAGTTTCAAAGAAATACTTGGTTTTGTTTGTTTGTTTTTCCAAGATGGAGTCTCGCTCTGTCGCCCAGGCTGGAGCACAGTGGCGAGATCTCAGCTCACTGTAACCTCCACCTCCCGGGTTCAAGCAATTCTCCTGCCTCAGCCGTCCGCGTAGGTGGGATTACAGGCGTGCGCCACCACGCCCGGCAAATTTTTGTAGTTTTTGTAGAGATGGGGTTTCACCATGTTGGCCAGGCTGGTCTTGAACTCCTGACTTCATGATCCACCTGCCTTGGCCTCCCAAAGTGCTGGGATTACAGGCGTGAGCCACCATGCCCGGCCCAGAAATACTTGTTTTATAAGACTCTTTCAAACTCAGAGAGGAGAAGACAAACAAACAAAAGCAACGTGGGGACCATTTCTGGGTATCCCAGAATCAGAAAACAAATAAAACTTAAGTAAAAAGTAAAAGTTCAAATTTGACCAAAATAGGCTTCTTGGGGGAGGGATGGAAGAATGAGTGTGTTCGGTTATGTGCATGGCACAGAGCCATGGCCACTAGTGGCACGTGACACACACACACATTTATCCACTGAGGGGCAGAAGTGTATGTACATAAGGAACAGACTGATTTGTGCCAGGGCAGGGGCAATGACACAGCCTTTTCTACAGAGCAATTTCACTCCATTCCTCAAAGGAGAGGACAGCTGTCTTTGAGGAGGATATTGGAGACTCCTCCTGCTCTCTTATTCCAAAAAAGCCTAAATAAGATTGATTTTTTAGGGCCAGTTGAATAGGCATAAAAGGATTGTTCCCAATTTGCTTGATGCCTGAAATTCTTATAAAGAAAAGCTTTTTAAACTGCAATTAAAAATAAATGGCTTATAATGTGCTTTAAAATGGATGAGAGGTAATGTATTTGCTTTGGCTGCATTTTATTTAATTATGAATAAATGACATATCAGACCTTTCCCAGCTTAGATGGAAGGAAGGAGAAAAGAACAGGTCAATAGGTGCCCTAAGTGGAAGAGAGGTCACTACAGAGGGAGGTGTGGGGTAGGGTGGGAGAAGCTGTGGAAGCATCATTTAAAATCATATGCTAGGAAATTCAATGACAAAAGAAAGTGTCCATGATATAAATCAGACCAAGTTAGGGAGCAGTAAAGGCTATGAGGTGTAACTGATTTTGTCCTAATAAGTTTTCCCACTATAGACACTGTAGATTAATTCTCCTAATGCCAGAGTCTGATTATTACTTGCCCACTCTAAAACCTTCGGTGGCATCCTTCAATCTTGAGATGAGGTCAAAACAACCCAATGAAGGATTTCATGCCTTGTGTGAACCAGCCACAACTTCTTTTTTCTGATCTTACTATCTTTATCTCTCCTTTATACCCCATTGATTCAGCAAAATTTAGCCATTCTCTAAACCAGCACAGTTTCTTCTGCCTTCCTCACCTTTCTCCCCACTGTCCCATGCCTCAATTCTCCTCCTCCTTCAAAGGCCGCAGCCTCCACAATAGCATGTCTGATCTTCCTTCCACAGTAAGGGCCTTACCTACATTACATTGTTTAAGCCTCACAATTACCCTGTGAAATAGGTACTTATTATCTCCATTTACCAGATGAGGAAACAGTCTTAGAGAAGTAAAATAATCATACAAGGGCCCTAAGATAATAAATTCTAAAACAGGATTTGAATCCAGCCATTCTTTTTAAAAAAATATATATATATATATTTTTTTAAGATGAGGTCTCGCAATGTTGCACAGGCTGGTCTCAAACTCCTGAGTTCAAGTGATCCGCCTGCCCCTACCTCCCAAAGTGCTGGGATTACAGGGCTGTGCCACTGCGCCCCACCAGAATCCAAGCATTCTGACTCCAGAGCCCAAAGCCATAATGTCAGTCTGCCTTTCAGCACTACACATCCAAAATGACTATCTTCTCTCCTCTGAATTCCCCTTGCATTTTACCTGTTTAATAGAGTAAAAAGGATGTAATATGTATGTATGTATAGGAATGTATATGTATGTATGTAACATGTATGTATCTTTCTAGACTCTAAGCCTCTTGAGATCAAGGTCCACCTACATGAGATTCATCTTTGTATCTGCTAGGTATCCAGCATAGTAGATACCGGATCAAATGTTTGCTGAATAGATGAAGCTACATATCAGTTTTAAGCTTTATTTTTGAAATAAAAGTAGTTTCTTATAGAATTTTAGCTCCCAATAAATTTGCTCATCTAGGTGTCACGGGGAATATATTTCACATGAATTATCAGCAAAGGGGCCATTCATCCTGTACATGTTGGAGATGGAGTGAATGAAAAGTGAGGAAACCGAATATCCTTGGGAGCTATCACCGCCATTATCATGTATTAGAGCCTTCTTGTAGGAATTAGAAACCCAGGGTGTGTTTAAAAATATGGTAGCACTTTGACCATTAAGGAAGGAAACATATTCTAAGCACTAGAACATTCTCATAAAAGGCCTGGCAATGGAAGCAAATGAACTGTTGAAAGAAGACTGGACATGTTTCCCTCAGCCTGGAAGGAATATAGAAAATCTAAAGATAATGACCTCAGTACTATATCCTGAGCCATCTACAGTTGGAGGACCTTCACCAGCTTCCGCTTGACAGTCACAGACCTGAGTGTTCCCGCCTGCTACAAAGGCAAAAAAGGCCCTCCAAAGGCCTCCCTCCACTGTGAGGACAGGCACAATCAGAATCTCGCGCCCTTCAGAGTCTCTACCTCAGTGACAGTGGAGGTCTTTCTACTTCTGCTGCTGCCCTGGCCTGAATTTCTCCATTGAAGGTAAGAGCTGGTTGGCATAATGTGTACTCTTTCAATGCACACTACAGATCAGGGGGTTCTCTGCACTCTAAAACAAGTTCCTGAAATTCCCTTACCAGCAACTAGGGACATGCTAATCTCACCACCACTTCACCAGGAGAAAGTATTTTTTTTTTTTTTTTTTTTTTTTTGAGACGGAGTCTCGCTCTGTCGCCCAGGCTGGAGTGCAGTGGCGGGATCTCGGCTCACTGCAAGCTCCGCCTCCCGGGTTCACGCCATTCTCCTGCCTCAGCCTCCCAAGTAGCTGGGACTACAGGCGCCCGCCACTACGCCCGGCTAATTTTTTGTATTTTTAGTAGAGACGGGGTTTCACCGTTTTAGCCGGGATGGTCTCGATCTCCTGACCTCGTGATCCGCCCGCCTCGGCCTCCCAAAGTGCTGGGATTACAGGCGTGAGCCACCGCGCCCGGCCCACCAGGAGAAAGTATTTTAAATAAGTAATTTGTACCCTCTTTCTTTCAAGGTTCTCCTTATGCAGCTGGCAGCTGAACACGTTAAGTACCAATGAAGCTTTTAATATTATAAAGCTGTTGTGTATTTTATCCACTCGGCCTTTAGCAATACATTAATTTATGTTATGCCTTCAGCATTTGGTTTAAAGATGGGAAACAACTAAAGCTACCGGAAAGGGAGCCCAGATATTTTAAGCAGTTCCCTTTCTCATATTTCAAGTACAGATGACAAAGTCCAACAATATCAGCAAGTCCCAGCTCTGCATAAATCTCATATCAGCAATTTTTAATGCAAACTAACACCAGGGCAATCCCAGTTTTGACTCTGAAGACGGGCATTAAAAAATGTAAACCAGCCAGGCCAAGTGGCTCACGCCTGTAATCCCAGCACTTTGGGAGGCTGAGGTGGAAGGAATGCTTGAGCCCAGGAGTTTGAGACCAGCCTGGGAAACACGGCGAGACCCCGTCTCTACAAAAATTTCAAAAGTTAGCTAGGTGTGGCAATGCATGCCTGTAGTCCCAGCTACTGAGGAGGCTAAGGTGGGAGGATGGCTTAAGCCCAGTTGTTGGAGGTTCCAGTGAACTATGATCACACCACTGCACTCCAGCCTAAGCGACACATCAAGAAACTGTCTTTAAAAAACAAGAGGGAACCAGCCTATCACTGTCCAGAAGAATGAAAACAGAGTTAAATCTCCTAAGCATGTCCAGCAGACAAAACTCAAAATGATTTTCTTACATTAGAGTAAATATGAATGGCTTCACATGGCCACTGTTCTAAGAAGGAAAATAAAAACAAATGAAAGAAGACACCTGAAGAATCCAATGTTTGAAATAACTAGAAAAAGTGACCCACAACAGCCTTATAAAATAAAATGTGAAGGAAAAGGAGAAAAATAGGCTGGGGGTGGGGTGGGAGGTGAAAAGAGAGGGGAATAAGACTAGATTGTTTTAGCTGAGATGTCGACAGGTTCTTGGCCCTAGCCAAAAGAAACAGGTTTCACATGTGTAAGAGCAAGGGAAGCTGGGTCAGAGCCAACTTGTCACGACGCCCACTTTCCAACACTTACTATGAAGCAAGGATTTTTTTCTTCTTGCATGAGATTCCAGGGAAACGGATGTAAGCATGACCGCTGAATGATATGTAACTTCAAATGAGAAAACTGATAATAACCAGACAGGGTCCTAGAGTAATGCCAAAATGATTTAAAGCTAACCAAGCTCTTGGCAAGCTCAAAAGACTTCAGTGACTAAAAAACCAATTTCACCTAGTGTTATAAAGTACCTGGGGGTGGCTGGGCGTGGTGGCTCACGCCTGTAATCCCAGCACTTTGGGAGGCCGAGGCGGGCGGATCACAAGGTCAGGAGATAGAGACCGTCCTGGCTAACACAGTGAAACCCCATCTCTACTAAAAATACAAAAAAATTAGCCGGGCATGGTGGTGGGCGCCTGTAGTCCCAGCTGCTCCGGAGGCTGAGGCAGGAGAATGGCGTGAACCCGGGAGGTGGAGCTTGCAGTGAGCCGAGACTGGGCCACTGCACTTCAGCCTGGGTGACAAAGCAAGACTCCGTCTCCAAAATAAATAAATAAATAAATAAATAAAAATAAAGTGCCTGGGGAACTAAATTGAGGGCTTCCTTCCACATCACCTCTCTGGAAAATGCTTTAATTTGTATGGAGTATAAGAGAAAAAACAAAGCTTTTAATTCTCCAACGTACACAGTTATCTGGCTGTTTCTTCCATTCTTCTCCCGTCTCCATTTCATTCCTCCTAACACCATGGTATCTTGGTTTAGGTCCACAATTTCTGAACAGCAGCCCTAAAATATCAGCTATTGACTGCCGTATTCAAAGAAAGCCACAAGACTCTCAAATAAAAATAATGTTTAATTGCATTAATTCCATCTAATTTGTTAGTATTTTTTCAAAGGCATTAGCCCTGACAATTCTTTTGGAAGATGTCAGTCAAAGCAACAAAAGGGTTGGAAGAAACTAGAACACTGGTATGCTATCCAAGGAAGTCAACTGTTTGAAGGAAGGGCAGTTGCTTCCAAAACACTGTTACAGTTTTTCCATGTATAAATTTATTTAAAAACAGCCTTTTCCCTTTGGGAGGCTGAGGCGGGCGGATCACCTAAGGTCGGGAGTTTGCAACTAGCCTGACCAACATGGAGAAACCCCGTCTCTACTAAAAATACAAAACTAGCCGGGCGTGGTGGCCCATGCCTGTAATCCCAGCTACTTGGGAGGCTGAGGCAGGAGAATCGCTTGAATCCAGGAGGCGGTGGTTGCAGTGAGACGAGATCGCGCCATTGCACTCCAGCCTGGGCAACAAGAGCGAAACTCCATCTCAAAAACAAAACAAAACAGCCTTTTCTCCATCATTCTATGCATTTAAAATCTTTCTATGCTTCCATTACTAATAGCAAGTGTCAAAAAAAATCTATTTCGCCAAAGACATTTCGTCCACAAAAGTAGTGATAGAATGATCACGGACATAAATTTGAATTCCAGACTGCCAAATAAAACTTCCAAAGAGGAACTACTCATACAACTCAACAACAGAAAGGCAAGTAACCCAATTCAAAGATGTCCAAATGATTTGAAAAATCATCTTTCCAAAGAAGATACACAAATGGCTAATAAGCACACAGAAGGATGTTCAATAGTAATAGTCATGAGGGAAAGACAAATCAAAAATCACTTTATATCCACTAGGATAAAATAAAATGGACAATAACAAATGTCAGTGAGTATATGGAGAAATTGGAACACTCATACATTTCTGGTGGGATTGTAAAATGATACAGCCACTTTGAAAAACAATATAGCAGGTCCTCAAAAAGTTAAACAGAGTTAACATATAACTCAGCAATTCACTCCAAGAGAAATGAAAGCATAGGTCTACACAAAACTTTGTATATGGATGTTCAAAGTAGCATCATTCACAAAAACCAAAATATGGAAACAACATAAATTTCCATTAACTGATGAATGGATGAACATATGGTATACTCATACAATGGAATATTATTTGGCAATAAAAAAGAAGAACTGCTGGGCATGGTGGCTCATGCCTGTAATCCCAGCACTTTGGGAGGTTGAGACGGATAGATCACTTGAGGTCAGGAGTTTAAGACCAGCCTGGCCAACATGGTGAAACCTCATCTCTGCTAAAAATACAAAAATTAGCCAGGTGTGGTGATGCACGCTTGTAATCCCAGCTACTCAGGAGGCTGAGGCAGGAGAATCTCTTGAACTTGGGAGGCGGAGATTGCAGTGAGTCAAGATCGCACCACTGCACTCCAGATCCTCAGGCGGATCGCCTGAGGAGTTCAAGACCAGCCTGGCCAACACGGTGAAACCCTATCTCTGTTAAAAATATAAATAGCCAGGGGCGGTGGTGGGTGCCTGTAATCCGAGTTACTCGGCAGGCTGAGGCAGGAGAATTGCTTGAACCCGGGAGGCCGAGGTTGCAGTGAGCTGAGACGCACACCACTGTACTCCAGCCTGGGCAACAGAGCCAGACTCCATCTCAAAACAAAAAACAAAAACAAAACAAAACAAAAACCAATATGGTTAAAAGAGAAAAATTACTCTGTCCAAGGCAGATTTGAGGCTCGAACTGAAGTCAGGCTTACTCCTGTGCCAGGTCCTCCAATCTCTGTACCTTAAAATTTGTCAGAACCACCTCAAGGCCATCCAACTGGCCATTGGCCACTGGCCTCAGCACCTAACAGTCCACCCCATCCCTTCTCTAGAGGCTATCAACTATTTTAAGATACAGATTTGTATCTGTAATATATGCTCATTAAATTCTGAATACTGAAAGGAATAATCACACGTTTATTAATCTACTGTTTTGTACTTCTTACTCACCAACTTTCCTGCCTTTTAGCTCTCTGCAAGTGTCCTTCACAGAAACGGGTGTTATTTAATGAGCCAACCTATGTGTTCATCTGAGCATGAATTTTCCCAGACTTGCACCTAGATTATAGGGGGTATCCTCCATGAAGGAAAGAGTGCTACACAAATTGGGCTTCCTCCCTTGCCCTAGACTGGTTGGAAGAAAAAGTACAGCAATTTCCCTCCTCTAACCATTTTGAGTCTCCTAGCTTTTTGAAGATTTAAAAACCACCTAAGATTGTGGCTCCATGAAGTAATGCCATTTGTAGAGAGTAAAAAAAGCAGAAGGGGAGAGAGTAGGGGTCCTCTATGCAAAAATAAAACTTGCTTCTGAGAACTCTCAAAGCTAAGAAGGCATAAAAGGTCCAATATTGAAAACAGCCTTAGGCTGGGCACGGTGGCTCACTCCTGTAATCCCAGCACTTTGGGAGGTCAAGGTGGGTGGATCACCTGAGGTCAGGAGTTCGAGATCAGCCTGGCCAACATAGTGAAACCCCATCTCTACTAAAAAATACAAAAATTAGCCAGGTGTGGTGGTGAGTGCCTATAATTCCAGCTACTCAGGAGGCTGAGGCAGGAGAATCGCTTGAGCCTGGGAGGCGAAGGTTGCAGTGAGCTGAGATCGCACCACTGTACTCCAGCCTGGGTGACAGAGTGAAACACTTTCTCAAAAAAAAAAAAAAGAAAACAGCCTTGGGAGGCTGAGGCGGGCGGATCACCTGAGGTCGGGAGTTCAAGACCAGCCTGACCAACATGGAGAAACCCTGTCTCTACTAAAAACACAAAAATATTAGCCAGGCATGGTGGTGCATGCCTGTAATCCCACCTACTCAGGAGGCTGAGGCGGGAGAATCGCTTGAACCCAGGGGGCAGAGGTTGTAGTGAGCTGAGATCTTGCATTGCGCTCCAGCCTGGGCAACAAGAGCCACACTCCTTCTCAAAAAAAAAAAAAAAGACTTTATGTGAGATAAGCATAAAACTCTTCCCTCAGCCAAAGTAACAGGGAAGAAGTGTCATTTCTGATGAGCAGCTTACAAGCGAGGAAGGGGCCTCAGCTACATCAGTGGCTGTGGTAACAGAAACGAGGCAAGTTGATACTTCTTAGGAGATATAACGTTCCCAAGTTTAAAAAAGTATAAATAATTTCCATGAGAGGAACTGCACAAAAACAGAGAAAATGGCTTTGCCAGAAACAAGCAGAACAGAGAGAAAAGATAAAGGAAAGAGGAGAGACAAACCAGAGCCCACCAGAGGACATCTCGCTCAACCCTAATGTAACTCTATGTGGTAAACATTAACATCCCTTTTTTACACAAAAAGCAACCTGGGATTTGGAAGAATAAAACAGCTTGCCCAGGTCACACACACAGGGAATGTGCAACAGGGCCGAGTCTGAACCCTGTTCTGCTAAGGCTCCACAGCCTGGGCTGGCAGCACCACATAGACAATCCGTTCACCTTCCTTCCTGCTGAAGCTTCCCTTCCTCATTCCATCTTTCTGTGCTTCATCTACTTATGTTGCTGAGCCTCCAAACATAGCCCAGGAGAGATGTACCTACCACCTCTAAGTCCCCCCACAGTAAGGTAATGAAAAAAGTGTAAAGGTCAATATTAAAAACAAGATGATGAATATTCCAATAGACTTGGAGAGAGTTCAGAATATTGGGAGATGATCCCATTAGATGTGAAAACCAACTTCCTGTGCTGGAAACTACCCATTGGCATAACAGGATGAAGACCAAAACCTTTTATTTAGTAAAACGATCTTCTGGAATCCAAGGGGGAAAGGTAACAGCTATCGATGAAAGATAACTAAAAAGAAAAATCCCATTCATGAATTTCAGATGTCATAGAGCAGGAATGTGGAGAATAAGCCAGGACTATAGGGGAAATAAGTAGGATAGAAAGTAAGGCCTAAGCAATGAAGGATAGGAAGCAACAAAGCAAAACAAACACACAGAGAAAGAGACAGAAAGAGAGAGAAAGAGAAAGAAAGAGAGAAAGAAAGAAAGAGAAAGAGAGAGAGAGAAGGAGGAAGGAAAAGGGGAAGGGGGAGGGGGAGGGGAAGGAGAAGGGGAGGAAGAGAAAGAAAGAAAGAGAAGGAAAGAAAGGAAAGACCTAATGGAAAAGGCACTTTTTAGCAGTGTGATTATGAATCTTCATAATTTAAAAGTCATGGTTAATCAGGATGGTCTTTACAATAAAAAGGTAGAGTATTTCAAAAGGATAAAGAAATAAGAACCAAAAAATCTAAGCAAAGTGGCAGATTGCTAAGTATTCCAAATGACATTGATGAAAAACAAAACTGCACCACTAGAATAGATATCTGTATGCCAAACTAGAGACACGTGAACGGCACAGGTGAATGGAAAGCAAGCCAAGTTCCCCATCTAGCATATCTGCAAATATGATCGAGAATGATGGGAGCTTTTCCAGGCAGATACTGCTAAACAGGGAAATCAAACATGGGTGGAATACATTTATTCATTCGTCTATTATAATCTTATCAACTCCTACCATGCAAGGTACTTTTGCTTATAAGAGTCAAAAGTACATAAAATGTAACCAAAAAGGACCAAATGAAACCATTACTACCACCACATACAAAAAAAGTATTGAAAGCCTGCTAGTACCAACAGTACTCATTCCTTACTTACTCCATTCCAGATCTCATTCGAAGTGCTTTATAGTAAAGCCTTTATGAAGGTATGCATTAGCATCTTCACCTTATAGAAAAGGTTAAATAACTAACCCCAAACCTCACAGCCACTAAACATATACCTGCTCACTTTTCCATAATATCTTTAGTAAACAGATTTCTGAGATTTCTAAGAAACTGAGGCTTAAAGAGGTGAACAGACTTGCCCAAAGGTGCATAGCTAGTATAAGTGGGCACAGCCAGTGTTCAAACCAGGCCCATGGGACTCAAAAAAGCACCTGCTCCCTCTTATGTTACCATGTGACTTTCCTAAAACAACTTCTTCATTAGAACTCAAAAGAGGAAAAAGAAAATGCCACCTTGAAAATGGCAGCTCTGGCTAACTGAAGGGAGATGGTGAAACACAGTGAGTGAGCAGACACCCCAGAATCCCCTGCCAGGATTCAAATCCCAGCCACGCCAATAACCAGATGTGCAACTCCAGGCAAACTTAACTGTGCTGTGCCTCAATTTCCTCATCTGCAAAACAGAGTAACACTCTACCCTCCTAATAGGGGTGGGTTGTGAAAATCAGAGATTAAATGGAAAGTATTAGAACAGTGTGGGACACAAAGCAGTGAGCAAAAAAGAGAAAAAAAAAAAGACTCCTCTAAAAATAATTGAGACAAAGCAAACATGGATAAGGTCCTTAACTCAATCCACCCTGCTGTGATAATGCTTTTACTTGGGAGTTTGGGATAAAGCCTTGGCCTGGGGGAAACCAGGGCTCTTTCTTATCCTAAAATTACAGCCTTCCGTGACAGAGTGCTCCTGACAGGGTGATTCTGAGCATGAAGCTCCGAGTCTTTTCAGAGGATCCTGTGAGGCCTGGGGCTGTAAAAGGCTGCTCTCTTCTTCCACTGTGCTGTGTCTTCTAAGCAGGAGGGCTACGCAGAGATTGGAAATAGCAGAAGTCTGTGGTTCATGCATACAGAGATGGGAAGACAATATTCCCAATCTCCATCAAGATTTACAGGCTTCCTTATGAAGGGAAAACAGGTTTGAAGCCCAAGTCCCACTGGACACTCTGAAAAGCCTTTGGCTCAAGAGGATCAGAGGGAGCTGGCAGTAAGGTTGAATAGTAGCCACTAAGAAGCCAGTACCGCATGTGGGGTCTGCATCAAGTGGACCAGGTGGAGCTGGATACCCTGTGAATGAATGGGGAAAATGCCAGCCTTGCCTACTGCTCCTGGATTCAAACTGCAGCCCAAAAGAAGCCATCTCAGTTTGGAAAATGGGCTCCTCTTGGTTGTAAGGGGTGGGTGAGGAACTGCTCTCCTGTTTACACTAAACCTTCCCTTAACCAGCTCCTCCTGCCCACTCTCCTCCCTCTGACCAGTTTTTTACACAGCCATTCAGGCAGGATTAGAGGCTCAGGTCACCTTGCACTTGTCTCCCTTGCACCTCCATCAGTCATCAAATCCTGTACATTACAGTACTGTTTCAAAACAATACCAAGACTTACACCTGCCTCTTTATGCCCAAGGCTGTCACTTAGTCCAGCTCCAATGAGGTGAACTATCAGAACGGCTTCCTGGCTGGCTTTCCGACCCGTGCCACAGCTCCTCACTTCAGCCCACCCTGAAAATCCACACTTGACTCATCTGCTTGAACTTCAAGTTCCTTTGGTCATTTCACAGCTCAGAAATCCCTAGTGGCCCAAATGAGCATCTGGTGCCCCTGTATAAAAACTAATCTTTAGTGCCCATTTATCAATATCCCTCACCTCCCATCCCCAAAATCACATACTCAATCTAGTTTCCCATTACCCTAGTCAGTTTCCTTACAGAGTCTAGGACATAACAATTTCTTCTGCGTCCTTATGCACATTGTCCCCTTGTCTGGAACACCATCTACTATTGTTCTCTTAGAGCCTGACTCAAATCTTCAACCCATTTCAAGCCCCACCAAGAAAGCCTCTCCTGACCACACATCCCTCAACTTACCTTCTCCATTTCTGAATTCCTCCAGCACTTATACTCTGCACCACACCATTTTACGTAATATGATTTAGTACTCTGTATATACCAGGTACCATTCAAAGTGTTCTACAATTATTTAATCCTTACAACTATCTGATGGAATTATTCTCATTTCACAAATGGACAAACTGAGGCACAGATAGGTTAACTGGCCCAAGGTCACACAGCAGGAAATCCTGGAGCCAGAATTCAACCTGGTGTCAGAGCCACACACCTAACCACTAAATAATTATAAACTACTTCATACTGTACCATAATTGTAAGTGACTCAGTACCAGCATCCATGCTACTGAGTCACTTACATTCCCCACAGCCAAGCCCCAAAGTTGCACACTATCTAATATTCTGTAACTGATGACAGGAAGCAAGCTCAAGCCCCCAATCAGGGACTGGCTCTGGTGCTCAGCAGCAAATGAAAAAAGAGCTTTTCTCCTCCTGGAAGAGTGAGGGGCACCAGTGTTAACAAGGCTGCAATGAGCCATTGCACCTTTTAAATAACATCTACCTAATGTAAGTGTTCCAATATAAAAATCTACCTCAAGCACAGAGACAGACCACACTTTGTCTGTCTTTGTCTGCATACTTTGCACCTCAAAGTCCACAGCCCAGGGGTCAAGGATTCTACAATGAGAAATTCTTGTTTTAAGGTATTCGAATTAGCTGCATGACAAGTCAGAAGGGGTCACCAAATACAAAAGTTTCCATTTTGGGAACTCTATGAAGAAGAGAATCTGAAGGATTCTCTTTCTCCCTTAAACACACCCCATCACAGGCATGAATGGTCCAGGGAAGCCTCAGGTGGCCCTCACAGTTTCTCAGCTACCACAGGAAAATTTCCCATGCTGCTGCCACCCAGAGAATGGAGGTTTGCCCCTGAAAGTCCAAGACCCCAGCAGGCCCTGCCCTTCTCACAGGTGAGCATCCTTCACCTGTGTCCTCTGCACGGTGGCACACCCATAGCTGGGAATGTCAAAGCTTCTTTACTATAATTTGTCATCATCAGAAAATACAAACCATACCACAGAGGGAACTACACAAATCCAGTCCTAGTTATAATTTTACTTCACATTGGCCTAGGACAGGTTAACACATATAACAAGACCTGAGCCTTTTACAGCCTCCTCTAGTTTTACTTCCTAACTTGAATTCCATTCCTGATGAAAATTCCTCAAGACTCTCTAAAGGAGAATTTCTCAACCTCCGCCTACTGACATTTTTAGTCAGATAATTCTTGGTCATGGGAGGCTGCCTTTGTATGCTGTATGAAATTTATAGCATCCCTGGTCTCTATTCACTAGATGCCAGTAGCACCCCACTAAGTATGACAACCAAAAACATCTCTGGACATTGCCAATGTCCTGGGGTGAGAAGGGGATGGGGAAGGTGCCAAAATTGCCCTGGCTGAGAATCACTTCTCCAAAATAACTAAAGAAAGCTCCTTTGGGTCTGAATCCCACAGAGTATCCCTCTCCGCACCCAGTATCAGGCTAAAACTATTTTTCCCTCATACCCCATACACCATTCTCAGGGTTCTATGGACAAAGTTTCCCTGAACTAGATTCTCCAATTCCTGGCAAGGAGGCTCTTCCTCCATGTCTTGTCATTTAAGCCTCTTTCAGGCTTTCTCAGCTATTTCTCTAGAAAGGTTCTAAGTCGGCTACTCACTTACCCCGGGTCCAACAGTTTATGCTCCTCTCACGTACAGAGCATTGAAGGCCTTTGCCCCAAGGCCCAATGACATGCTCATTTGCTGCTCACAGCCAGGGCCCAACCAGACTCTCCTTCCCCTCACCCTTGATGTCATCTGCCACATAGGACTTGAGGAAAGCCATTCTATGGGCAGAGACTGTGGAGAGGAATGACACCACTTAAGGGAGAAAACTGTACTAAAAGAGCATTTATAGAATGCCCAAAACAAAAAGACTTTTAATTAATCATTTACAGAGGACAGGAAAGAAAGAAAAAGCCTACTAAGATAGTCAAACCTAAAAAAACAAGATGTTAATATGAAACTACGGCTAATACAGACCAGTAAGGTGAATTAAGTCTCCTTGTAAATTAATTCAAGGAAGAAATATAAGAACACTTGAAAAGCCCAGTAGAAATAAATATTACAGTAACTGCTGAGTTGCCTGTTTTAAAAAATTAGTCTTCAACAATAAAGAGGCAAAAGATCTATATAATTAGGCAGGGGAAAAAAAGTGATAGTAGAGGCAATTAAGACTCCTGAAATCGGCCAGGCGTGGTGGCTCACGCCTATAATCCCAGCACTTCGGGAGGCTGAGGCAAGTGGATCACTCAAGCCCGGGGAGTCTGAGGTTGCAGTGAGCCAAGATGGCACACTGCACTCCAGCCTGGGTGGCAGAGCAAGACCCTGCCTCAAAAAAATTTCAAAAAGGACTCCTGAAATCAGGAATCTTGAATATTCCGATGCTTGTTCTAATTTGTAAACAATGAATAAATACACTAACAGATTCCTCTGCCTTTGTTTCTCCAGTCATTTTGTCTCTTCCTCAAAGGACAAAGGAGGTCCTTTGTCATTTCAGACAGATTTTCTTGAAATGGCAGGAGTCACCGATTTGGAAATTCAAAAGACCCTGTGCCAATGGTTGCCAAACCACCTACAGAAACAGTAGTGCTGCAGGGAAATGAGAAACTTAAACTAAACCAGTTACCCCAAAGAATGTCTCCTTTAGATAGGGTTAAAGGCTGAGAAAAACAGGAAAATGCCTTTGTAGAAACTTTTTGGAAGGCAGCTAGCTATGCTCACCACTGCAGAGGCTTTTGGAGTAGAGAATGTATACAAATCTTCAACTTTTTTATGAGGACTATAATGACAACTGAGGGCTATAACATTCAGGTCTCTGGAACCTATAAATGCATCATAACAAGAAACTTGAAGATAGTTGAAAGAAAACCTAAAGGAAAATGTATTTAAAAACCACACCCTGACCAACTTCTCAGCCGTCACAGACCTGGCTGGATGGTTCATATTAACACCCACAAATACAGGGGAAAAGAAAAATACACACACACACACACACACACACACACACACACACACGAAAAAGCCCCCTCTATTCTATGTCAAGTGCAATAGATCCTGGGAGGCCATGGGGCCAAGCCAACATTCCCAGTGTATCCACTGTCCATACAGCTAATTTTTTTGCAACCTCCTCTAGATTTCTGGAGCCCCTGCCTCTGTAAGACGACTTGGCCATCAGAAAAAAGTGTAGACATTCTGCAAACAGTTTGCTGGCTCTTTGAGTATGCAGCAGTGAGAGGCCATGGGGAGCGGTCCTGAGCAATGAGCCAGATATTGGGCACAATACATGCACTTAGAAAAGGGTCAAAGAGTTGGTCCATCTTCCTCTCTCCATCTGAATTCAGGAGTCATTTCCTCTGGTCTCACAGGAAGGAAGCACCTCTCTTCTCAGGCTCTATCTCCCCCATAACCTGCTCACTCAATCATATCTATGATATAGCTTGATAGACCTGAGTTTAAAACTATACAATTTAATAGTAGTCTTGGCAAGTTGTTTAAACTCTAAGCCTCTGTTTCCTCATCTGTAAAAGGGGGTCTGGTTACCTACTTCCCAGGGTTGCTGTGCAGACTGAATAAGATAGAACAGGAAATGCTCTTCTGCCTGTACCTGGCACACAGTAAGCATTCAATATGTGATAACTACTAACATTATTCCAGAAATCTTTGATTTCTCCCTTTCCATCAGGTTCTTCCGTTGACTTTAGACATGGTCAGAACCGGGTTCCCAAAGACGAAAAAGCCTTCATTGGCCTCAAGGTCCCTCAACCTACCTTATTTCAACTATTCCTGACCTTGGAACACAAACTTTTAAAGTCAGTATTCTATACTTGATAGCAGACTCCCCACCCGTGGCTTCGCTGCAAAGCCCCTCAAGGCAACACTCACTTTTCCCCACTTTAATGGAACATAATCTCAAAGGCCAGCAATGTATTCAATCACAAAATCTGAATTCTGTTTTGGTTCTCCTTGATCTCTGAAGCCCTCAGTACGGTTGGGCAACCTTTCCTCTCACCACGCATCGTAGTCTTTCTAGACGTCTTCTTCAGCTCCTACTGGCTTTTGCTGTGGTGCCTTCTATGGCTCCTACCTTTGCCCCTGGGCTAAAGAAATGGCCTGGAGGCTGGGCACAGTGGCTCACACCTGTAATCCCAGCACTTTGGGAGGCCGAGAGGGGCGGATCACAATGTCAGGAGATCAAGACCATCCTGGCCAACAGGTGAAACCCCGTCTCTACTAAAACACAAAAAATTAGCCAGGTGTGGTGGTACATGCCTATAGTCCCAGCTACTCAGCAGGCTGAGGCAGGGGAATCACTTGAACCCAGGAGGTGGAGATTGCAGTGAGCTGAGATCGCGCCACTGCACTCCAGCCTGGCTACAGAGTGAGACTCCGTCACAAAAAAAAAAAAAAAAAAGAAATGCCCAGATTCAATCCTCCATGCTCTCTTTCTCTGCACAAGTTTGCTCACAGGGACACAGTCAACCTCACAGCAGAACCTATCTCATCGTCTGTCAGGATGAGTCACAGAGCTATAAGGGCTTTTATGTTGTGTGGAGGAAAGTCTTCATCCTGCAAAGACAGATATGACCTCTGCAAAACTGCTTAAAATGCAAAGCCAGGTGTGCTCATTGAGGTGGGAAGGCAATGTCTGTGGCCAAAACAACGTGTGAAAACAATAGCTTGAATTGGTAGGTTTACAAAATCTCCAGCCCTGACAGTACAATGTAGTACTTGGAATGTGACCTCTGGTGCCAGAATGAATCCTGACTCATCCACTCAATAGCTCTATGACCTCAGACATATTACGCAGCCTCTCTCACCTTAGTTTCCTCATCTGTAAAATGGGGATAACAGTGCCAATGCATATGGCTTTACATGGGGTACATGTAAAGCATCAACACAGTGCTTAAAATATAATAAGTGAACAAGCAACTTTAGTTGCAACTGTGTTCTTCTTACTTTTATATTCAGAGTCTTGGTCAAAAACATATGTCATCCCAGCCACTCAGGAATCTGAGGTGGGAGGATCCCCTGAGCCCAAGAGTTCGAGCCCAACACAAGGAGACCCTATCTCAAAAAAAAAAAAAAAAAAGGAAGTCAATTAAGATGTCCTGGCTAGAAGCAGTGGCTCACACCTGTAGTCCCAGTACCTTGAGAGGCTGAGGCAGGAAAACTGCTTGAGGCCAGGAGTTCAAGACCAGCCTGGGCAACATAGCGAGACCTGTCTCTACAAAAAAATTTTTTAGTTAGCTGGGCATGGCGGTGTGCACCTCAGTCCTAGCTACTCAGAAGGCTGAGTGGGAGGATCGCTTAAGCCCAGGAGTTCGAGGCTGCAGTAAGCTACGATTGTGCCATTGCACTCCAGCCTGGATGACAAAGTGAGACCCAAAGTCTTCATCAGCTGCTACATTTGGAAGCTCCTCTCAGCAGTCCTTGTGCCCCTCAGCTTGGGTGAGAGACTAACGACAAACCAGATAGGGTGAAGATTCCTTTGGTACCATGTAGGTCCACCAGGCCCATTGCACTAGAAATAGCTCAGCAGATGGATGCTAATCATCTGAGACTGTGTCATTTCCAAGTTATTGTTTTCTAAATATGCAAATAAAAAATTAAAATGTAGCGATGTTATAAAAAGGCTGGAACTCTAGTGATTCTTAGCATAGAAAGTAGACATTAAGTTGCTCATCAGCTTATCCTACTAATCTAAAGGCTTTCTACAGGGACAATAAACCCTACTTTCTAAGCCCGTGTATTTTGTTGCTTAAAAAACCATGTTCATCCACTAAGGAAGAGGCTTAATAAAAATAAAAAACAAACGAAAATGTGTTCAGAAGAGACTATGATTTGACCCAAAGGCATATTTTGATAAAGAAAGTCTTGACATAGGCTATCCTTTAGATATGTTGTGTAAGTTTTCTGTATCAATCAGAAATCCAGGTGGCCTATGGGGCATAATTAATTCTATTTTTAACTTTTGGACAAATGAAGAAATGAAGCTATAAAAATGCAGCTCTCTTCTCCTCAAAGTTCCAATGCTTATTGTGTTTGTCCATAATCCTTATCTGCCTGCATGATAGTCTCATTGTTTTGTGCTATTCAAGTATTGCAACTGCACAATATAAAACCATAGCCAACTCAGTACCTCCCCAGCAGAAAGAATGAATCCCTTTAATGATCATTTTTGAAGTTTAATTGTGCAGCTCCCTAGAGAAGAGGTAGTAAGGCCCTGGGACAGCAGCTTTGGGCAGGGAACCAGTCAGCCAACAAGTGCTCAGCAAGGCGGTGAGTGAAAATATTATGTGCCATGAAGCCAAACAGAACCAGGTTAGAGCCGAATGACTCTGAGCACTTTACATCATTCTTTTATTTTTCTTTTCTTTTTTTAAAATATCACTAGGCTCTCCTTAGGAACTTTACATAATTCTTAAATGGGTATCTTAGCACCCAATTCACAGGAGTTAGGAGGCAAATTCAATAAGAATGTATCTAAAAAGCCTACTTAATGCCTCACACAAAGTAGGCTTAATGAATAGCATTCTTCATTCCAAACACCTTGGTGCATCTTTAAAAACTGCCTTAATGAAGGCTGAGTCTATCCAGGTGTAATCTCACACCTATAATCCCAGTGCTTTGGAAGGTCAAGGCAGGAGGATTTCTTGAAGCCGGGAGTTTGAGACCAGCCTGGGCAACAGAGCAAGACCCCCATCTCTACAAAAAATTTAAAAATTAGCCTGGCATGGTGGTGCACATCTATAGTCCCAGCCACTCAAGAGGCTGGGGCAGGAGGACTGCTTGAGCGCAAAAGTTCGAGGCTGCAGTGAGCTATGATTGCGCCATTGCACTCCAGCCTGGGCAACATAGCAAGACCTTGTCTCTAAAAAATAAAGAAAGAAAAACAACAAAAAAAACTACTCTAATGAGAAGATGGGGAAACACAATTTTAAACCTCCTTACTTATGACAAAACAGGCAAGCAGACCCACTCATCAATAAATCAATAGCAATTTAATTAGGAACTCTTAAAAAACAAAAACTAACAACAACAAAAAACCTACCCTAACATCTTCAAGCGGATATGGCTGTGGCTGACAGACCTTACCTACTTTCAAGGAGCTTGCCATCTAGAAGTGGGTAGAAATAAGCAAACAGGAAATTACAATATAGCATAATAAAGGCAATGACAGGAGTTCTAGAACAGGCCCTCTGGGAGTACTTTGGAAGGGCCCCCTCAAGCAGAACTGGGAAGACTTCCTGCAGGATGTGACACATAAAAATGATAATAATAGCTAACTAACAGTTGCCAAGAAGCTACTATGTGCTAAGAATATACTAAGTGCACTGTGGATTACCTCATTTAATTCTCAGAACAACACAGTTAGACAGCTACTATCATTACCACCATTTTAAAGATGAACCAAAGAGGTTAAGAAACTTGCCCAAGGTCATACTGCTAGCAAGTAGCAGAGCTGGGATTTGAACCCACACAGCCTCCAGAGTCTAGGCACTTCACCACCACCAACTGCATTTTCTAAAATGAGCCCAAAAGCTGTTAAAGATTGAAGCATGGGAAGTTCTGTAGGCAAAGAGGCATGTGTAGAGGTCTAGATGCAAGACAGAGTAGGGCCCAGGTTCAAGGGAATTGCAAATGGCATCGTTCCCAGTACAGAGAAGGCACTTAATATTTGTTAAATTAATATTGAAGCATCTAGTGCAAAGCAGTGTGGGAAGAGAAGTGAGCCAGACTGCAAAAGTCTCAAAGACACAGTAAGTTTGGACTCAAGGCAAGCCAGGAGACTGAAAAGGTGCTCCAGGTCAGTATTTAATTTTCTGTTAGAAACAACAATCTCCTGGGGGAACCTTCACAAGGAACTGTTTTCCAGCTTTTTGAACTACAAACATTGTGGTTTACCAACCACAACTAAAACTTTTTCAGGATCAAGTCTTTTAAAGTGTATATAAGGCTGGGAGCAGCACTCATGCCTGTAATCCCAGCACTTTGGGAGGCCAAGGCAGGTGGATCACCTGAGGTCAGAAGTTTGAGACCAGCCTGGCCAACATGGTGAAACCGTGTCTCTACTAAAAATACAAAAATTAGCCGGGCATGGTGGCAGGCGCCTGTAATCCCAGCTACTTGGGAGGCTGAGGTGGGAGAATCGCTTGAACCCGGGAGGCGGGTGTTGCAGTGAGCCAAGATGGCGCCACTGCACTCCAGCCTAGGTGACAGAGCGAGACCCTGTCTCAATAAAAAATTAAATAAAAAAAATAAAGTGTATATAAAGCTCAAAATGTAACAGTAACCAAAGTCACAGTCAATATGCTATAGTTACATGGTGTTCCGTTAAAAAAAAAATTTCATGTGTGTTGTCAGCTTTTTGCTTCAACAGATCAGAAGGAAACAATACTTTTAATGAGACAATACAATTCAGGAAACAGATTTAGTAGCCATCCTTAAGGAGATCTTGAGACAATATGCTCAACGTCGTAACTTCTGATGGAACCGATCCTGAGATACCTTCTGCTGCCTTCTTTTCTTCATCGTGATTTTCTACATAGAATGCATAGACATGCACTGGGGATGAGCTTGGTGGCAGCCATTTGATCAGCCCCGTAGCTTCACTCGCAGAATAGTTATAAAGCTAGCATTTAATAAGCACATACCACGTGCCAGGTGCTGTTTGGAACATCTTCATTTGTATTATTTCCTTTGACCCTCATGGTGACTGTGTATGTAGATACTATTACCACCCCCATTTTGGAAGTGAGAAAACTGTAGCACAGGAAGTTTAACTTACCACTAAGTGGAGAGCTGGCATTTGAACCTAGGCCAACTGGCTCCAGAAACCATACTCCGAACCACTACACACACGACTTCTCCCACATCACACCTACCTTCAAAATGGAATCAACAATCCACATCTGCATGGAATTCTACAGCCTTTGGTTTTCAACCAGAAGGTGTTCCACACCCACAGAATCTTAAGGCTTTGGTTTCAATCATGGGTAAAATCAGTTTCTAGAAGGAACTAGCAGGGTCTGGTCCTAGGAACACGGCAGAGAGGGTAGAACACGGCAGAGAGGG
This sequence comes from Homo sapiens, assembly GCF_000001405.40. NCBI lineage: Eukaryota > Metazoa > Chordata > Mammalia > Primates > Hominidae > Homo > Homo sapiens. The sequence goes on along the minus strand of NC_000006.12, from coordinate 34,918,030 downwards.
CAGAACAAGGAACAGAAAACACATTTCTGGAGTGAGTCTGAGACAGAAAAAGTGAGGGGGGTTGAGTAAGGCTCTTTAGGAAGAGGCTGTATACTACCAGGTGAAAGGAGGGCAGCTGGTAACAAGAGACAGTCTCCTCCTCTCTCCAGGGATTGTACAATCCCAGAGTTCTGGAAGCTGCTTATCAGCCCCCACTCTCAGCTCCTCCTTGGCCAGAACAGAAACATCTATAATTCCCTAAGCTGGGCAGCCATGCTTGGAGAGGTGAGACCCATCTGGGCCATAGGCCTTCGGGTCTTAGGTCCGGAGAAGAGGCCAGTGAGCATGGAGGACATATGGAGCAGTGGCAGTCAGTTCTGTAGGGACAGGATGTCTTTCCTGTCCACCCAGCTGGAAGGAAGCAAAGAACCTCTATTCAAACAGCTCTTTTCCCACAGCACATCATCAGATTTCAGGTTAGTTTAACAGAGTGCCATTTCACTTGCACTTTAATACAGATTATCTTACAAAAACTGGTTTTATAACATCAAGTTGAATCTAGCTACACAGTGGTCATAGGAATTTTGATAAGTAATTTGGAACACTGTGGGGCAGCGGAGCTTGGTTTGACTTAAAGAGAAGAGGTCATCAACATGGAAAGTCCCAAAAGAAAGCATCGCTGACTTCTAACTGTACCTTGAGTCAACGCTGCCTCTCCACAAACTACACAGGAAGAGAGAGCCTCTCCACTTAGCCAAAAGCCTGCTGCCACCTCTCCACTGGTAGTCAGTCCTTCCACAGTGGGGAGAGAAGGAAAACTGTCAGCAGGCTGCTGGGGCTGGCTCTTCAAAGCCTTCTTCCTTCTCTCCTGGCTCTTCCCCTGACAGAGTATGTAGGCCCCATGGAGGCCTACACAGGATGCTGGGATAGGATTAGTGGTGGACCAAATAAAGGACTAGGCAGGGGTGTTTTATGTTGTCCCCAAAAGAGAGATGCCCAGGACTTGTGTGTCTAAATAAAGGGGAGAGGCCCTCCCTTAAATATCAGCCATTCTACTCTATTATACCATGTAAGGTAGGACGACCATAGGGTAGAACATTAATGAGGACAACCACATTAAGGCACATTGCTGCCGCCTTAAAGAACAAGTAGCGGTGTCTGTTCACAGCAGGCACTCAACAAATGCTGAGTGACAGACCACGATGGACTATACTAAATAAATTAAGGAAATTTCCCAAAACTCTGTAATCCAACAATGTGGTTATTTTTTGCCTTTATTTTTATGCAATACAATTCCCAGCTGAATTACACAGAATTACAAATCCTACACAGAAGGAACTTTGAACACTCTGAAAATTTTATTTTTAAGTTACATAGGGACAGGGTATATTTCAGAGGCAAAAGGAAGACTTTTACAAGAGACCAAATGAGGAAAAATTTCCTTAAAATAAGACATCTGGCAAACCTGGCAGTTCAGTTTTCATTTGTTGATGAAAATTTCTTGGACCTATGTTCCTCTCTGAATCATTCTTCTTAAAATAGAGGCTTTATAGAGAGCATTTTGTCTAATTTTTCTTCTACAGCAGTCTCCAGCAGCAGTCTCAATCCAAAGTAATTTTATTTTCACATTAACGAACACTTTAACTCCAATTAGCAATATTTGTTGAAAAGTATACTGTGGTTGAGACTTGGTCTCATCCTCCATAAATCTCCATGTCCAGACTTTCCTCAGCGTGTTAACAAGTAAGATGCAGACATGGGCTGGGCGCAGTGGCTCATGCCTGTAATCCCAGCACTTTAGGAGGCCGAGGCAGATGGATCACCTGCGGCCAAGAGTTCGAGACCACCCTGACCAATATGGTGAAGCCTCATCTCTACTAAAAATATAAAAATTAGCCAGGCCTAGTGGCATGCACCTGTAGTCTCAGCTACTCGGGAGGCTGAGACAGAAGAACTGCTTGTACCCGGGAGGTGGAGGTTGCAGTGAGCCGAGATTGCACCACTGCACTCCAGCCTGGGCAACAGAGCAAGACTCCATCTCCAAAAAAAAAAAAAAAAAAAAAAAGATCCAGACATGAAGCCTCTTTACCTCCAAATTCTTCAGAGGCTTTTAGGTGGCTAAAAGGAAAACAGCTCTGACCTGAAACCAAATACTTTCTCTGAGAAGATGGGAACAAAGAGTACCAGCTCTGCCTTAAACTAGGAGTGAACCCCAAACAAAATAGAGTGGCTCAGAGAACAAGGCTTCAAAAACATGATGGTCCACCTCAAAATGGAAGTACAGCAAGCCTTTTCTTTCACTTCATTATGACATTTTCATCAATCAAGCTGAAGTAGAAGAAAGAAATCCTCTAGACATCTTGGGAATATAAAAACCCAAACTGTTACTTGCTAACCAAAAGAAAAAAAAACAAAGATACAGCATGCCTGTAATCCCTGCCCTTTGGGAGGCTGATGCAGGAGGACTGCTTAAGCCCAGGAGTTTAAGACCAGCCTGGGCAGCACAGTAAGACCCCATCTCTAGAAAAAATTTAAAAATTAGTCGAGTGCGGTGGTACTCACCTGTAGTCCTAGCTACTCGGGAGGTTGGGGCAGGAGGCTCACTAGCCTAGGTGTCAGAGCAAGACCCTGTCTCTTAAAAAACAAAACAACAACAAAAAACCTACATAGGCCTAAAGCTCTAAGATGTTGACAAATACAGACCTGTGCTTATAGGCGGCAAGTCTACACTTTTTCCCGACAGCTGCAGTACTAATTACGGGGACTCCTTCACTTGCCAGATATCTGAGTACCTACCAAGCCCATGGCACTGACCTAGGGGCAAGGAGACATAGTGAGAAAAACAAACAGACATGGCCTTAGCCCTGATGGGATTTATATTCTCGTCAGGTAGATAGACTTCAAATGACCCTGGAAATGAATATAAGTGATGAGCTAGCTAATACTTCCTACTTCAAACAGAATGGTCTTCTATATATACGATAGGCAAAATTCCATTTTAGAATAAAATATAACCCCATTTTATAGCTGAAAGAAATCAGATACATTAAATAATTTGCCCAAGGTGGAACAATCACCTCAGTTTGGCAAGGCCTCAAAGTCCACGTTCTCTTAAGCACAGCAGGTCAGCTCTGCCCTCTGACTGCTGCTCCCAGAAGCTCTTATAAGACCACCAGGAAGAGACAACTTTACTGCTGCCCCTGCTCCCACACTCAGAGCCTTTGAACAGGCCTGTGTCTAATAAATACCATTTTAGGCATCCATGGTACAATGTTAATGCTCTTCTCACTTTACTTGGGGTAAATTTTCCTTCTAAGTTCTGCAGAAACTGAAGAATCAATAACACAGGAAGCCCAAAGGCCTGTTTTTTAATAAAATAAACCTAAAATGGTTACTGGGCCCTGGAGGATTTCTAGGTGCACAAGAAAAGGGGCCAACACATTCCTTTAACTCTGTTTCACCCATCCTGGCCAACTCAGTATTAGCTAAGAATTTTCAAAACTGTTTCCTTTTTGCCCTTAGAAATATCTTACTCACTACCTTCCAAACCAATAAAAAAATACACTGAACAATGTCGTCCTGAAAACACTAAATCAAATTATGATGACTAAATCGTTCATTAGGGTGATTTACGAAGTGACGATTATTTTTATTGGGCAAACAATGAGTCCTTAATTAATATTGTTTAAATTCTAATGTTTTTAATGATTTTTTAAAAATAAAATAGCCCAGTGTAAGAATCATTTGTATGAATTTTTTAAATGTCTACATAAATTTCTTTGGGTAGATGTCATGCTTCCTGATTGATCAATTTTAGATTCAAAAACTATTGGCTGGGTAAGGTGGCTCACACCTGTAATCCCAGCACTTTGGGAGGCCAAGGCGGGCAGATCACGAGGTCAGGAGATCGAGACCATCCTGGCTAACATGTTGAAACCCAGTCTCTACTAAAAATACAAAAACAAAATTAGCTGGGCGTGGTGGCAGGCACCTGTAGTCCCAGCTACTCGGGAGGCTGAGGCGGGAGAATGACATGAGCCTGAGAGGCGGAGCTTGCAGTGAGCCAAGATCACGCCACTGCACTCCAGCCTGGGCAACAGAGCGAGACTCCATCTCAAAAGAAAAAATTACTTTATTGGCTGGGCACAGTGACTTACACCTGTAATCCCAGCACTTTGTGAAGCTGAGGTGGGCAGATCACTTCCAGTGTGGCCAACATGGTGAAACCCCATCTCTACTAAAAATACAAAAATTAGCTGGGTGTGGTGGTGCACGCCTATAGTCCCAGTTCTTGGGAGGCTGAGGCATGAGAAACACTTAAACCAGGGAGGCGGAGGTTATGAGCCAAGATTGTACCACTGTACTCCAGCCTGGGCAACAGAGCAAAACTCTGTCTCAAAAACAACAACAACAACAACAACAACAACAACAAACTATTTTGTTTAGGCCAGGCATGGTAACTCATGCCTGTAATCTTAGCACTTTGAGAGGCCAAGGCGGGAGAATCACTTGAGCTCATGCGTTTGAAACCCTGTTGTCTCTACAAAAACTAAAATAATTAGCTGGGCATAGTGGCACATGCCTGTGGTCCTAGCTACTCAGGATGCTGAGGCCAGAGGATTGCTTGAGCCTGGGAAGTCAAGGCTGCAGAGGGCTATGATCATGCCACTGTACTCCAACCTAGGCAACACAGCAAAACCCTGTCACAAACAAACAAACAACCCTACTTTATTTAGACTCTCCTAACTAGTGAATGGGTAGGGGTGGGGTCAAAACACTAAGGCTTCAGCTCAGTCACTATTACAATGTGTAACCTGAAGTCTGTTCATTTCTCTGTGACTAGTTATTTATATTGGGGGGTACATGAACAACCTTTTTCAATTTTACAGGGTTGTTAGGGCTACCTGAGATTAAAGAGGTAAATGTGAAAGGTATTATTTAAAGTCAAGATATTTGATCATCTTTCTGTACCTGGCTCCTAACACAGGGCCTAACACAGAACAGAAACTCAGTAAACGTTTGAAAAGAAAGGATAAAGTTCCCTTTTGAACAAGGTGACGATGTTCATAAAGGACAGGAAAGGAAACTCAACCTTAAGGAACCAAATGGTGAGTCAGGTTAACCACAATCAAAACAGGCAATACACACACAGCCAGCAGAACCACAAGAAATGTTCTGCATCTAACCACCAAACACAGCCATTCACTGCTGCATGCCACACAAATACACAAAAGCCAGTCAAAAATGTCATCCAAAATCAATTTCGCTTTTCAATCCATCCAAAATGTATCATTTTCTTTTCAATGACCATCTAACCACAGTATCAAAGAATCCCTACTAGTGCACCCCTTTTTCTAACCCCAATCGACTTTGTGGTAGAAAACTAATTCTGCAAATAAATGTCTATTGAAATCCTTACTATCTGTTAGGTGAGAAATGTTCAGTTATTTCAATCTATACAGTACTCTAAAATAAAATCTGTTGTTCATTCCTTCTCAGAGGTGAAGGGGCCTCTCTCTCATCCCAACAGTGTGCTGTTGAACCTCTGGGCAGGCCACACGGTCCCAGGGTCTGGAGCTCCTACTCCCTGAAGACCCTACTGAGGTTGAGGTTGGATAGTGAGAGAGAATAGAGCCGAGGACCACCCGTCCCTTCTAAAGGACTGCTAGGGAGAAAACCTAGACTTGGTTTTTTAACATAAGGTAACCAGCAAGTGATGAGGACACAGTCTACACAGGTATCAATGAAAAATGCTGACAGTGATGCTAATTACAGATGCTGGAGAACCAACAAATAAATAAACAAGAAACTGTGAACATTTGATTTGGCCATGTAAAAATTATAACTAATTATAGTTACTTACATAAACTGTTTACCTAATAATCATGCAGTACAACAATGATCACGCAAATCATTCAAGGTGTCAGATTATGAGCGTTTGATTTCATCCTGACACTGAACAGAGGTCACATACTCAGCTTTCATAAATTGTAGCATGCTTGTTTACTTACAATTTAACGCTGAAATAAACATCCCTGGATGAACAAGAACTTGTGTTATTGCGAAAGTATTAATGGTTCCTGAACACAACCTGAAAACTAGAATGGCGGAAACTCTTGGTGGCTCACAGCACTATTACAATGAGATTTCAAGGGCAAGAAACCTATCCTGTAGTTTTATTATATATGACCCAAGGGGTATACTGCCATTGCTCTGCTATTCATTTGAACAAGGATTCTCTGCCCTACACACCACCATTCTTCATTCTAAACTGTCAAGGATTTATAGTAACAGGAAATCGGGAGTTGGCATAAGCAGACGACTAAATTTTGGCTAGCTGAAGAGAAAAGCTTCCTTTCAGCATAAAGGGTATAATTTGGGTTTCTTAATGACCGTTCAGGGTGAGGACTCCAGACAATGCCAATCACAAAGCCTGGAGAATTTGTTTTGCCTTTTCTAGAAGTTTTCAATCCTATGCACATAGTCCTTGAGCCTCATGAGGAGACATTCTCATAGCCAAGAACCAGGACTCTCAGTGTGATTGAAGAAGGCCTGGGTGGCTAAATAATACCCCTGCCAGTTTAAGGATCCCCCCCACTGTTATCCTGTGCACAAGGAAGGAGATTATTACAGCAGAACACAGGCCAAAGCAAAAACAGGGTTAGCTTTAAGCTTGATAAAATCCTTTGAATCTAAACTATATTCCATTTCACAAAAAGTACCGATTTGGCTTTCTGCACACATGTCGGTAAATAAATAACTACATAAACCCTGAAAGGAGTAGGAAGGGCCTGTCTTTTCTTCTTTCATACCACTAATTCCCACTCAGTTCAGAGGTTCACAGGTCTTTGCTGTGGAAACAAAAACAACCATTTGGAGACTTAGCTTTCACCATGATAAACAAAAGATAAACCAAAAGTTTGACTTATCTGCCTGCTTAAAAAAATAGTTACCATACCACTGTAGGTCTCCATCTACAAACTCCTGTGCACACCAAAATAAGTAATGGAGCTGTTCTAAAATGAATACTACCCTTCTACTAGAGAGGGAAAAAAGTGTTTCATTTCAGTTATCCCTTACAAAACTCCAGTCCTTCCACAAAACCCCACTCTCCCATTTTATGTTGTAATATCCTATTCATTCATTCATTCATTCTTTTTTCTTTTTCTTTCTTTCTTTTTTTTTTTTTTTGAGATGGAGTTTCACTCTGTCACCCAGGCTGGAGTGCAGTGGTGCAATCTCGGCTCACTGCAACCTCTGCCTCCTGAATTCAAGTGATTCTCCTGTTTCAGCCACCTGCATAGCTGGACTAAAGGCACCCACCACCACGCCTGGGTAATTTTTTGTATTTTTAGTAGAGACGAGGTTTCACCATGTTGGCCAGGCTGGTCTCGAACTCCTGACCTCAGGTGATCTGCCCACCTCAGCTTCCCAAAGTGCTGGAATTACAGACATGAGCCACCACACCCAGCCCATTCATTCTTTTATGAGGCAGAGTCTGGCTATGTTGCCCAGGCTGGAGTGTAGTAGTAGTGTGATCACAGCTCACTGCAGCCTCCACCTCCGAGGCTCAAGTGATCCTCCCACCTCAGTCTCCTGAGTAGCTGGGACTGCAGGGACCATCACATCTGGCTAATTTTTAAATTTTTTGTAGAGACAGGGTCTCCCTGTGTTGCCTAGGATGGCCTTAAACTCCTGAGCTCGAGCAATCCTCTCGCCTCAGCCTCTCAAAGTGCTGGGATTACAGGGCACGAGCCACTGTGACCCGCCTGTAATATCCTATTTAGATGCAAAGTCATAGGAGAGATCACCCACTCAACTGCAAATCAACAGTCACCAAGTCCTGTTCATTCCTCCTGAATATTTCAAATTTAGCTTCCTCTTCATACTCACTGGTACTGCCTTCCTTCAGGCCCTAATCATTTTGCACTCCTAGTTAATCTCAACTCCTTTGATCCATCTTCCAAAAATCTGAAGTGATCTTCCTAAATTGCAAATCCATAACTACTGTCAATGTAAAATCCAACTCCTTTACATGGGCATCTCACCTCTGTTACTACCCCAGCTAATCTCTTTCTACTCCACAGAACCCCTCTCCCTCCTACATACCAGGCAGTTACCTGCAGTCGTCTCAATGCACAATGCTTCCAGACACCCATTCTTCGCACACACTGAGCCACCACACTGTACACACACTCCAGCTTAAAATAACTCTCGCTTTTCCCCTTCTTTGTCTGTACAACTCCTTTTAGTTCTAATACTCCACCCAGACCTCATCCCTTCGGGGAGGAACATTTCCCCAGCCCTGCCCCTTGTTTCCTCTCTGATGCTCCAGCATCCCTCTGTTTCATAGCACTCATCACACTATTCTCTATCTCCCCCATCAGAAGATCACAAAGCTGGGATTGAGACTTCTTTTCTCTCTATAACTCCGTTGGCCAGCACGTGATCTTGCACAAACAAGGCACTCATTAAATGAAGAAATTGCCATTATCTTTTGGTTCTAAATTAACTTAATTCATTCTGCTTCCCAAGAGAGTTATGTTAAAAGCTCTTGACCATTTAAACGCACTTAGAAATGAGAACTGGGTGTTAACTGATGTTCTTTGATCATATAAACTACTGGCAAGTGTCAGATGACTTTTCATTAATGATAATGATAATGATTATGGCAAATGTCAGTTGAAGACATAGAGCATGGCGCAATGGAAAAAACACTGACTTTGGCATCAATGACATGGGATTGAGTTTAGACAAGTTATATAAGCCCAGGTCTGTGTTTTACGGGAGAATTTATTTAAGTCTGGGAATGTGTCTAGTGTAGTATTTGGCACATACAGACCCTGCCCTGCTCCCACTCCACTGTTCTGCATGAACATGGGTGTACGGTGGAGAAAAAGAAACATGTCCCCAGGCAAAAATTTATGGTGATCAAGGTCAGAACAGTGATAACCTCAAGGACGGCATTTTTGGCTAGCAGGTGACACAAAGGAGACTTCTGGGGCACTGGAATGTTATCTTCATGATGATAACAGATGTGTATGTAGGTAAGAATACATTGGTCTGTACATTTAATATCCAAGTGCTTAACTGTATGTAAATTATACTTCAATAATTTTTAGCCATATTTCTAGTGGTACAATAATTTTTCTTTTTTTTTTCTTTACTAATAAAAGAAACACACTCCCCTGTGACAGAAGACAACCCAAAAGATGAGGCTTGGAAGTCAAAAAGCATGTCTGCATACTTAAAACGGTGACTCTGTCCTGGGGCCATGTTGTTATTGTAAAGGGTCAGCAAATGCATTCGTACACCAAGCACCAGCAGTAGGCAGAATAAATGTCACAGAATAATATATTATGATGCCCCTAAGGTACAGAGAAGCTACTATATTTAATAAAACACAAGTTTATTTCAGAGAGTTACCGAGTTCATAATCATTCTGTCACAACATATTTTTTCAACCAACAAACAAAGTACAACCACAATCCTGTTGAAACTGAAACAACTTTTTTATTGTTTGAATTGTCTCTCTCTCAGGCTTAGAAATAAAGCACTTAGAGATAA